>NT_187383.1:730465-1048989 GCF_000001405.40 Homo sapiens
GAATTCATCTCACAGAATTAAACCTTTCTTTTGATTTAATAGTATTGAAACACTGTTTTTGCCAATTCTGCAAAAGCAGATTTTGGAGCTCATTGAGGGCAATGATGAAAAAGTGGATATAACAGCATAAAAACTAGAAGGAAGCCATGTGAGACACAGCTTTGGGCTGCATGCATTCATATCCCAGAGATAAAACTGTCTTTCACTAAGTAGTTTGGAAACACTGTTTTTGTAGAAACTGTGAAGAGACATTTAGGAGCACAATGAGATCTATGGTAAAAAAGAAAATATCTTCAGATAAGAATTAGAAAGTAGTTTTATAAGAAAATGCTTTATGATGTGTTCATTCATCT
Organism: Homo sapiens; assembly: GCF_000001405.40. Classification (NCBI taxonomy): domain Eukaryota; kingdom Metazoa; phylum Chordata; class Mammalia; order Primates; family Hominidae; genus Homo; species Homo sapiens. The sequence continues at coordinate 730,819 of NT_187383.1, forward strand.
TACAGAGTTAAACCTTTCTTTTGATTCACTAGTTTGGAAACACTTTTTGTCCATTCTGAAAATAAACATTTGTAGTCTCACTGAGGCCAAAGGTGAAAAAGGAAACATCCCAGAATAAAAACTAGAAGGAAGCAATCCTACAAACTGCTCTGTGATGTGTGCATTGATTACAGAGAGTTAAACCTCTCTTTGGATTAAGCAGTCCGGAAACACTGTTTTTGTCCATTCTGCTAATGTACATTTGGGAGCTCGTTGAGGACAGTGGTGAAAAAGGAATAACCCCAGATGACAATTAGGAGGAAGCTATCTGAGAAACTGCTTTGTGATGGATGTGGGCATTCATCTCACAGAGTTAAACCTTTCTTTTCATTCAGCAGTTGGAAACACTGTTTTTGTCCATTCTGTGAATGGACATTTGGGAGCTCATGGAGGCCAAAGTTAAGTAGCAAATGTTCCCTGATAAAACTGGAAGGAACCTATATGAGAAACTGCTTCGGTTATGTGCATACCTCACACAGAATTAAACCTTATTGAGGAGTTTGGAAACACTGTTTTGCAGAATCTGCAAAGGGATATTTTGCAGTGCATTGAGGCCTGTGGTGAAAAAGGAAACACCTTCAGATAAAAACTAGAAAGAAGCTTTCTGAGAAACTGCATTTTTATGTGTGCATTTATCTCACAGTGTTAAACATTTCTTTTGATTCAGCATTTTGGAAACACTGTTTTTTTTTTTTTACATTATGTGAATGGACGTTTTAGGACTCATTGAGGCCAATAGCGAAAAAGTGAATATCCGTGGCTATTCACTAGAAGGAAGCTATCTGAGAAACTGCTTTGTGATGTGTGCATTCACCTCACAGAGTTAAACCTTTGTTTTGATTCTGCTGTTTGGTAACACTGTTTTTGTAGAAACTGCAAAGGAATATTTGGATGTGCATTGAAGTCTATGGTGAAAATGAAAATATCTTCAGATAAAATCTAGAAAGAAGCTTTCTGAGAAACTGCTTTGTAATGTGTGCATTTATCTCATGAAGTTAATATTTTCTTTTGATTCAATAGTTTGGAAACACTGTTTATTTCCATTCTGTGAATGGATGGAGCTCATTGAGTCAAATGGCAAAAATGGGAATATCCCAGGATAAAAACTACAAGGAAGCTAACGGTGAAACCACTTTTTGATGTGTGCATTCATCTCGCAGATTTAAACCTTTATTTCTTTCAGAAGTTAGGAAATACTGTTTTTGTAGAATCTGCAAAGGGATATTTGGGATCCTGCTGAGGCCTATTTTGAAAAAGAAAATAACCTCAGATGAAAACTAAAAAGAAGCATTGTGAAACTGCTTTGAGATGTGTGCATTCATCTGACAGAGTTAATCCATTCTTTTCACTCAGAAGTTTGGAAACAGTGTTTTTGTAGAATGTGTGAGAGTATATTTTGAAGTGCATTGAGGCGTATGGTGGAAAAGGAAATATCTTAAGATAAGAACAAGACAGAAGCTTTCTGAGAAACTGCTTTTTGATATGTGCATTCATCTCACAGAGTTGAACATTTGTTTTGATTTAGCAATTTGGAAACCCTCTTTTTGTCCATTCTATGAATGGAAATTTGGGAACTCATTGAAAACAATGGGGAAAGTGAATATCCCAGGGTAAATATAGAATAAGAATATCTGAGAAACTGCTTTGTGATGGATGTGGGCATTCATCTCACAGAGTTAAACCTTTCTTTTCATTCAGCAGTTGGAAACAGTGTTTTTGTCCATTCTGTGAATGGACATTTGGGAGTTCATGGAGGCCAAAGGTTAAGTAGCAAATGTTCCCTGATAAAACTGGAAGGAACCTATATGAGAAACTGCTTTGGTTATGTGCATACATCACACAGAATTAAACCTTATTTTCTTTCAGCAATATGGAAACACTGTTTTTGTGGAATCTGCAAGGGGATATTTTAGAGCATATTAAGGCATATGGTGAAAAATAAAATATCTTCAGATAAAAAGTAGAAAAAAGCTTTCTGAGAAGCTGCTTTGTTATGTGCGCTTTCAACACACAGAGTTAAACCTTTCTTTTGATTCAGCAATTTGGAAACACCATTTTTATCTATTTGGAGAATGGACATTTAGGAACTCTTTGCAGCCAATGGCGAAAAAGTGAATATCCCAGGATAAAAACTACAAGAAAGTTTTCTGAGAACCAGCTTTGTGATGTGAGCATTCATCTCACAAAGTTAAACCTTTCTTTTGATTCAGCAGTTTGGAAACACCGTTTTTATCTATTCAGAGAATGGACATTTCAGATCTCTTTGAGCCCCAAAGTGAAAAAGCGAATCTCCCATGATAAAAAACAGAAGGAATCTATCTGATAAACTGCCTTGTGATGTGTACATTCACCTCAAAGAGTTAAACTTTTCATTCAGCAGTTTGGAAAAACTGTTTTGGTAGAATCTGCAAAGGTGTACTTGGGAGCGCGTTGGGGCCAAACTAGAAGTTTCCTTTTAGTTTTTATCTGATGATACTTTCTTTTTCACCAGAGGTCTCAATGTGCTCCCACCTATCCCCTCGCAGAGACTACAAAAACAGTGATTCCAAACTGCTGAATGAAAATAAAGGTTTCAGTCTGTGGGATGAATGCACATATCACAAAGCCATTTCTCATATAGCTTCTTTCTAGTTTTCATCCTGGGATATTCACTTTTTCACCTTTGGCCTCCATGAGCTCCCAAATGTCCATTCACAGAATGGACAAAAACAGTGTTTCCAAACTGCAGAAAGAAAAGAAAGGTTTCAATATGTGGGATGAATGCGCACATCACAAAGCAGCTTCTCAGATAGATTCCTTCTCATTTTTATCTGGGATTTTTGATTTTTCCCCGTTGGCCTCAGTGAGCTCTCAAATGTTCATTTGCAGAATGGACAAAAACAATTTCCAAACTGCTGTATAAAAAGAATCTTTATCTCTGTGAAATGAAAACACAAATCATTAAGAGGTTTGTCAGAGTGCTTCCTTCTAGTTTTTATCCTAGGATATTCCCTTTTTCACCATTGGCCTCAACAAGCTCCAAATGTCCATTCACAGAATGGACAGTGTTTCCAAACCAAGGAATCAAAAGAAAAGTTTATCTTTGTGAGATGAAGGCACCCTTCACAAAGCAGTTTCTCAGAAACCTTCTTTCTAGTTTTTATCTGAAGATATTTTATTTTTCACCATCGGCCTCAATGTGCTCCCAAATATCCCTTTGCAGATTCTACAAAAACAGCGTTTCCAAACAGCTGAATGAAAAAAAAGTTTAACTCTGTGAGATGAATGCACACATCACAAAGTGGTTTCTCAGATAGCTTCCTTGTAGTTTTCATCTGGGCATATTTTCTTTTTCACCATTGGCCTCAATGAGCTCCCAAATATCCATTCAGAGTATGGACAAACACAGTGATTCCAAACTGCTGCATGAAAAGAAAGGTTTAACACTGTGAGATGAATGCACACATCACAAAGTAGTTTATCAAAAATCTTCTGTCTAGTTTTTATCTGAAGATATTTTCCTTTTCAGCATAGGCCTCAAGGCACTAGCTAATATTCCTTCACAGATTCTACAAAACAGTGTTTCCAAACTGCTGAATGAAAAAGAAGTTTTAACTCTGCGTGATGAATGTACACATCACAGAGTGGTGTCTCAGATAGCTTCCTTTTCGTGTTTATCCTGGGACATTTGCTTTTTCACCATTGGCCTCAATGAGCTCCCAAATGTTCATTCGGATCATGGACAAACACAGTGATTCCAAACTGCTGCCTCAAAGGAAATGTTTAAATCTGTGAGATGAATGCACACATAACAAATTGCTATCTCACATAGCTTCCCTCTACTTTTTGTCTTGGGATATATGCGTTTTTGCCATGGGCCACAATGAGCTCCCAAATGTCCATTCACAGATTGGAAAAACAGTGTTTCCAAACAGCTGAATCAAGAGTAAGGTTTAACTCTGTCAGATGAATGCATACTTCACAAGGTAGTTTCTCAGAAACCATCTTTCTATTTTTTATCTAAAGGTATTTTCCTTTTCACCATAGGCCTCAAAGCACTCGCAAATATCCCTTTGTAGTTTGTACAAAAACAGTGCTTCCAAACTGCTGAATGAAAAGAAAGGCTTAAAGGACTTTGTGAGATGAATGGACACTTTGTAAAGCAGCTTCCCAGACAGCTTATTGTAGTTTTTTTCCTGGCATATTCACTTTTTCACCTCCAGCCTCAATGAGCTCCCAAATGTCCATTCACAGAAAAGACAATAGCAGTGTTTCCTAACTGCTGAATCAAAAGAATGTTTTAATTCTGTGAGAAGAATGCACACATCACAAAGCAGTTTCTCGGAAAATTTCTTTTTAGTTTTTATCTGAATATATTTCTTCAACATATGCCTCATTACATTCCCAAGTATCCCTTCGCAGATTCTACAAAATCAGTTTTTCCAAACTTCTGAATGAAAGGAATGTTTTAACTCTGTGAGATGAATGCACACATCACAAAGCAGTTTCTCAGAAACCTTCTATCCAGTTTTTTTTCTGAAGTTATTTTCTTTCTCATCATCAGCCTAAATGTGGTCCCAGATGTCCATTCGCAGAATGAAAAAAACAGTGTTTCCAAACAGCTGAATAAAAAGAAAGGTTTACCTAGGTGCAGTGAATGCAGACATCACAAAGAAGTTTATCAGAAAGCTTCTTCATAGTTTCTATAATGGGACATTCGATTTTTCACCATTGGACTCAATGAGCTCCCAAATATCCATTCAAACAGTGGACAAAAACGGTATTTCCAAACTGCTGAATGAAAAGAAAGTTTTAACTCTGCCAGATGAATGCATACATTGCAAGTCTGTTTCTCAGATAGCTTCCTTCTAGTTTTTATCCTGGTATATTCGTTGTTTCTCCATTGGTCTCCATGAGCTCTGAAATGTCCACTCGCAGAATGGAAAAAAAAAGTTTTTCCAAACCACTGAATCAAAAGAAAATTTTAACTATGTGTGATGAATTCACATATCACAAAACAGTTTCTCAGAAAGTTTTTTTCCAGTTTTTATCTGAGGGTATTTTGTTTTTCACCATAGGCTTCAATGCACTCTGAAATATCCCCTTGCAGATTCTTCAAAAACAGTGCTTCCAAACTGCTGAATGAAAAAAAAAGGTTTAAATCAGGGAGATGAATTCACATATAATGAAGCGGTTTCTCACATTTCTTCTTTCAAATTTTTAGTTGAAGAGATTTTCTTTTTCATCACAGACCCCACTGTGCTCCAAAATATAACTTCAAAGATACTACAAAAACAGTGTTTCCAAACAGCTGAATTAAAAGAGATGTTTACCTCTACGAGATGAATACACACATCAAAAAGCAGTTTCTCAGATTGCTTCCTCTTAGTTCTTATCCTGGGACATTCGCCTTTTCACCATTGACCTCAATAAGCTCCCAAATGTCCATTCACTGAATAGATAAAAGAGTGTTTCCAAACTTCTGAATCAAAATAAATGGTTAACACTGTGAGCTGAATGTGCTCATCACAAAGCAGTTTCTCAGAGAGATTCTTCCTAGTTTTTATCTGAAGATATTTTCCTTATCACCATAGGCCTCAAAGCAACCCCAGATATCCTTTTGCAGGTTCTGCAAAAAGAGTGTTTCCAAACTGCTGAACAAAATGAAAGTTTTAAATCTGTGATATGAATGCACACATCAGAAAGTACTTTCTCAGATAGCTTCCTTCTAGTTTTTATCTTGGGGTATTCACTTTTCACCATTGGATTGAATGAACTCCAAAAAGTCCATTCACAGAATGGACAAAAACTTTTTCCACACTGCTGAATCAAATGAAAGGTTTATCTCTGTGAGATGAATGCCCACATCACAAAGTAGTTTCTCAGAAATTTCTGTCTAGTTTTTATCTGAATTTATATTGTTTTTCACCATTGGCCTCAGTGAGCTCCTAAATGTCCACTCACAGGTTCTACAAAAACAGTGTCTTTAAACTGCTGAATGAAAAGAAAGATTTAACTCCTCGAGCTGAATGAACACATCAAAAAGCAGTTTCTCAGATACCTTCCTTCTAGTTTTTATCCTGGGGTATTCCCTTTCTTTGCCATTGGCCTCAGAGAACTCCAAAATGTGCTTTCACACAATGGACAAAAAGAGAGTTTCCATATTACTGAGAAAGGTTTAACTCTGTGAGATGAATGCACACATCACAAAGCACACATCACAAAGCAGTTTCTCAGAAAGCTTTTTTATAATTTTTATCTGAAGATATTTTCTTTTTCACCACATGCCTCAATGCCCTCCTAAATATCCCTTCGCAGATGCTACAAATACAGTGTTTCCAAACAGCTGAATAAAAAGAAAGGTTTACCTCAGCCAGATGAATACACACATCACAAAGCAGTTTATCAGATAGGTTCTTCATAGTTTTTATCATGGGACATTCGATTTTTCACCATTGGACCCAAAGAGCTCCCAAATGTCCATTTGCAGAATGGACAAAAACAGTGTTTCCAAAAGGTTGAATGAAAAGAAAAGTTCAATTCTTCGAGATGAGTGTACACATCACAAAGAAGTTTCTCAGACAGCTTTCTCTTAGTTTTTATATTGGGGCATTTTGTTTCTCACTTTTGGCTTCAATGAGCTCCCTAATATCCATTTGCAGAATGGATAAAAGCAACGATTCCAAAATGCTGAATCAAAAGAAAGGTTCACCTCTGTGAGCTGAATGCACACATCACAAAGCAGTCACACAGAAAACTTTTTTCTATATTTTATCCGAGGACATTTTCTTTTTCACCATAGTCCTCAACGTGCTCCCAAATATCCATTCACAGATTCTACAAAAATGGTAGCTCCAAACTGCCTAATGAAAAAAAGGTTTAACTCAGGGAGTTGAATGCACACATCACAAAGCAGTTTCTCAGATAGATTCCTCTTATTTTTTATCCTTGGACATTCTCTTTTTCCCCATTGGCCCCAATTTTCTCCCAAATGTCCATTCACAGAATGGACAAAAAGAGTGATTCCAAACTGCTGAATCAAAACAAAGGTTTAACTCAGTGAGATGAATGCACACATCATAAAGAAGTTTCTCAGAATGATTCTTTCTAGTTTTTATCTGAAGATATTTACTTTTTCACCATAGGCCTCAATATGCTCCCAAATATCCCTCTGCAGACACTACTAGAAGGAAGATAGCTTCCTTCTAGTTTTTATCCTGGGATATTCCCTTTTTCTCCATTGCTCTCAATGAGCTCCCAAATGTCCAATCACAGAATGGGCAACAACAGTGTTTCCAAACTGCTGAACGAAAAGAAAAGAAAGTTTTAACTCTGCAAGATGAATATACACATCAGAAAGCGGTTTCTCATATAGCTTCCTCTCAGTTTTAATCCTGAGACATTCACCTTATCACCATTGGCCTCACAGTGCCCCCAAATATCCATTCGCAGAATGGACTGAAACAGTGTTCCAAGGTGCTGAATCATAAGACAATTTTAACTCGGTGACATGAATGCATACATCTCAAAGCACTTTCTCAGAAAGATACATTCTAGTTATTACCTGAAGACATTTTCTTTGCCATAATAGGCCTCAGTCAGCTGTGAAATGTCAATTCGCAGATTCTACCAAAAAATGTTTTCCAACTGCTGCATGAAAATAAAGATTTAACTCCTCAATTGAATGCACACATCACAAAGCGGTTTCTCAGATAGCTTCTTTCTAGTTTTTATGCTGGGATATTTGCTTTTTAGCCATTCACCTCAATCATCCCTCAAATGTCCATTCACAAAATGGACAAAAAAACCGTTTCCAAAGTGCTAAATGAAAAGAAAAGTTTAACAATGTGAGATGAATGCACATATCACAAAGCGGTTTCTTGGATAGCTTATTTCTAATTTTTATCCTTGGGTATTTGCTTTTTCAACATTGGACTCAGTGAGCTCCCAAAGGTCCATTCACAGAATGGACAGAACACTTTTTCCAAACTGCCAAGTGAAAAGAACTGTTTGACACTGCAAGATGAATGCACACATCACAAAGAGTTTCCTCAGATAACTTCTCTCTAATTTCCTTTTTTGCCATAGGCCTCAATGAGCTCCCAAATATCCCTTTGCAGATGCTACAAAAAAAGTGTTTCTAAACTACTGAATGACAAGAAAGGTTTCACTTTGTGGGATGAATGCACACACCACAAAGCGGTTTCACAGATGGATTCCTTCTACTTTTTATCTTGGGATTTTCAAGTTTTTCCTTTTGGCGTCAGTGAGATCCCAAATGTCCACTCACAGAATGGACAAAAGCAGTGTTTCCACACTGCCGAGTCAAAGGAATGCTTTAACTAAGTGAGATAAATGCACACATCACAAAGGAGTATCTCAGAAAGTTTCCTTCTACTTTTTATGTGAAGATATTTTCTTTTTCACAATAGGCTTCAATGTGCACCCAAATATCCATTTGCAGTTTCCTCAAAAACAGTGTTTCTAAACTGCTGAATGAAAAGTATGGCTTTACTCTGTGAGATGAAAGCACAAGTCACAAAACGGTTTCTCAGATAGCTTCTTCTAGTTTTTATAATAGGATATTCACTTTTTTGCCTTGGGCCTCAAATAGCTCCAAAATGTCCACTCACAGAGTGGACAAAAAGAGTGTTTTCAAACTGCTAAATAAAAAGAAATGTTTATCTCTGTGAAGTGAATGCAAACATCACCAAGCAGTTTCTCAGAAAACTTCTTTCTCGTTTTTATCTGAAGATATTTTCTTTTTCACCATAGGCCTCATTAGGCTCCCAAATATCCCTTCGCAGATTCTACAAAAAGAGTGTTTCCAAACTGCTGGATAGAAAAAAAGTTTAACTCTGTGAGATGAATGCACACATCACAAAGCGGTTTTTCAGATAATTTCTTTTAGTTTTTATCCTGGGTTATTTGCTTTTTCACCATTCGCCTCAATGAGCTCCCAAATATTCACTCACAGAATGGACAAAAACAGTTTTTCCAAACTCCTAAATGAAAAGAAAGGTTTAACTCTGCAAGGTGAATGCACATATCACAAAGCAGTATCTCAGATAACTTCCTTTGCATTATTATCCTGGGAGAGTCGCTTTTTTGCCTTTGGCCTCAATGAACTCCCAAATGTCCATTCAGAGTAGACAATCACAGTCTTTCCAAACTGCTGAATCAAAAGAAAGGTTTAATGCTCTGAAATGAATGCACTCATCATGAAGTGGTTTCTCAGATTGCTTCCTTCTGGTTTTTATCCTGGGATGTTCGCTCTTTCACCCTTGGCCTCAATGAGCTCCCAAATGTCCATTTGCAGAATGGACAAAAACAGTGATTCCAAACTGCTGAATCAAAAGAAAGGTTTAACTCTGTGGGATGAAGGCAAACATCACAAAAAGTTTCTCAGATAGCTTCCTTCTAGTTTTTATCCTGGGATATACCCCTTTTCACCATGGGACTTAATGAGTTCCAAAATGTCCATTCACAGAATGGACTAAAACAGGGTTTCCAAATTGGTGAGTCAAGAGTAAGGTTTAACTCTGTGAGATGAATGCACACATCACAAAGCAGTTTCTCAGAAAGATTCTTTCTAGTTTTTATCTGAAGTTATTTTCTTTGTCAATATAGGCATCAATGCGCTCCCAAGTATCCCTTTACTATTCTAAAAAAACAGTGTTTCCAAATTGCTGAAGAAAAAGAAGGGTTTAATTCTGGTGATGAATGCACACTTCTTAAAGTGGTTCCTCAGATAGCTTCCTTCTAGTTTTTATCCTGTGATATTCGCTTTTTCACCATTGGCCTCAATGAGCTCCATAATGTCCTTTCACAGAATGGGCAAGAACAATGTTTCCAAACTGCTGCATCAAAAGAATGGTTTAACGCTGTGAGATGAATGCACACATCACAAAGAAGTTTCTCAGAAAGCTTCTTTCTAGTTTTTATCTGAAGACATTTTCTTTTTCAGCATAGGCCTCAATTTGCTCCAAAATATCTCTTCCCAGGTTATCCAAAAACAGTGTTTGCAAACTGATGAATGAAAAGAAAGTTTTAACTCTGTGAGATGAATGCACACATCACAAACCGGTTTCTAAGATAGCTATCCTCCAGTTTATATCTTGAGATATTGACTTTTCCGCCATTGTCCTCAATGAGCTCCTGAATACCACTTCAGAGATTCTACAAAAAAAGTGTTTCTAAACTGCTGAATGAAAAGTTATGTTTCACTCTGTGATATCAATGCACACATCACAAAGCAGAGTCTCAGATAGCTTCCTTCTAGTTTTTATCCTGCAGTATTCCCTTTTTCAGCATAGGCCTCAATGAGCTCAGAAGTGTCCATTCACAGAATGGACAAAACAGTGTTTCCAAACTGCTAAATCAAAAGGAAGGTTTAACTCAGTGAGATGAATGTACACATCACAAAGCACTTTCTCAGAAAGCTTCTTTCTGGTTTTTATCTGAGCTTATTTTTTTTCACCATAGGCCTCAATGTGCCCCCAAATATCCCTTCTCAGATTCTAAAAAAGAGTGTTTCAACACTGCTGAAAGAAATGAAAGATTTAACTCTGTGAGATGAATGAACAGAACACAACGTGGTTTCTCAGATAGCTTCCTTCTAGTTTTTACACTGGGATATTCCCTTTTGCACCATTGGTCTCAATGAGTTCCCAAATGTGCATTCACAGAATGGGCAAAAACAGGGTTTCCAAACTGCTGAATCACAAGAAAGATTTAACTATATGAGATCCATGCACACATCACAAAGCAGTTTCTCAGAATGCTTCTTTCTATTTTTTATCTGTAGCTATTTTCTTTTTCACCATAGGCTTCACTGTGATCCCAAATATCCCTTCACAGATTCTATAAAAACAGCGTTTCCAATCTGCTGAATGAAAAGAAAGATTTAACTCTCCAGGATCAATGCACACATCACAGAGTGGAGTCTCAGATAGCTTCCTTCCAGTTTTTATCCTGGGGCATTCGCTTTTTCACCATAGGCTTCAATGAGCTCAAAAATGTCCATTCACAGAATGGACAAAACAGTGTTTCCAAACTGCTAAATCAAAAGAAAGGTTTAACTCAGTGAGACGAATGTACACATCACAAAACACTTTCTCAGAAAGCTTCTTTCTCGTTTTTATCTGAGCATATTTCCTTTTCACCATAGGCCTCAATGTGCCCCCAAATATCCCCTCTCAGATTCTAAAAAAGAGTGTTTCAACACTGCTGAAAGAAATGGAAGATTTTGAATGAACAGACCACAACGTGGTTTCTCAGATACCTTCCTTCTAGTTTTTACACTGGGATATTCCCTTTTGCACCATTGGTCTCAATGAGCTCCCAAATGTGCACTCACAAAATGGGCAAAAACAGTGTTTCCAAACTGCTGAATCACAAGAAAGATTTAACTATATGAGATCTATTAATACAGCACAAAGCAGTTTCTCAGGACGCTTCTTTCTATTCTTTATCTGTAGCTATTTTCTTTTTCACCATAGGCTTCACTGTGATCCCAAATATCCCTTCGCAATTCTATAAAAACAGCATTTCCAATCTGCTGAATGAAAAGAAAGATTTAACTCTGCAGGATCAATGCACACATCACAGAGTGGAGTCTCAGATAGCTTCCTTCCAGTTTTTATCCTGGGGTATTCGCTTTTTCACCGTAGGCTTCAATGAGCTCACAAATGTCCATTTGCAGAATGGACAAAACAGTGTTTCCAAACTGCTAAATCAAAAGGAAGGTTTAACTCAGTGAGACGAATGTACACATCACAAAACACTTTCTCAGAAAGCTTCTTTCTCGTTTTTATCTGATCATATTTCCTTTTCACCATAGGCCTCAATGTGCCCCCAAATATCCCTTCTCAGATTCTAAAAAAGAGTGTTTCAACACTGCTGAAAGAAAAGAAAGATTTAACTCTGTGAGATGAATGAACAGAACACAACGTGGTTTCTCAGATAGCTTTCTTCTAGTTTTTATCCTGGGATATTCCCTTTTGCACTATTGGTCTCAATGAGCTCCCAAATGTCCATTTGCATAATGGGCAAAAACAGTGTTTCCAAACTGCTGAATCAAAAGAAAGATTTAACTATGTGAGATCTATGCACACATCACAAAGCAGTTTCTTAGAACGCTTCTTTCTGGATTTTATCTATAGATATTTTCTTTTTCACCATAGGCCTCACTGTGATCCCAAATATCCCTTCACAGATTCTATAAAAACAGCGTTTCCAATCTGCTGAATGAAAAGAAAGGTTTAACACTGCAGGATCAATGCACCCATCGCAGAGTAGTTTCTCAGATATCTTCCTTCTAGTTTTTATCCTGGGATATTAGCTTTTTCACCACTGACCTCAATGAGCTCCCAAATGTCCATTTGCAGAATGGACCAAAACAGTGTTTCTAAACTGCTGAATCAAAACAAAGTTTTAGCTTTGTGAGATGAATGCACACATCACAAAGCAGTTTCTCAGAAAGCTTCTTTCTAGTTTTTATCTGAAGATATTTTCCTTTTCACCATAGGCCTCAATGAGCTCCAAAATATCCCTTTGCAGATTCTACAAAACCGTGTTTCCAAACTGCTGAATGAAAAGAAATGTTTAAGTCATGAGACAAATGCACTTATCACAAATCGGTTTCTCAGATAGCGTTCTTTTCATTTTTATCCTTGGATATTTTCTCTTTGGCAATTGGCCTCAATGATCTCATAAATGTCCATTCACAAAATGGACAAAAACACTGTTTCCAAACTGCTGAATGAAAAGAAAATTTTAACTCTGTGAGATGAATGCACAAATCACAGAGCAGTTTCTCAGGTAGATTCCTTCACGTTTTTCCTGTTATATTCACTTTTACACTATTGGCCACAAAGAGCTCCTGAAAGTCCATTCACAGAATGCACAAAAGCAGTGTTTCCAAAATACTGAATCAAAAGAATGATTTAGCTCTGTAAGACGAATGCACACAGCACAAAGCTGTTTCTCAGAAAGGTTCCTTTTGGCTTTTATCCTAGGTTATTCACTTTTTTGCCATTTGCCTCAATGAGCTGCCAAATGTCCATTTGCAGAATGGACAAAAACTCTGTTTCCATACTCTGAATGAAAACAAAGTTTAACACTATGACAGGATGAAGTCTCAATTAGCTCCCAAATATCCATTTGAAGAATGGGGAAAAAAAATTTTTTCCAAACTCCTGAATCAAAAGGAAGGTTTAACTCTGTTAGATGAACACACACATCAGAAAGCATTTTCTAAGAAAGCTTCATTCTAGTTTCTGTGTGAAGATATTTTCTTTTTAACCAGAGGCATTGATGATCTCCCAAATATCCCTTCACAGATTCTACAAAAACAGTGTTTCCAAGTTGCTGAATGAAAATAAAGGTTTAACTCTGCGAGCTGAATGCACACATCACAAAGCAGTTTCTCAGATAGCATCCTTCTAGTTTATCCTGGGATATATGCTTTTTCACCATTGGCCTGAATGGGCTCGAAAATGTCCATTTGCAGAATGGACAAAAACAGTGTTTCCAAATGGTTTAATGAAAAGAAATGTTTATCTGTTTGCGATGAATGCACTCATCACAAAGCTGTTTCTCAGGTGGCTTCACTCTGGTTTTTATCCTGGGATACTTGCTTTTCCTCCACTGGCCTCATTGTGCTCCAAATATTCCTTCCCAGATTCTACAAAAACACTGTTTCCACACTGCTGAATGAAAGGAAAGGTTTAACACTACGAGATGAATGCACACATTGAAAAGCGGTTTCTCAGATAGATTCCTTTTAGTTTTTATCCTGGGATATTCGATTTTTCTCCATTGGCTTTGATGAGCTCCCAAATGTCCATTTGCAGAATTTACAAAAAAAGTGTTTCCAAACTGCTGAATCAAAAGAAATGTTTCTCTGTGAGATGAAATTACATATCAGAAAGCAGTTCCTCAGAAATCTTCCTTCTAATTTTTATCTGAGGATATTTTTCTTTTCACCATAAGCCTCAATGTGCTCCCAAGTATCCCTTCACAAATTCTTCACAAACAGTGTTTCCAAACTGCTAATGGAAAAGAATACTTAAACTCTGCAATATGAATGCACACATCCCAAAGCAGTTTCTCATAGCTTCCTTCTGGGTTTTTACTTTTGGATATTCTCTTTTCTGCAATTGGTCTCAATGAGCTCCCAAAATCCATTCGCAGAATGGACAAAAACAGTGTTTCCAAACTGCTGAATGAAAAGAAATGTTTACCTCTGCGAGATGAATGCACACATCAGAAAGCAGTTTCTCAGATAGCTTCCTTCTAGTTTTTATCCTGGGATATACACTTTTTCACCTTTGGCCTAAATGATCTCCCACATCTCCATTCACTGAATGGAAAAAAAAACAGTGTTTGCAAACTGCTGAATCAAAAGAAAGTTTAAACTCTGCGAGATCATTGCACACATCACAAAGCAGTATCTCAGAAAGCTTTATTGTAGTTTTCTTCTGAAGATATTTTGTTTTTCACCTTAGACCTCAATGCCCTCCCAAATATGCCTTTGTAGGTTCTAAAAAAAGTGTTTCCAAACTGCTAAATGAAAAGAAAGCATTGACTCTATGAGACCATCAAAAAGCGGTTTCTCAGATAGCTTCATTCTGGTTTTTATCCTGGGATGTGCACTCTTTTGCCATTGGCCTCAGAGCTCCCTAATATGCATTCGCAGAAGAGACAAAAATAGTGTTTCCAAACTGCTGAATCAAAAGAAAGGTTTAACTCTATGAGTTGAAGGAACCCATCACAAAGAAGTTTTTCTGAAAGCTTCTTTCTAGATTTAATCTGAAGATAATTTTTTTACCATAGGCCCCATTATGCTCCTAAATACCCCTTAGCAGATTTTATAAAAGCAGTTTTTCCAAACTAATGAATGAAAATAAAGGATTAACTCTATGAGAAGAAGGCAGACATCACAAAGCAATTTCTCAGGTCGCTTCCTTCTAGTTTTTATCCTGCAATATTTGCTTTTTCAGCATTGGCCTAAATGAGCTCCCAAATGTATGTTCCCAGAATATGCAAAAACAGTATTTACAAACTGCCAAATCAAAAGGAAAATTTATCTGTGTGCAACGAATGCACATATCACAAAGCTATTTCTCAGGTAGCTTAGTTCTGGTTTTTATCCTGGGATATTCACTTTTCCTCCATTGGCCTCAATGAGCTCCCAAATGTCCATTCACAGAAGGGACAAAAACACGGTTTCCAAACTGCTGAATCAAAAAAAAGGTTTAACTCTGTGAGATGAAGGAACTTATCACAAATCAGTTTCTCAGAAGGCTTCTTTCTAGTTTAAATCTGAAGATATTTTCTTTTTCACCATGGGACCAAATGTGCTCCCAATTACCCCTTCACAGATTCTACAAAAACAGTGTTTCCAAACTGCTGAATGAAAAGAAAAGATTACCTCTACAAGATGAAGGCAGACATCACAAAGCTTTTTCTCAGATGGCTTTCTTCTAGTTTTTACCCTGGGATATTCACTTTTTCACCATTGGCCTCAATGAGCTGCCAAATGTACATTCACAAAATGGAGAAAAACAGTGTTCCCAATTGCTGAATCAAAAGAAAAGTTTAACTGTGTGAGATGAAGGAACACATCACAAAGCAGTTTCTCACAAAGCTTCTTTCTAGTTTTATGCTGAAGATATTTTCTTTTTCACCAGAGGCTCCAATGCCCTCCCCCAAATATCTCTTCACAGATTCATCAAAAATAGTGTTTCCAAACTGCTGAAGGAAAAGAATGGTTTAACTCCACGAGATGAATGCAAACATCTCAAAGCAATTTCTCATAGCTTCCTTCTGGGTTTTTATTTTTGGATATTCGCTTTTTTACTATTGGCCTCAATGAGCTCAAAAATCAATTCACAGAATGGACAAACACAGTGTTTCCAAACTGCTGAATGAAAAGAAACATTTTTCTCAGAGAGATGAATGAGCATATGACAAAGTGGTTTCTCCAATAGCTTCTTTCCAGTTCTTACCCTGGTATATTCTTTTTTTCACCGTTGGCCTCAAAGAGCTCCCAAATGTCCATTCATATAATGGACAAAAACAGGGTTTCCAAACTGCTGAATCAAAAGAATGGTTTAACTCTGTGAGATGCATGCACAAATCCCAAAGCAGTTTCTCAGAAAGATTCTTTCTAATTTTTATCTGAAGATATTTCCTTTTTCATCATTAGCCTCAATCTGATCCAAAAGATTGCTTCTCAGATTCTACAAAAACAGCATTTCCACAGTGCCGAATCAAAAAAAAATGAAACCTGCAAGATGAATGCACATATCACAAGGCAGTTTCTCAGATAAATTCCTTCTAGTTTTTATCCTGGTATATTAGCTTTTTCATCTTTAGTGTCAACGGGCTCCCAAATCTCCTTTCACAGAATTGACAAATCCGTCTTTCCAAACAGCTGAATGAAAAGAAAGATTTAACTCTATGAGATGAATGCACATATCACTAAGCTGTTTCTCACGTAGCTTCCTTCTAGTTTTTATCCTGGGATATTCGCTTTCTCACCACTGGCCTAGATGAGCTCCCAAATATCCATTCACAGAAAGGACAAAAGCAGTGTTTACAAACTGCTGAATCAAAAAAAAATTTAACTCTGTGAGATGAAGGCACACATCACAACGCAGTTTCTCAGAAAGCTTCTTTCTATTTTTTATCTAAAGATATTTTCTTCTTAAGCATAGGCCACAACATTACCCAATTATTGCTTCACAGATTCTACAAAAACAGTGTTTCCAAACTGCTGAACAAAAAGAAAGGTTTAATTATGAGTGATTAATGCACACATCACAAAACGATTTCTCAGGTAGCTTCTTTCTAGTTTTCATCATGGGATTTTTGTTTTTTGCAATTGGCCTCAATGAGCCCCCATATGTCCATTTGCAGAATGGACAAAAATGTGTTTCCAAACTGTTATATGAAAAGAAATGTTTACCTCTGAGAGATGAATGCACACATCACAAATCACTTTATCAGATAGCTTCCTTCTAGTTTTCATCCTAGAATATTTGCTTTTTTGCCATTGGCCTCAATGAGCTATGAAATGTCTATTCACAGAATGGACAAAAATAGTGTTTCCAAATTTCAGAATCAAATGAAATTTTTAACTCTGTGAGATGAAGGCACACATCACAAAGCAGTTTCTAAGAAAGCTTCTTTCCAGTTTTTATCTGAAGATATTTTCTTTTCCAACACAGGCCTCAGTGCACTCCCAAATATCTCTTCACAGACTCTACAAAAACAGTGTTTCCAAACTGTGAATGAAAAGCCTGTTTAACTCTGTGAGATAAATGTACACATCAAAAAGTCATTTCTCAGATAACTTCCTTCTAGTTTTATCCCGGAATACTCACTTTTTTGACATTGGCTTCAAAGAGCTCCCAAATGTCCATTCACAGAATGAACAAAAATAATATTTCCAAACTGCTGAATCAAAAGAAAGGTTTCACTCTGAGAGGTATGCAGACATCCAAAAGTGGTTTCTCACAAAGCTTCCTTCTAGTTTTATCCTGGGATATTCGTTTTTTCACCATTGGCCTCAATGAGCTCCCAAATGTCCATTCGCAGAATGGACAAAACAGTTTTTCCAAACTGCTGAATGAATATAAATGTTTCACTCTGTGAGATGAATGCACATTGGAAAGTGGTTTCTCAGAAAATTTCTTCCAGCTTTTATCTTGAGATGATCTCTTTTTCACCTTTGGCCTCAATGAGCTAACAAATATGCATACACAGAATGGACAAAAACAGTGTTTCCAAACTGTTGAGTCAAAAAAATTTTTTAACTCTGTGAGATGAATACACACATCACAAGGCCATTTCTCAGATAGATTCCTTTTAGTTTTTATCCAGGTATGCTCACTATTTTGCATTTGACCTCAATGAGCTCCAAAATATGCATACATAGAGTGGAGAAAAACAGTATTTCCAACCTGCTGAATGAAAAGTGAGGTTTAACTCTGTGAGATGAATGCACACGTCACTAAGTGGTATCTCAGGTAGATTCCTTCTAGTTTTTATCATGGGATAATGGATTTTTTGCAATTGGCTTGGGTGAGCTCCAAAACGTCCATTCGCAGAATGGACAAAAACAGTGTTTCCAAACTACTTAATAAAAAGAAAGGTTAAACTCTGTGAGATGAATGCACACATCACAAAGTAGTTTCTCAGAAATCTTCTTTCTAGTTTTTATCTGAAGATATTTTGTTTTCATCATAGGCCTCAATGCACTCACAAATATCAATTGAGAGATTCTACAAAAACAGTGTTTCCAAACTTCTGAATGAAAAGGAGGGTTTCACTCTGCGAGGTGAATGCACACATCATAAAGCACAAAGTGGTTTCTCACACAGCTTCATTCTAGTTTTTGTCCTGCGATATTTGCTTTTTTGCCATTGGCCTGAATGAGGTCCCAAATGTCCATGCACAGAAAGGACAAAAGCAGTTTTTCCAAACTGCTGAATCAAAATAAGGATTTAAATCTGCCAAAAGAATGCACACATCCCAAGGCAGTTTCTCAGATAGCTTCCTTCTAGATTTTATACTGGGATATTTGCTTTTTCACCATTGGCCTCAATGAGCTCCCAAATGTCCATTCATAGAATGGACAAAAACAGTGTTTCCAAACTGCTGAATCAAAAAAAAAATTTAACTCTGTGAGATGAATGCAAATATCACAAGGCAGTTTCTCAGATAGATTCCTTCAAGTTTTTATCCTGGTATAACAGCTTTTTGCCTTTGGCCTAAATGAGCTCCCAAATCTCCATTTGCATAATGGATAGAAACAGTGTCTCCAACTTGCTGAATGAAAAGAAAGGTTTAACTCTATGAGATGAGTGAACACATCACAAAGCGGTTTCTCAGATATCTTTCTTCTAGTTTTTATCCTGGGATATTCGCTTTTTCACCATTGGCCTAGATGAGCTCAAAAATGTGCTTTTGCAGAATGGACAAAACAGTTTTTCCAAACTGCTGAATGAAAATAAATGTTTAACTCTGTGAGATGAATACACACATCATAAGACTGTTTCTCAGAAAGCTTCTTTCTACTTTTTATCTGAAGATATTTTCTTTTTCACCATAGGCTTCAATATGCTCCCAAATATCCCTTCACAGATCCTACAAAAACAGTGTTTCCGAACTGCTGAATGTAAAGAAAGGCTTATCTCTATGAGATGAATGCATGCGTCACAAAGTTGTTTGTCAGATAGCTTCCTTCTAGTTTTTGTCCTGGGATATTCACTTTTTTGCCTTGTCTTCATTGAGCTCCTAAATGTCCATTCACAGAATGGACAAAAATAGTGTTTACAAACTGCTGTATGAAAAGAAAGTGTTAACTCTGTTAGATGAACGCACACATCACAAAGCGGTTTCTCAGATAGATTACTTCTAGTTTTTATCGTGGGATATTCACTTTTTGCCATTGGCATCAATGAGATCCTAAATGTCCTTTCGCAGAATGGACCAAAACAGTGTTTCAAAAATGCAGAATCAAAAGAAAGGTTTAGCTCTGTGAGATGAAAGCACACATCATAACGCAGCTTCTCAGAAACCTTCTTTCTAGTTTTTATCTAAAGATATTTCCTTTTTCACCATAAGCCTTAACACGCTCCCAAATTTCCCTTCACAGATTCTTAAAAAAAGTGTTTCCAAACTGCTAAATGAAAAGAAAAGTTTATCTCTGTGAGGCAAAGGCTCACATCACAAAGCAGTTTCTCAGATAGCTTCCTTCTAGTTTTTATCCTGGGATATTTGCTTTTTCCCTTTTGGCCTCAGTGAGCTCCCAAATGTACTTTTGCAGAATGGACAAAAACAGAGTTTCCAAACACCTGAATCAGAAGAAAAGTTTAACCTTGTGAGACGAATGCAAACATCACAAAGCACTTTCTCAGAAAGCTTCTTTCTTTTTTTTATCTCGAGATATTTTATTTTTCACCAAAGGCCTCAATGCACTCCGAATTATCCCTTTGCAGATTTTACAAAAAGAGTGTTTTCAAACTTCTGGCTAAAAAGGAAAGTTTAACTCTACGAGATGAATGCACACATTACAAAGTGGTTTCTCAGATAGATTCCTTCTAGGTTTTATCTGAAGTTACTTTATTTTTCACCATAGACATCAATGCACTCCTAAATATCACTTGACAGATTCTACAAAACAGTGTTTCCAAACAGTTGAATTCAAAGAAAACTTTGTCTATGAGAGATGATTGCCCACATCACAAAGTGGTTTCTCTGATACCTTCCTACTAGTTTTTATCCTGGGACGTTTACTTTTTCACCATTGTCCTCAATAAGCTCAAAATGTCCATTGACAGAATAGACAAAAACATTGATTCAAAACTGTTGAATTGAAAGAAAGTTTTAACTCTGTGAGATGAATGCACCCATCACAAAGCAGATCCTCAGATAGCTTCCTTCTAGTTTTTATCCAGGGATATTCGCATTTTCCTCATGGGCCTCAATGAGCTCACAAATGTCAATTTGCAGAATTGAAAAAGACAGTGTTTACACTGCTGTATGAAAACAGAGGTTTAACTGTGCCAGAGGAATGTACACATGACAAAGCAGTTTCTCAGAAAGCTTCTTTCTAGTTTTTATCTGAGGATATTTCCTTTTTCACCATGGTCCTGAACACACTTCCAAATATCCCTTTTCATATTCTACAAAAAAAGTGTTTCTGAACTGCTAAATGAAAAGAAGTTTTAACCCTGCAAGATGAATGCACACATCACAAAGAGGTTTCTCAGATAGCTTCCTTCTAGTTTTTATCCTGGGATATTCACTTTTTCGCCATTGGCCTCAATGAGATCCCAAATGTCCATTCGCAGAATGGGCAAAAACAGTATTTCCAAACTGCTGAAACAAAATAAAGGTTTAACTCTTTGAGATGAATGCACACATCACAAAACAGTATCTCAGAAAGCTTCTGTTAGTTTTCAATTTGAAGATATTTTCTTTTTCACCATAACCTCATTATGCTCCCAAATATCCTTCCACAGGTTCTACAAAAAGAGTGCTTCCAAAATGCTGAATGAAAAGAATGCTTTAACTCTGCAAGCTGAATGCACACATCACAAATTGGTTTCACAGATAGCTTCCTTCTAGTTTTTATTGGGGATATCCAGTTTTTCACAACTGGCCTCAAAGATCTCCAAAATGTGCATTTGTAGAATAGACAAAAACAGTGTTTCCAAATTACTGAATCAAAAGAAAGGTTTATTTCTGTGAAATGAATGCACATATCACAAAGCAGTTTCTCAGAAAATTATTTCTGGTTTTTATCTGAAGATATTGTCTCTTTCACCATATGCCTCAATGCACTACCTAATATCTGTTGGCAGATTCTATTAAAAAATTGTTTCCAAACTGCTGAATGAAAAGAAAGGTTTAACTCTGTGAGATAAATGCAGACATCACAGAGCAGTTTCTCAGATAGCTTCCTCCTAGTTTTTATCCCGGCATATGCACGTTTTTTGCCTTTGGCCTCAACGAGCTCCCTAAAGTCCATTGGCAGAATGGACAACAATGGTGTTCTCAAACTGCTGAAAGAAAAGAAAAGTTTAACTCTGCGAGATGAATGCACACATCATTAAGCAGTTTCTCAGATAACTTCTTTCTAGTTTTTATCCTGGGATGTTCACTTTTTCTCCATTGGCCTAAATGCACTCCAATTGTTCATTCACAGAATGGAGAAAAACAGTGTTTCCAAACTGCTGAATGAAAAGAAAGGTTTAACTCTGCAAGCTGAATGCACACATCCCAAAGCAGTTTCCCAGATAGCTTCCTCCTAATGTTTATCCAGGGACATTCGATTTTTGGCCATTGGCTTCATTGCGCTCCCAAATGTCCATTCACAGAATGAACAAAAACATTGTTTCCAAACTGCTGAATCAAAAGAAAGGTTTAGCTATGTGAGATCAATGCACACATCACAAAGCAGTTTCTCAGACATCTTTTTTCTAGTTTTTATCTGAAGATATTTTCTTTTTCACCATAGGCCTCAATGTACTCCCAAATATCCCTTCACAGATTCTACAAAACAGTGGTTCCAAACTGCTGAAAGAAGAAAGTTTTAGCTCTTTGAGATGAGTGCACTCATCAGAAAGCAGTTTCTTAGAGAGCTTCTTGATAGTTTTTGTAATGGGATATTCGTTTTTTTGCCTTTGGCCTCCATTATCTACCAAATGTCCATTCGGAGAATGGACGAAAAAATTGTTTTAAAATGCTGAATCAAACAAAGGTTTAACTCTGTGAGATGGATGACACACCACAAAACAGTTTCTAAGAAAGATTCTTCCTAGTTTTTATCTGAAGTTATTTTCTTTTTGTACATATGCCTCATTGAGCTTCCAAATGTCCATTTGCATATTCTACAAAACAGTTCTTCCAAAAGCACAGTTGAAAAGCAGAATAAAAAGAAAGATTAAACTCCTCAACCTTAATGCAAACATCACAAATCTGTTTCTCAAATAATTTCCTTCCAGTATTTATCCTGGGATAATTGCTTTTTTGCCTTTGGCTTCAATGAGCTCCAAAATGTCCATTCACAGAATGGACAAATACAGTGTTTCCAAACTGCTGAATCAAAAGTAAAATTTATTCTGTGAGATCAATGCACACATCACAGAATGGTTTCTCAGATAGCTTCCCTCTAGTTTTTATATTGGGATATTCTGTTTTTCTCCACTGGCCTCAATGAGCACCCAAATGTTCACTTGCAGATTGGACAAAAACAGTGTTCCACAAGAGCTGAATGAAAAGAAAGTTTTAATTCTGTGAGTTGAATACAAACATAACACAGTGGCTGCTGAGATAGCTTCCACTTAGTTTTTTTCCTGGGACACTTGTTTTTTTGCCATTGGCTTCAATGAGCTTCAAAATGTCCATTCTCAGAATGGACAAAAACAATGTTTCCAAAATGCTTAATAAAAAGAAAGTTTTAACTGTGTGAGAAAAATGCACACATCACAAAGCAGTTTCTCAGAGAGCTTCTTTCTAGTTTTTATTTGAAGATATTTTGTTTATCACCATAGGCCTCAATGCACTCCCAAATATCCCTTCACAGTTTCTACAAAAACAGTATTTTCAAACTGCTGAATGAAAAATAGTTTTAACTCTGGGAGATGAATGCTCCCATCACAAAGTAGTTCCCCAGATAGTTTCCTTCTGTTTTTTATCCTGGGATATTCGCTTTTCCTCATTGGCCTAAATTAGATCTCAAATATCCATTTGCAGAATGGACAAAAACAGTGTTTCCAAGCTGCTGAATCAAAATAAAGGTTTAACTGTGTGAGATGAATGCACACATCACAAAGCAGTTTCTCAGATAGCTTCTTTCCAGTTTTTATCCTGGGATATTCACTTTTTCCTGATTGACCTCAAACAGCTCCCAAATGTCCATTTTCAGGATGGAAAAAAACATTGTTTCCAAACTCCTGAATTAAAAGAAAGTTTTCATCTGTGAGATGAATGCAAACACCACAAAGCAGTTTCTCAGAAAGCTTCTTTCTAGTTTTTAACTGAAGATATTTTATTTTTCACCATAGGCCTCATTGTGCTCCAAATATTCCCTCATAGATTCTACAAAAATGGTGTTTCCAAACTGATCGATGAAAGAAAGGAGTAACTCTGCAAGATGAATACACACATCACTAAGCAGTTTTTTTAAGATAATTTCCTTCTAGGTTTTATCATGCTACATTTGCTTTTCCCCATTGGCCTCAATGAGCTCCAAAATGTCCAATCACAGAATGGACAAAAACAGTGTTTCCAAACTGCTGAATCAACATAAAGATTTAACTCTCTGAGATGAATGCATACATCACAAGCTGTTTCTCAGATAGCTTATTTCTAGTTTTCATCTGAAGATATTTTCTTTTTCATCATAGGTTTCAATGCACTCCCCAATATCCATTCACAGATTTTTAAAAAAATATTGCTTGCAAACTGTTGAAGGAAAAGAAAGGCATAACTGTGAGATGAATTCACACATCACAAAGATATTTCTCAGATAGCTTCCTCTTAGTTTTTATCTTGGGACATTCAATTTTTCACCCTTGGCCTCAGTGAGCTCCCAAATGTCCATTTGCAGATCTACAAAAAAATGGTTTCCAAACTGCTGAATGAAAAGAAAGATTTAATTCCTTGAGATGAATGCTCACATGACATAGATGTTTCTCAGATAGCTTCCTCTCAGTTTTCATCCTTGTACATTTGATTTTTGGCCATTGGCCACAATGAGCTTCAAAATGTCCATTCATCGAATGAACAGAAAAAGTGTTTACAAACTGCTGAATGAAAAGGAAGGTTTAATTCTAAGAGATGAATGCCCACATCACAAAGCATTTTCTCAGATTGCTTCTTTCTAGTTTTTGTCATGGGATATTCACTTTTTTGTCATTGGCCTTGATTAGCTCCCAAATATCCATTCACAGAATGGACTAAAACAGTGTTTCCTAACTTCTGAAACAAAAGAAAGGTTTAACTCTGTGAGATGAAAGCACACATCACAAAGCAGTTTCTCAGAAAACGTCTTTCTAGTTTTTATCTGATGATATCTACCTTAGGCCTCAATGCACCACAAATTTCCATTTGCAGATTTTAGAAATCAGTGTTTCCAAACAGCTGAATGAAAAGAAAGATTTTACTCCTCGAGGTGAATGAACACATCACAAAGTGGTTTCTTAGATTGCTTCCGTCTCTTTGTATCGTGGGATATCCTCTTTTTCACCTTCGGCCTCAATGAGCTTCCAAATGTAGATGTGTAGAATGGAAAAAACAGTGTTTCCAAACTGCTGAATCAAGAGAAGGTTTTTGTCTCTCTGAGATGAAAGCACACATCACAAAACGGTTTCTCAGATAGATTCCACTTATTGTTTATGCTGGGATGTTCGCTTTTTCACCATTGGCCTCAATAAGCTCTCAAATGTCCATTCACAGAGTGGACAAAAACAGTGTTTTTCAAACTGATGAATCAAAAAAAGGTTTATCTCAGTGAGGTGAATGCTTGCTTCACAAAGCAGTTTCTCAGAAATCCTCTTTCTAGTTTTTATCTGAAAATATTTTCTTTTTCACTATAGGCCTCAATGCGCTCCCAACTGTCCATTCTCAGATTCTACGAAAACAGCTTTTCCAAACTGCTGAATAAAAAGAAAGATATAACTCCTCGAGCTGAATGCACACATCACAAACAGGTTTACCAGATAGCTTCCTTCTGTTTTCATTCTGGAATATTTGGTATTTCACCATTGGCATCAGCGAGGTCCCAAATGCCCTTTTGCAGAATGGACAAAAGCAGTGTTTCCAAATTGATGAATCAAAAGAAAGTTTAAATCTGTTAGATGAATGCACACATCACAAAGTGGTTTCTAAGACAGTTTCCTTCTGTTTTTATTCTGGGATATCCCCTTTTTTGCCATTGGCATCAAAGAGCTCCAAAATGTCCATTCACAGAATGGACAAAAACAGTGTTTCTAAACAGCGGAATGAACACAAATATTTAACTCGTGAGATTAATGCACACATCACAAAGCAGTCTCTCAGAAAGCTTCTTTCTAGATTTATCTGAAGATATTTCCTTTTTCACCATAGGCCTCAATGAGATCCCAAATATCCCTTTGCAGATTCTTCAAAAACAGTTTTTGCAAACTGCTGAATAAAAAGAGAGTTTTAACTTGGCAAAATGAGTGCACACATCAAAAGCAGTTTCTCAGATAGCTTCCTTGTAGTTTTTATCCTTGTATGTTTGCTTTTTTGTCATTGACCTCAATGAGCTCCCAAATGTCCATTTGCAGGATGAAAAAAAACAGTGTCTCAAAACTGCTGAATGAAAGGAAATGTTTAACTCTGTGAGATTAATGCATACATTACAAAGCAGTTTCTCAGAGAGCTTCCACATAGTATTCATCCTGGGATGTTCGATTTCTTGCCATTGGCCTCACTGAGCTCCCAAATGTCCATTCACAGAATGGACAGAAATAGTTTCCAAATTGCAGAATCAAAAGAAACTTTTAACTCTGTGAGATGAGTGCATATGTCACAAAGCAGTTTCTCAGAAAGACTCTTTCTAATTTTTATATGAAGGTATTTTGTTTTTAATCATAGGCCTCAATGTGCTCCCGAATATTTCTTTGCAGATGCTACAAAAAGAGTTTTTCCAAATTGCTTAATGAAAAGAAAGGTTTACCTCAGTGAGATGAATGCATACATCACAAAGAGGTTTCTCAAGTAAGTTCAGTCTCATCTTCTTCCTGGGATAGTCCCTTTTTCGACATTGGCCTCAATGAGTTCTCAAATGTCCATTCAGAATGGAAGAAAAAAGCAGTTTTCAAAACTGTTGAAGGAAAGGAAAGATTTAACTCTGCTAGATGAATGCACACATCACAAAGCAGCTTCACAGAGTGCTTCCTTCTGTTTTTGTTCTGGGTTATTTGCTTTTTTTTGCAATTGGCCCCCATGAGCTCCCTTAAGTCCATTTGAAAAATTGACAAAAACAGTGTTTCCAAACTGCTGAATGAAAAGAAAGATTTAAGTCTGTGAGACGAATGCAAGCACCCAAACTGTTTTCTCAGATAGCTTCCTCTAAGTTTTTATCCTGGGACATTCCCTTTTTCACTATTGGCTTGAAAGAGCAGCAAAATGTCCATTTGCAGAAAAGACAAAAACAGTGTTTCCAAACTGCTGAATCACAAGAAAGTTTTAACTCTCTGAGACAAATGCACACATCAGAAAGAGGTTTCTCATAGTGCTTCCTTCTAGTTTTTATCCTGGGATATTCTCTTCTTTGCCATTGACCTCAATGAACTCCCAAATGTCCATTTGCATAATGGGCAAAAACAAAGTTTAAAAACACTAAATCAAAAGAATGGTTTAACCCTGAGAGATGAATGCACACATCACAAAGCAGTTTTTCAAAAAGATTTTTTTTGTTTCCATCTGAAGATATTTTCTTTTCAACCATAAGCCTCAATTCCCTTCCTAATGTCCATTCATAGATTCTACAAAAAAAGTGTTTTGGAACTGCAGAATGAATAGAAAGATTTAACTCTGTGAGATGAATGCACACATCACAAAGTGGTTTCTCAGACAGATTCCTCTTAGTGTTTATCCTGGGGCATTCCATTTTTTGCCATTGTCCTTAATGAACACCAAAATGTTCATTCACAGCATGGACAAAAACAGCGTTTCCAAACTTCTGACTCAAAAGAAACATTTAACTCTATGAGATGAATGCACATATCACAAAGAAGTTTCTCAGAAAGCTTCTTTCTAGTTTTTATCTGAAGGTATTATATTTTCACCCCAGTTCTCAATGTGCACCCAAATATCCCTTTGCAGATTCTGGTTTCTCAGATAGATTCCTCTTAGTGTTTATCCTGGGACATTCCATTTTTTGCCATTGTCCTTAATGAACACCAAAATGTCCGTTCAGAGAATGGACAAAAACAGTGTTTCTAAACTGTTGAATCAAAAGAAAGGTTTAATTCTGTAAGGTGAATGCAGACATCACAAAGCACTTTCTCAGAAAGCTTCTTTCTGGTTTTTATCTGAAGATCCCTTCACATATTCTACATAAACAGTGTTTCCAAACTGTTGAAGCAAAAGAAACTTTTAACTCTGTGAGATGAATACACACATCAGAAAAATGTTTCTGAGATAGCTTCCATCTAGTTTTTATCCTGGCATATTCACTTTTTCACCATTGGCCTCAATGAGCTCCCAAATGTCCAGACAAAAACAGTGTTTCCAAACTACTGAACAAAAAAAAGGATTAACTATGTGATATGAATGCACACATAACAGAGCGGTATCTCAGATAGTTTCCTTCTAGTTTTTATCCGGTGATATTTGCTTTTTTGCCATTTGCCTCAATGAGCTCCTATATGTCCACCACAGAATGGACAAAAACAGTTTTTCCAAGCTGCTAAATGAAAAGAAAGTTTTAACTCTGCGAGTTGAATGCACATTTCACAAAAAGTTTTCTCAGATAGCTTCCTTCTTCTTTTCATCCTGGGACATTGAATTTTTCATCATTGGGCTTAAAGGACTCCGAAATGTCCAATTGCAAAATAAACAAAAACAGTGTTTCCAAACAGCTGAATTAAAAGAAAGGTGTAACTTTGTGAGATGAATGCATACAACATAAAGCAGTTTCTCAGAAAGCTTCTTTCTATTTTTCATCTGAAGGTATTTTCTTTTCCATCATAGGCCTCAATGTGCTCCCAAATATACCTTCACAGATTCTACAAAAAGAGTGTTTCCAAACTGCTGAATGAAAAGAAAGGTTTAACTCTGTGAGATGAATGAGCACATCACAAGGCAGTTTCTCAGATAGCTTCCTCTGAGTTTATATCCTGTGATATTCAATTTTTTGCCATTTGCCTCAGTGAGCTCCCAAATGTGCATTCCAAGAATGGACAAATAAAGTGTTTCCAAACTGTTGAATCAAAACAAAGTTTTAACTCAGCGAGATGAAAACACACATCACAAAGCAGTTTCTCAGATAGATTCCTCTTAGTTTTTATCCTAGGACATTCAATTTTTCATCATTGGGCTTAAAGGTCTCCCAAATATCCAGTCGAAGAATAAAAAATACAGTGTTTCCAAACAGCTGAATTAAAAGAAAGGTGTAACTTTGTGAGGTGAATTCATACAACACAAAGCAGTTTATCAGAAAGCTTCTATTTCTTATCTGAAGATATTTTCTTTTTCATCATAGGTCTCAATGTGCTCCCAAATATACCTTCACAGATTCTACAAAAAGAGTGTTTCCAAACTGCTGAATGAAAAGAAAGTTTTAACTCTGCGAGATGAATGTGCACATCACAAGGCAGTTTCTCAGATAGCTTCCTCTGAGTTTATATCCTGTGACATTCAATTTTTCGCCTTTTGCCTCAATGAGCTCCCAAATGTGCATTCCAAGAATGGACAAATAAAGCGTTTCCAAACTGCTGAATCAAAAGAAAGGTTTAACTCTGTGAGATGAAACACATCATCACAAAGGAGTTTCTCAGATAGTTTCCTCTTAGTTTTTATCCTGGGACAATTTGATTTTTTGCCATTGGCCTCAAAGAGCTCCCAAATGTCCATTCAGAGAATGGACAAAAGCAGTGTTTCTAAACTTTTGAATTCAAAGAAAGGTTTAAATGTCTGAGATGAATGCACACATCACAAAGCAGTTTCTCAGAAAGCTACTTTCTCATTTTTATCTGAAGATATTTTCTTTTTCAAAATAGGCCTCAAAGCACTCCCAAATATCCCTTCACAGATTCTACAGAAACAGTGTTTCCAAGCTGCTGAATGTAAAGAAAGGTTTCACTTGCTAGATGAATGTGCACATAACAAAGCAGTTTCTCAGATAGTTTCCTCTGAGTTTATATCCTGTGACATTCAATTTTTCACCATTGTCCTCAAAGAGCTCTGAAATGTGCATTTCCAGAATGGACAAATAAAGTGTTTCCAAACTGCTGAATCAAAATAAAGTTTAACTCTGTGAGATGAATGCACACATCACAGAGCAGTTTCTCAGAAAGCATTTTTTCTAGTTTTTATCTACAGATATTTTCTATTTGAACATAGGCCTCAATGCACTCTGAAATAACCCTTCACAGATGCTAAAAAAAGAGTTTTTCCAAACTGCTTAATGAAAAGGAAGGTTTACCTCTTTGAGATGAATGAACACATCATAAAAAGTTTTCTAATATAGCTTTCTTCTAGTTTTCATCCTGAAATATTTTCTTTTTCGCCATTGGCCTCAATGAGCTCCCAAATTTCCATTTGCAGAATGGAAAAAAACAGTGTTTCCAAACTTCTGAATCAAAAGAAAGTTTTAAGTCTGTGAGATGAATGCACACATCACAAAGTAATTTCTCAGAAAGTTTCTTTCTATTTTTATCTGAAGATATTTTCTTTTTCACCATAGGCCACAATGTGCTCCCAAATATTTATTTGCAGATGCTACAAAAACAATTTTTCCAAATTGCTTAATGAAAAGAAAGTTTTACCTCAACAAGATGAATGCACACATCATATGGGTTTCTCAGATAGCTTCCTTCTCATTTTCTTCCTGGGATATTCGTTTCTTCGCAATTGGCCTCAGTGAGCTCCCACATGTCCATTTGCAGAATGGAAATTAAACAGTGTTTCAAAACTGCTGAGTGAAAGGACAGGTTTAACTCTGCTAGATGAATGCACACATCACAAAGCAGTTTCACAGATAGCTTCTTTCTGTTTTTATTCTAGGTTATTTGCTTTTTTGCCATTGGCCTCAATGAGCTCCCTAAAGGCCGTTTGCAGAAAAGACAAAAACAGTGTTTCCAAACCACTGAATCAAAAGAAAATTTTAACTCTCTGAGACAAATGCACACATCACAAAGCAGTTTCTCATAGAGCTTCCTTCTAATTTTTATCCTGGGATATTTTCTTCTCACCTTTGACCTCAAATAGCTCCCAAATGTCCATTCACAGAATGGACAAAAACAGTGTTTAAAAGCTGCTGAAACAAAAGAATGGTTTAACCCTGTGAGACGAATGCAAACATCACAAAGCAGTTTTTCAAAAAGATTTTTTATAGTTTCTATTTGAAGATGATTTCTTTTCAACCATAGGCCTCAGTTCACTCCCAAATGTCCATTTGTAGATTCTACAAAAACAGTGTTTCCAAACTGCTGAAAGAAAAATAAGATTTACATCCTCAAGCTGAATGCACACATCACAAAGAGCTTCCTTCTGCTTTTATAGCTTCCTCAGATAGCTTCCTTCTGTTTTTATACTATGATATTCACCTTATTGCCATTGGCCTCAATGAGCTCCCAAAAGTCCACTGACAGAATTGACAAAAACAGTGTTTCCAAACTGCTGAACCAAAAGAAAGTTTTAACTCTGTGCGGTGAATGCACATATCACAAAATGGTTTCTCAGATAGCTTCCTTCCAGTTTTTATCCTGGGATATTTGCTTTTTCCCCATTGGTCTCAATGAGATCCCAAATATCCATTCATAGAGTGGACAAAAACAGTGTTTCCAAACTGCTAAATCAATAACAGGTTTAACTCTGTGCAATGAATGCACAATCACAAAGCAGTTTTTCAGAAAGCTTCTTTCTAGTTTTTACCTGAAGACATTTTCTTTTTCATCATAAGCTGCACTGTGCTCCCAAATATTTCTTTGCAGATTCCACAAATACAATTTTTCCAAACTGCTTTATGAAAAGAAAGGTTTATCTCTGCGAGATAAATGCACGCATCACAAAGATTTTTCTCTGTCAGCTTCTTTCTGGTTTCTTCCTGGGATATTCATTTTTTTTGCCATTAACCTCAAAGAGCTCCTAAATGCCCATTCACAGAAAGGAAAAAAGCAAAGTTTCAAAACTTCAGAATGAAAGAAAAGGTTTAACTCTGCAAGATGAATGCACACGTCACAAAGCAGTTTCTCAGATAGCATCCTCTTGTTTTTATTCTGGGTTTTTTCCTTTTTTGCCATTGGCCAAATGAGCTCCCAAATATCCAGATGGAAACAGTTTTTCCAAACTACTCAATCAAAAGAAAGTTTTAACTATGTAAGATGCATTCACACACAGCAAAGAAGTTTCTCAGAAAGCTTCTTTCTGGTTTTTATCTGAAGATATTTTCTTTTTCATCACAGGCCTCAAGGTGTTCCCAAATATCCCTTGGCAGATTCTACAAAACCAGTGTTTCAAAACTGCTGAATGAAAAGAAAAGTTTAACTCAGACAGATGAATGCACACATCACAAAGCAGTTTCTCATATAGCTCCCTTCTACTTTTTATCTGGTGATATTCCCTTTTTCACCATTGGCCTCAATGAGCAACCATATGTCCACTCACAGAATGGACAAAAATAGTGTTTCAAAACTGCGGAATGAAAAGAAAGGTTTAACTCAGTGAGATGAGTTTACATATCACATAAAGGTTTCTCAGATAGCTTCCTTCTACTTTTCATTCTGGGATATTCGATTTTTTGTCATTGGCCTGAATGAGCTCTGAAATGTCCATTCCCAGAATGGAAAAAATCAGTTTTTCCAAACTGCTAGGTCTAAAGAAAGGTGTAACTTTGTGAGATGAATGCACAGAACACAAAGCAGTTCCTCAGAAACTATTTTTCGACTTTTTATCTGATGATAGTTTCTTTTTCACCATAGGCCTCAATTTGCTCCCAAATATCTTATACCAGATCATACAAAAACAGTTTTTCCAAACTTCTTAACGAAAAGAAAGATAGACCTCTGCAAGACGAATGCACACATCACAAAGAGGTTCCTGAGATAGCTTCTTTCTGATTTTCTTCATGGGATATTCACTTTTTCGACTTTGGCGTCAAAGAGCTCCCAAATGTCTTTTCATAGAATGGACAAAAATATTGTATCCAAATTGCTGAATCAAAAGTAAGTTTTAACTCTGTGATATAAATGTCCACATCACAAAGCTGTTTCTCATATACATTCTTTCTGTTTTATTTGGTGATATTCACTTTTTCACCTTTTGCCTCAATGAGCTCCCAAAGGTCCATTTGCAGAATAAACGAAAATCATGTTTCTAAACTGCTGAATCAAAAGAAAGGTTTAACACTGCAAGATGAATGCACACATCACAAAACAGTTCCTTAGATAGCTTCCTTCTAGTTTTTATCTTGGGATATTCACTCTTTCACCATTGGCCTCAATGAGCTCCCAAATGTGCATTCCCAGATTGGACAAATAAAGTGTTTCCAAACTGCTGAATCAAAGGAAAAGTTTAAATCTGTCAGGTGAATGCACACATCACAAAGCAGTTTCTCAGAATGCTTCTTTCTAGTTTTTATCTGCAGATATTTTCTTTTTGAACATAGACCTCAATGTGCTCCCAAATAAACCTTTGCAGAGGCTACAAAAACAGTTTTTCCAACCTGATTAATGAAAAGAAATGTTTACCTCTGTGAGATGAATGAACACATCACAAAAAGATTTCTAATATAGCTTACTTCTAGTTTTCATCCTGAAACATTCCCCTTTTCGCTATTGGCCTCAATGAGCTCCAAGTTGTCCGTTCTGAGACTCTACAAAAACTGTGTTACCAAACTGCTGAAGGAAAAGAAATATTTAACTCCTCAAGCTGAATGCACACATCACAAAGCACTTTCTGAGATGGCTTCCTTTTCGTTTTTATCCTGGGATATTCAATTTTCACCATAGGCCTTAGTGAGCTCCCATATGGCCATCCACAGAATGGATATAAACAGTGTTTCCAAACTGTTGAATCAAAAGAAAAGTTTGACTCTGTGAGAGGAATTCACATATCTCAAAGCAGTTTCTCAGAAAGCTTCTTTCTAGTTTTTAATCTGAAGATATTTTCTTTTTCACCATAGGCCTCAATGAGCTATGCAAGTATAACTTCACAAATTCTACAAAAACAACGTTTCCAAGCTGCTGAATGAAATATATGATTTAACTCCATGAGCTGAATACACACATCACAAAGAGGTTTCTCAGATAGTGCCTTGTAGTTGTTTCCTGGAATATTCATTTTTTCACCTTTTGCCTCAATGAGCTCCCAAAAGTCCATTCGCTGAATGCACAAAAACAGTGTTTCCAAACTGCTGAATCAAAAGAAAGATTAAACTCTGCTAGATGAATGCAAACATCACAAAAGGGTTTCTCAGATAACTTCCTCGTAGTCTTTATCTGGGGATATTTTCTTTTTCACCATTGTCCTCAATGTGCTCCCAATTGTCCATCTGGAGATTCTACAAAAACCGTGTTACCAAACTGCTGAAGAAAAAAAAATATTTAATGCCTCAAACTAAATGCACACGTCACAAAGCGATTTCTGAGATAGCCTCAACTAGTTTTTATCCTGAGATATTCACTGTTTCACCATAGGCCTTAATGAGCTCCTGTATGGCCATCCACAGGAATGGACATAAACAGTGTTACCAAACTGCTGAATCAAAAGAAACGTTTACCTCTGTGAGACAAATGCACACATCACAAACAGTTTCTCAGAGAGCTTCTTTCTATTTTTTACCTGAAGATAATTTATTTTACACCATAGGCCTCAATGTGCTCCCAAACATCCCTTTGCAGATTCTACAAAAAAAGTGTTTCCAAACTGCTGAATAAAAAGAAGGGTTTAACGCTGTGAGATGAATGCAAACATCACAAGGTGGTTTCTCAGATAGCTTCCTTTTAGTTTTTATCCTGGGACATTTGATTTTTTGCCATTGGCCTCAATGAGCTCCCAGATATTCGTACTCAGAATGGACAAAAACAGTGTTCCCAAACTGTTGAATTGAAAGAAAAGTTTAATTCTGTGAGGTGAATGCACACATCTCAAAGCAGTTTCTCAGAAATCTTCTTTCTTGTTTTTATCTGAAGATATTTTCTTTTGGACCATAGGCCTCAATGCAGTATGCAAATAACCCTTCACATGTTCTACAAAAACAATGTTTCCAAACTGCTGAATGAAATGTAAGATTTAACTCCATGAGCTGAATACACACATCACAAAGCAGTTTCTCAGATAGTGCCTTGTAGTTTTTTCCAGGGATATTCACTTTTTCACATTTTGCCTCAATGAGCTCCAAAATGTCCATTCACAGAATGCACAAAAACAGTGTTTGCAAACTGCTGAATCAAAAGAAAGGTTTAACTCTGCAAGATGAATGCACACATCACAAAGCAATTTCTCAGATAGCTTCTTTGTAGTTTTTATCTGACAATATTTTCTTTTTCAACATAGGCCTCAATGTGCTCCCAAATATCTCTTTGCAGATTCTACAAAAACGGCATTTCCAATCTGCTGAATGAAAAGAAATGTTTAACTCTGCGAGATGAATGGACACATCACAAAGCAGTTTCTCAGGTAGCTTCTTTCTAGTTTTAATCCTGGGATAATCACTTTTTAGCCATTGGCCTCAGTGAGCTCACAAATGTCCACTCACAAAATGGACAAAAACAATGTTTCCAAACGGCTGAATGAAAAGAAAATGTTTATCTCTGCGAGATGAATGCACACAACACAAAGCAGTTTCTCAAAAAGTTTCATTCTAGTTTTTATCTGAAGATATTTTCTTTTTCACCACAGGCCTTAACATGCTCACAAATTTTCCTTCACGGATCCTACCAAAGCAGCCTTTCCAAACTGCTGAATGAAAAGAAAGGTTTACCTCTACGAGATGAATCCACACATCACAAGGGGTGTCTAAGATAGTTTCCTTCTAGTTTTTATCCTTGAATATTCACTTTTTCACTATTGGCCTCAATGAGCTCCCAAATATCCAATTGCAGAATAGAGAAAAACAGAGTTTACAAACTGCTGAGTCAAAATAACGTTTTAACTATGTGAATTAAATGCACCCATCACAAAGCAGTTTCTCAGAAAACTTCTTTCTAGTTTTTATCTGAAGATATATCCTTTCTCACCATAGGCCTCAAGGCGCTCCAAAATATCCCTTCTGAGATTCTACAAAAACAGTGTTTCCAAACTGCTAAATAAAAAGAATGCTTTAAATCTGTGAGATGAATGCACCAATACCAAAGCAGTTTCTCAGAATGCTTCTTTCTAGTTTTTATCTGAAGATGTTTTCTATTTCACCATAGGCCTCAATGGGCTCCCAAATATAACTTCGTCGATACTGCAATAACAGTGTTTCCAAACAGCTGGATGAAAAGGAAGTTTTTAAACTGTGAAGTGAATGCACACATCACAAAGCTGTTTCTCAAAAGCTTCTTTCTAGTTTTTATGTGAAGATATTTCCTTTTTCACCAAAGGTCTCAATGTGTTCCCAAATATCCCTTTGCAGCTTCTACAAAAACAGTGTTTCCAAACTGCTGCATGAAAAGAAAGTTTTAACTCTGTGAGATTTATGCACACATCACAAAGCAGTTTCTCAGATAGCTTCTTCTTGTTTTTATCCTGGGATATTCGCATTTTTGCCATTAGTCTCAATGTGCTCTTAAATATCCATTTGCAGAATGGAGAAAAAGATTGTTTCCAAACTGCTGAATCAAAGGAAAGTTTTCGCTCTGTGGGATGAATGCACACATCAAAAAGCAGTTTGCCAGAAAGCTTCATTGCAGTTTTGATCCTGGAATTTTCACTTTTTCATCATTGGCTTCAATGAGCTCACAAGTATCCATTCACAGAAAGGATAAAAACAGGGTTTCCAAACTGCTGAATCAAAAGAAAGTTTTACTCTGCAAGATAAATGCACACATCACAAAGTGGATTCTCAGGTAATTTGCTTCTAGTTTTTATCCTTTGATATTAACTTTTTCACCTTTGGCCTCAATGAGCTCCCAAAAGTCCACTCACAGAATGGACAAAAACAGTGTTTCCAAACTGCTGAATCAAAAGAAAGATTTCACATTGTGAGATGAATGCACACATCACAAAGTGGATTCTCAGGTAGCTTGCTTCTAGTTTTTATCCTTTGATACTCACTTTTTCACCATTGGCCTCAATGAGCTCCCAAAAGTCCATTCACAGAATGGACAAAAACAGTGTTTCCAAACTGCTGAATCAAAAGAAAGATTTCACACTGTGAGATGAATTCACACATCACAAAGTGATTTCTCACATAGCTTCCTTCTAGTTTTTATCCTTAGATATTAGCTTTTTTGCCATTGGTCTCAATGAGCTCCCATATGTCCATTCAAAGAATGGACAAAAAGAGTGTTTCCAAACTGCTAAATCAGAGGAAAGTTTTAACTCTGTGGAGGAATGCACACATCACAAGGCAGTTTCTAAGAAAGCTTCTTTCTAGTTTTTATCTGAAGATATTTTCTTTTTCACCGTAGGCCTCAATGCACTCCCATATATCCCTTTGAGGATTCTACAAAAACAGTGTTTCAAACAGCTGAATGAAAAGAAATGTTTAACTCTCTGAAATGAATGAACATATCACAAAGTGGTTTCTCAGATAGCTTCCTTCTAGATTTTATCCTGGGTATCTTCTTTTTCACCACAGTCCTCAATAAGCTCCGAAAAGTCCATTCACAGAATGGACAAAAACCGAGATTTCAAACTGCTGAATCAAAAGAAAGTTTTCACTGTGAGATGAACACACACATTCAAAAGTGGTTTCTCATAGCTTCCTTCTAGTTGTTATTTTTTGGATATTTGCATTTTTGCTATTGGCCTCAATGAGCTCCCAAACTTTGCAAGATGAATACACACACCACAAGATGGCTTCTCAGATAGCTCCCTTCTACATTTTATCCTGGGATGTTCACTTTTTCACCTTTGGCCTCAGTTATCACCCAAATGTCCATTTGCACATTGGAAAAAACAGTGTTTCCTAACTGCTCAATTAAAAGAAAGTTTGATCTCTGTGAGATGAATGTAAACGTCACAAAATGGTTTTTCAGATAGCTTCCTTCTAGTATTTATCTGAAGATATTTTCCTTTTCACCATATGCCTCAATGCGCTCCCAAATATCCCTTCACAGATTCTACAAAAACAGTGTTTCCCTACTGCTGAATGAAAAGAAATGTTTAAGCCAGTGAGACAAATGCACACAACACAAAAAGGTTTCCCATATAGCTTCCTTCTTGTTTTTATCCTTGGATATTCGCTCTTTTGCAATTGGCCTCAATGAGCTCAACATGTCCATTTGCAAAATGGACAAAAACGGTATTTTCAAACTGCTGAATTTAAAGAAAGGTTTAAATCTGTGGGATGAATGGACATATCACAAAGCAGTTTCTCACAAAGCTTCTTTCCCATTTTTTTCAGAAGATAATTTCTTTAACACCATAGACCTCAATGTGCTCTCAAATATCAATTCGCTAATTCCACAAAACAGTGTTTCCAAACTGCTCAATGAACAGAAATATTTAATTATGAGAGATGAATGCACCC
Source organism: Homo sapiens (assembly GCF_000001405.40). NCBI lineage: Eukaryota > Metazoa > Chordata > Mammalia > Primates > Hominidae > Homo > Homo sapiens. The sequence goes on from NT_187383.1 coordinate 768,731, forward strand.
ATCACAAAGTGTTTTCTCAGCTTCCTTCTAGTGAATATCCTTCTATATTTGCTTTTTCGCCATTGGCCACAAAGAGCTCCAAAATGGCCATTTGCAGAATGGAAATAAACATTGTTTCCAATCTGCTGAACGAAAATAAACGTTTAACTCTGTGACACGAAGGTACACATCACAAAGCAGTTTCTCAGAAAGCTTCTTTCTAGTTTTTATGTGACAATATTTCCTTTTTCACTATAGGCCTCAATGCACTGCCAAATATCCCTTCACAGATTCTACAAAAACAGTCTTTCCAAACTGCTGAATGAAAAGCAGGTTTTAACTCTGTGAAGTGAATGCACACATCACAAAATGGTTTCTCAGGTTGCTTCCTTCTAGTTTTTATCCTTGGATATTCACTTTTTCAACATTGGCCTCAATGAGCTCCCAAATGTCCATTTATAGTATGGACAAAACAGTATTTCCAAACTGCTGAATCTAAAGAAAGGTTTAACCCTGTGAGATGAATGCACAGCTCACAAAGCATTTTCTCATAGCTTCTTTCTAGTTTTAATCTGAAAATATTTCCTTTTTCAGCAAAGGCCTCAATATGCTCCCAAATACCCTTTTGCAGATTCTACAAAAACAGTGTTTCCAAACCACTAAATTAAAAAAAGGTTTAACTCTGCAGTGTGATGGCACATTTTATTGAGCAGTTTCTCCGATAGCTTCCTTCTAGTATTTTTCCTGGGGTATTCCCTTTTTTGCCATTGGTTTCAATGAGCTCTGAAATGTCCACTCACAGAATGGGAAAAAAAACAGTGTTTCCAAAGCGCTGAATCAAAAGAAAGGTTTACCTCTCTGAGATGAATGCACACATCAGAATGCCATTTCTCATAAAACTTCTTTCTAGTTTTTATTAGAAGATATTTTCTTTTTCACCAAAGTCCTCAACGCACTCCCACATATCACTTTGCAGATACTAAAAAAATAGAGTTTACAAACTGCTCAATGAAAAGAAAGGTTTAACTCTGTGAGATAAATGCACACATCACAGTGCAGTTTCTCAGATAGCTTCCTTCTATTTTTTTTCCTGGTATATACCCTTTTTCACGTTGGCCTCTATGAACTACCAAATATCAATTCACAGAATGGACCAAAACAGTGTTTCAAAACTGCTGAATCAAAAGAAAGGTTTAACACTGTGAGAAGAATGCACATATCACAAATTGGTTTCTCAAATGGCTTCCTTCTAGTTTTTATCCCAGGATATTCGCTTTTTTGTCATTGGCCTCAATGAGCTCCCAAATGTCCATTCGAAGAAAGGAAAAGACAGTGTTCGAAAACTGCTGAATAAAGCAAAGTTTTAAGTCTGTGAGATGAATGCACACATCACAAAGCAGTTTCTCAGAAAGCTAATTTCTAGTTTTTATCTGAAGTTATTTTCTGTTTCACCTTAGGCCTCTATGTGCTCCTAAATATCCCTTTGAAGGATCTACAAAAATAGTGTTTCAAAGAGCTGATTGAAAAGAAAGGTTTAACTCTCTGAGATGAATGAACATATCACAAAGCTGTTTCTCAGATAGTTTCCTTCTAGTTTTTATCCTGGAATATTTGCTTTTTCACCACTGGCTTCAATAAGCTCCCAAATATCCATTCCCAGAATGGACAAAAACAGAGTTTCCAAACTGTTGAATCTAAAGAAAATGTGAGCTCTGTGAGAGAATGCACACTTTCCAAAGCAGTTTCTCATAGTTTCCTTCTAGTTTTTATTTTTGGAAATTTACTCTTTTGCTATTGGCCTCAATGATCTCCCATTCACAGAATGGACAAAAAGTATGATTCCAAACTGCTGAATGAAGAAAAGGTTTAACTTTGTGAGATGAATGTGCACATCACCAATCGGTTTCACAAATAGTTTCCTTGTAGTTTTTATCCTTGGATATTTGCTTTTTTTCCATTGGCCTAAATGAGCTCCCAATTGACCATTGGCAGAATGGGCAAAAACAGTGTTTCAAAACTGCTGAATCAAAAGAAAGGTTTAAATTGGTGAGATGAATGCACACACCACAAAACAGTTACTAAGAAAGCTCCTTTCTAGTTTTTATCTGAAGATATTTTCTTTTCTCAATAGGCCTCAATGCCCTCCAAAATACACCGTCACAGATTCTACAAAAACATTGTTTCCAAACAGCTGAATAAAAAGAAACATTTACTTCTGAAAAATGAATACACACATCACAACATGGTTTCTCAGCTCCATTCAAGGTTTTATCCTGTGATATTCTTTTTTTTTCACTGCTGGCCTCAATTTGCTCTCAAATGTCCATTCACAGATTGGACAAAAACAGTTTCTCCAAATTGCTCAATTAAAACAAAGTTTTATCTCTGTGAGACAAATGCAAACATCACAAAGCAGTTTCTCAGATAGCTTCCTTATAGTTTTTATCTTAGAATATTTTCTTTTTTGCCCTTGGCCCCAAGGAGCTCCCAACTATCCATTCTCAGAATGGACAAAACAGTGTTTCCAAACTGCTGAATCAAAAGAAGAGTTTAACTCAGTGAGATGAATGCACACGTCACAATGCAGTTCCTCAGAAAGCTTTTTTCTGATTCCTTTTTTTCTTTCTTTTTTTTCTTTTATTATTATACTTTAAGTTTTAGGGTACATGTGCACATTGTGCACGTTAGTTACATATGTATACATGTGCCATGCTGGTGCACTGCACCCACTAACTTGTCATTTAGCATTAGGTATATCTCCCAATGCTATCCCTCCTCCCTCCCGCCACCCCACAACAGTCCCCAGAGTGTGATGTTCCCCTTCCTGTGTCCATGTGATCTCATTGTTCAATTCCCACCTATGAGTGAGAATATGCGGCGTTTGGTTTTTTGTTCTTGAGAATAGTTTACTGAGAATGATGATTTCCAATTTCATCCATGTCCCTACAAAGGACATGAACTCATCATTTTTTATGGCTGCATAGTATTCCATGGTGTATATGTGCCACATTTTCTTAATCCAGTCTATCAGTGTTGGACATTTGGGTTGGTTCCAAGTCTTTGCTATTGTGAATAGTGCCACAATAAACATATGTGTGCATGTGTCTTTATAGCAGCATGATTTATAGTCCTTTGGGTATATACCCAGTAATGGAATGGCTGGGTCAAATGGTATTTCTAGTTCTAGATCCCTGAGGAATCGCCACACTGACTTCCACAATGGTTGAACTAGTTTACAGTCCTACCAACAGTGTAAAAGTGTTCCTATTTCTCCACAACCTCTCCAGCACCTGTTGTTCCCAGACTTTTTAATGATTGCCATTCTAACTGGTGTGATATGGTATCTCATTGTGGTTTTGATTTGCATTTCTCTGATGGCCAGTGATGATGAGCATTTTTTCATGTGTTTTTTGGCTGCATAAATGTATTCTTTTGAGAAGTGTCTGTTCATGTCCTTCACCCACTTTTTAATGGGGTTGTTTGTTTTTTTCTTGTAAATTTGTTTGAGTTCATTGTAGATTCTGGATATTAGCCCTATGTCAGATGAGTAGGTTGCGAAAATTTTCTCCCATTTTGTAGGTTGCCTGTTCACTCTGATGGTAGTTTCTTTTGCTGTGCAGGAGCTCTTTAGTTTAATTAGATCCCATTTGTCAATTTTGGCTTTTGTTGCCATTGCTTTTGGTGTTTTAGACATGACGTCCTTGCCCATGCCTATGTCCTGAATGGTATTGCCTAGGCTTTTTTCTGATTCTTATCTGAAGATATTTTCCTTTTCACCACAGGCCACAATGCACTCCCAAATATCCCTTTGCAGATTCTACAAAAACAGTGTTTCTAAAGCACTGAATGGAAAGAAATGTTTAAGTCAGCAAGACAAATGCACACATCACAAAGAAGTTTCTTAGATAGGTTCCTTCTAGTTTTTATCCTTGGATATTCACTCTTTTGCAATTGGCCTAAATGAGCTCAAAAATGTCCATTCAAAAAATGGACAAAAACAGTGTTTCCAAACTGCTGAATGTGAAGAAAGTTTTAACTCTGTGAGATGAATGGCCACATCACAAAGCAATTTCTCACAAAGGTTCTTTCCCATTTTTTCCAAAAATATTTTCTTTTTCTCCATAGGCCTCAATGCACCCCCAAATATCAATTCACAAATTCTACAAAAACAGTGTTTCCAAACTGCTCAATGAAAAGAGAATTTTAGCTATGTGAGATTAATGCACAGTTCACAAAGCAGTTTCTCAGATACCTTTCTTCTAGTTTTTATCCCAGGCTATTCCCTTTTCACCATTGGCTTCAATGATCTCCCAAATGTCCATTCGCAGAATTGACAAAAACTCTGTTTCCAAACTGCCAAATCAAAAGAAAGCTTTAACTCTGTGAGATGAATGCACACGTCACAAAGCAGTTTCTCAGAAAGCTCATTTCTAGTTTTTATCTGAAGTTATTTTCTGTTTCACCTTAGGCCTCTATGTGTTCCTAAATATTCCTTCACAGTTTCTGCAAAAACAGTTTCTCCAAACTGCTGAGGGAAAATGATGGTTTAACTCTGTGAGGTGAATGCACACATCACCAAGAGAGTTCTCTGATTGCTTCCTTCTAGTTTTTATCCTCGGATATTCACTTTTTCGCCATTGGCCTCAAATAGCTCTGAAATGTCCATTCACAGAATAGAAAAAAACTGTGTTTCCAAACTGCTGAATCAAAAGAAAGGTTTAACTGTGTGAGATGATGGCACACTTCAAAAAGTAGCTTCTCAGAAAGCTTCTGTCTAGTTTTTATCTGAAAATATTTCCTTTACAACCGTTGGCCTCCATGCACTCCAAAATATCCCTATGCAGATTGAATAAAAATCATGTTTAAAACTGCTGAATAAAAAGAAAGGTTTACACATGACAATGTGATTTCTCAGACAGCTTCATTCTAGTTTTTAACCTGGGATATTTGCTTTTTTGCCAATGACCTCAATGAGCTCCCAAATATCCATTCACAGAAAGGAAAAAAACTGTTTACAAACTGCTGAATCAAAGAAAGTTTTAAATCTATGCAATGAATGCCCCCATCACAAAGTGGTTTCTCAGACAGCCTCCTTCTAATTTTTATCCTGGGATACTCACTTTTTTGCCATTGGCCTCAAGGAACTCTCAAGTGTCCATTTGCAGAATGCACAAAAACAGTGTTTCAAAACTGCTGTATCAAAAAAAGATTTAACTTTGTGAAATGAATGCACACATCACAAAGCAATTTCTCAGATAGCTTCCTTCTAGATTTCATCCTGGGATAGTCTCTTTTTCACCATTAGCTTAATGACCTTTCAAATGTCCATTTGCAGAAAGTACAAAAATAGTGTTACCAAACTGCTGAATCAAAAGCAATGTTAAACTCCGTGAGATGAATGAGCATACTGAAAAGTGGCTTCTCCAGTAGCTTCCTTCTTGATTTTTTCCTGGGATATTTGTTTTCTCACTGTTGGACTCAATGAGCTCCCAAATGACCGCACGCAGAATGGACAAAAACAGTGTTTCCAAACTGCTGAATCAAAAGAATGGTTCAACTTTTTGAGATGAATGCAAACATCACATCTCAGAAAGTTACTTCTAGTCTTTTTCTGAAGATATTTTCTTTTTCACCATAGGCCACAATGCTCTCCCAAATACCTCTTAGCTGATTCTACAAAAACAGTATTTCTAAACTGCTGAATGAACAGAAAGTTTACCTCTGTGAGATGAATGCACACATCACAATGCTGTTTCTCAGATAAATTCCTTCTAGTTTTCATAATGGGATATTCGGTTTTTCACTATTGCCCTCAATGAGCTCCCAAATGTACATTCACAGAATGAACAAAAACTATGTTTCCAAACTGCTGAATCAAAAGAATGGTTTAACTCTTGGAGATGAATGAAAGCATCACAAAGCAGTTTCTCAGAAAGTTTCTTTCTAGTTTTTATATCTGAAGATATTTTCCTTTTCACTATAGGCCACAATGTGCTCCCAAATATCCCATCACAGATTCTAACAAAAGAGTGCTTTAAAACTGCTCAATAAAAGGAAAGATTTAATTCTCTGAGATGAAGGCACACATCACAAATTGGTTCCTCATATAGCTTCCTTTTGGATTTGCCCTGGGATTATCGCACTTTCATCATTGACCTCAAAGAGCTCCCAAATGTCCATTCACAGAAAGGACTAAAACAGTGTTTCCAAACTGCTGAATCAAATAAACTTTTAAATCTGCGTGATGAATGCACCCATCACAAAGTGATTTCTCATACAGCTTCCTTCTAGTTTTTATCCTTGGATATTCACTTCACCATTGGTCTCAAGGAGCTCCTAAGTGTACATTCACAAAATGGACAAAAACATTATTTCAAAACTGCTGAATCCAAGGAAAGGTTTAATTCAGTGAGGTGCAGGTACACATCACAAAGCAGTTTCTCAGAAAGATTATTTCTAGTTTTTATCTAAATATATTTACTTTTTCACCATAGGCATCAATGCACTCCCAAATATTTCTTAGCAGATGCTAAAAAACAAAGAAAAAACTTTCCAAACTGCTAAATGAAATGAAAGGTTTAACTCTGCTTGGTGAATGCACATATCACAAAACCGTTTATCAGATAGGTTCCCTCTAGTTTTTGTCCTGTGATATTCATTTTTTTTTGCCATTGGCCTCAATGAGCTCCCATATGTCCATTCACAGAATGGACAAAAAAAATGCTGAATCAAAAGAAATGTTTACCTCTGTGAGATGAATGCACACTTCACTAAGCACTTTCTCAGAATGTTTCTTTCTAGTTTTTATCTAAAGGTATTTTCTTTTTCACCATTGGCATCCAAGAGCTCCCAAATATGCCATCACAGATCCTTCAAAAACTGTGTTTCCAAATGCTAAATGAAAAGAAATGTTAACATATCATAAAGCAGTTTTTCAGATAGCTTCATTCTAGTTTTTATCTTTGTATTTTCACTTTTTTGCAATTCACCTCAATGAGATCCCAAATATCCATTCACAGAAAGTACAAAAACAGTGTTTACAAACAGCTGAATCAAAAGAAAGTTTTACATCTCATAGATGAATGCACAAACAACAAAGCAGTTTCTCAGAAAGCTTCTTTCTAGTTTTTATTTGGAGATATTTTCTTTATCCACATAGGCCTCAAAAGACACCCAAGTATTCCTTCACAGATACTACAAAAACAGGGTTTCCAAGTTGCTGAATGAAGAGAAAGGTTTACCTTGGTGAGATGAATACACATCAAAAAGCAGTTCCTCAGATACCGTTTTTCTAATTTTTATCCTGGGATATTCACTTTTTCACCATTGTCCTGAATGAGCTCCTAACTGTCCATTCTCAGAATGGACAAAACCGTGTTTCTAAACTGCTGAATGAAAAGAAACTTATACCTCTGTGGGAAGAATTGACACATCACAAAGCATTTTCTCTGGTAGCTTCCTTTTAGTTTTTATCCTGGGATATGCACTTTTTCACTATTGGCCTCAATGAGCTGTCAAATATCCATTGGCAGAATGGACAAAAACAGTGTTTCCAAACTCCTGAATGAAAAGACAGGTTTAACTCTGTGAGATGAATGTGCACATCACAAAGCATTTCTCAGATAGCTTCCTTCTAGTTTTTATCCTGGGATATTTGCTTTCTCTCCATTGGCTTCAATGAGTTTTCAAATGTCTATTCACAGAATGGACAAAAACAGTTTTTGAAAACTGCTATATCAAAAGAAAGGTTTAACTCTGTGGAATGAATGCACACATCACAAATCAGTTTCTCAGAAAGCTTCCACCTAGTTTTTATCTGAAGGTATTTTATTTTTCACCGTCTCAATGCACTGTGAAACAACCCTTCAGATATTCTACAAAAACAGTGTTTCAGAACTGCTGAATGAAAAGTACGTTATAACTCTGAGAGTTGAATGCACACCAAACAAGGCGGTTTTTCAGATAGCTTCCTTCTAGTTTTTGTCCTGAGATATTCACTTTTTCTTCATTGGCCTCAAGGAGTTTTCAAATGTCTATTCACAGAATGGACAAAAACAGTTTTTGAAAACTGCTGAATTAAAAGAAAGGTTTAACTCTCTGGAACGAATGCACACATCACAAATCAGTTTCTCAGAAAGCTTCCATCTAGTTTTTATCTGAAGGTGTTTTATTTTTCACCATAGGCCTCAATGCACTCCGAAATTGCCCTTCAGAGATTCTTAAAAAAGCAGTGTTTTCAAACTGCTGAATCAAAAGAAAAGTTTAACTCTTCAAGATTAATGCACACCTAAGAAAGCCGAGTCTCAAATAGCTTCATGTAGTTTTTATCGTGGCATATTTTCTGTTTTGTCGTTGGCCTCAATAAGCTGCCAAATGTCCATTTGCAGAATGGACAAAAACAGTGTTTCCAATCTGCTGAACAAAAAGAAAGGTTTAACTCTGCAGGATGAATGCACACATCACAAAGCAGTACCTCAGAAAGATTCTTTGTAGTTTTTATCTGAATTTAATTTCTTTTCCACTGTAGTCCTCATTGCGTTCCCAAATATGTCTTTGCAGATTCTACAACAACAGTGTTTCCAAACTGCTGAATGAAAAGAAAAATTTAATTCTGTGAGATGAATGCACAATTTACAAGTGGTTTCTCAGATAGTGTCCTTCTAGTTTTTATCCTGAGATATTAACTTTTTTTGCCAGCCTCAAGGAGCTTTCAAAAGTCTATTCACAGAATTCACAGAGACAGTGTTTCTAAACTGCTGAATCAAAATAAAGGGTTCACTCTGTGAGATGAATGCACACATCACAAAACAGTTTCACAAAAACTTTCCGTCTGGCTTTAACCTGAACATATTTTCTTTTTCACCATAGGCTTAAATGCACTCCCAATTATTCCTTCTCAGATTTGAGAAAAACAGTGTTTCCAAACTGTTGAATGAAAGAAAGGTTTATCTCCATGAGATGGAAGCCCACATCACAAAGCACTTTCTCTAATAGTTTCCTTCTTGTTTTTCTCCTGGGATACTCGCCTTTTCGCCATTGGTCTCAATCTGCTCCCAAATGTCCATTCACAGAATGGACACAAATGGTGTTTCCAAACTGTCGAATGAAAAGAAACATTTAACTGTGTGAGATGAATGGACACAACACAGAGCAGTTTCTCAGCATGCTTCTTTCTAGTTTTTATTTGAGTATACTTTCTTTTTCACCATAGGCTGCAATGTGCTCCCAAATATCCCTTTGCAGATTCTTCAAAAACAGTGTTTCCAATCTGCTGAATGAAAATAAAGGTTTAAATCTGCGAGGTGAAAGCACATATCACAAAGCAGTATCTCAGAGACCTTCCTTCTGGTTTTTATCCTGGGATATTTGCTTTTACTCCATTGGTCTTACTGAGTTCCTAAACGTCCATTCACAGAATGGACAAAAATAGTGTTTCCAAACTACTTAATGAAAAGAAAGGTTTAACTCGGTGAGATGAATGCACACATCACAAAGGGGTGTCTCAGGTAGCTTCTTTTTAGTTGTTATCTGAAGATACTTGCTTTTTCACTATAGGCTGCTATGTTCTCCCAAATACACTTTTGCAGTTTCTACAAAAACAGGGTTTCCAAACTCCTGAATGAAAAGAACTGTTTAGCTCTGTGAGATGAATGCACCTATCAGAAAGCAGTTTCTCAGAAAGCTTCTTTCTAGTTTTTATCTGAATATATTTTCTTTTTCACCATAGTACTTAAAGTGCTCCCAAATATCCCTTTGCAGATTTTACAAAAACCGTGTTTCCTAATTGCTGAATGCAAAGAAAGGCTTATCTCTGCCAGGTGAATGCATACATCACAAGGCAGTTTCTCAGATCATTTCCTTCTAGTTTTTATCCTGGGATATTCACTTTTTTACCATTGGCCTCAATGAGCTGCTAAATGTCCATTCAGAGAGTGGACGTAAACAGTGTTTCCAAACTGCTGAATCAAAACAAAGTTTTAACTCTGTGGGGTGAATTCACACATCACAAAGCAGTTTCTCACAAAGCTTCTTTCTAGTTTTCATCTGAAGATATTTTCTACTTCACCATAGGCCTAAATGTGCTCCCAAGTATACTTTCACACATTCTACAAAAACAGTGTTTCCAACTGCTGAATCAAAAGAAAAGTTTAACTCTGTGACATGAATGTACACACCACAATATGGTTTCTTTGACAGCTCCATTCTTGTTTTTATCCTGAAATATTATTTTGTTCATCACTGGCCTAAATGACCCCCAAATGTCCATTCACAAAATGGACAAAAACAGTTTTTCCAAAGTGCTGAATCAAAAGAAATTTTTACCTGTGTGAGATGAATGCACACATCACAAAGCAGTTTTTCACAAAGCTTCTTTCTAGATTTTATCTGAAGTTATTTTCTTTTTCACCATAGTCCTCAAAGTACTCCCAAATATCTCTTCTCAGATTTTACAAAAACTGTTTCCAAACTGCTCAATCAAAAGAAAGGTTTATCTCTTATAGATGAATACATACATCACAGATCAATTTCTCACATAGCTTCCTACTATTTTTTACCCTTGGATATTTGCTTTTTTGAAATTGGCATCAATGACCTCCAAAATGTCCATTCAAAGAAAGGACAAAAACAGTGTTTGCAAACTTCTCAATCAAAAGAAATATTCATATCTGTGAGATGAATGGAAGCATCACAAAGCAGTTTCTCAGAAAGAGACTTTCTAGTTTTTTTCTTAAGATATATACTTTTTCATATATGTCAATGTGCTCCCAAATATCTCTTCTCAGATTCTATAAAAACAGTGTTTCCAAACTGGTGAAAGAAAAGAAAATTTTATCACTGCGAGATGAATGTACACATCACAAAGCAGTTTCTCAGCTAGGTTCCTTTGAGGTTGTAACCTTGGATATTTGCTTTTTCACCATTGGTCTCCAGGAGCTCCAAAATATTCTTTTGCAGGATGGACAAAAGCAATATTTCCAAACTGCTGAAGGAAAAGAAATATTTAACTCTGTGAGATGAATGCATGCAACACATTGTGGTTTGTCAGATACCTTCCTCCCAATTTTTATCTGGAATCTTCAGTATTTTGCCTTTGGCCTCAATGACCTCCAAAATGTCCATTCACAGAATGGACATAAACTATGTTTTCAAACTGCTAAATCAAAAGAAATGTTTAACTATGTGAGATGAATGCACACATTACAAAGTGGTTTCTCAGGTAGCTTCCTTCTAGCTCTTATCCTGAGAAATTTGCTTTTTTGCTATAGGCTTCAATGAGTTCCAAATTTCCACTCACTAATTGGACAAAAACTGTGTTTCCAAACTGCTGAATCAAAAGACAGTTTTAACTCTATCAGATGTATGCACACATCACAAAGCAGTTTCTCAGAAAGCTTCCCTCTAGTTTTTATCTGAAGATATTTTATTTTTCACCATAGGCCACAGGGCACTCATAAATATCCTTCTGCAGATTCTACAACAGTGTTTACAAACTGCTGCATGGAAAGAAAGGTTTATCTCCATGAGGTGAATACAAAGATCACAAGGCAGTTTCTCAGATAGATTCCATCTAGTTTTTATCCTGTTATAGTCTCTTTTTCGCCATTGGCCTCAATGAGCTCCCAAATGTCCATTTGCAGAATGGACAAAAGCAGTGTTTCAAAACTGCTGAATGAAAAGAACGGTTTAACTCTGTGAAATGAACGCACACATCACAAAGCAGATTCTCAGATAGCTTCCTTGTAGTTTTTATCCTTGGATATTCACTTTTTTGCCATTGGCCAAAATGTGTTCCCAAATGTCCATTCACGGAATAGACAAAAACAGTGTTTCCAAATGGCTAAATTTAAAAAAAAAAAGGTTTAACACTGTAAGATGAATGCACACATCACAAAGTGGTTTCTCAGATAGCTTCCTTCTAGTTGTTATCCTGGGATATTTTCTTTTTTGCCATTGTCTCAAAGAGCTCCAAAACGTCCATTTGCAGAATGGATAAAAACAGTGTTTCCAAACTGCTGAAAGAAAAGAAAGGTTTAACCCTGTGAGATGAATGCACACAGCACAATGCTGTGTCTCAGAAAGCTTCTTTCTTGTTTTCATCTGAAGATACTTTCTTTTTCACCACAGTCCTCAATGCACTCCCAAATGTCCCTTCGCAGATCTACAAAAACTGTGTTTCCAAACTGCTGAATGAAAGCAATCCTTTAAATTTGCAAGACAAATGCATTCTTCACAAAGTGGTTTCTCAGTTTCCTTCTAGTTTTTATCCTGATGCATGCTCTTTTTCCCCATTGGCCTCAATGATCTCCCAAATGTCTATTAATAGAATCGACAAAAACAGTGTTTCCAAAATGCCATATCAAAAGAAATGTTTAACTCTGCTAGATGAATGCACACATCACAAAGCAGTTTCTCAGATAGTTTCCTTCTAGTTTTTATCCTGGGATATTCATTTTTTTGCCATTCACCTCAATGAGCTCCAAAATGTTCATTCATGGAGTGGACAACAGCAGTGTTTCCAAACTGCTAAAAGAAAAAAAAGGTTTAAATCTGTGAGATGATTGCACACATCACAAAGGAGTTTCTATGAATGCTTCTTTCTAGTATTTATCTGGAGATATTTTCTTTTTCACCAAAGACCTCAATGGACTCCCTTGTATCCCTTCAGAGATTCTAAAAAAAACAGTGTTTCCAAACTGCTAAATCAAATCAAATGTTTATCTCTGCTAGATGAATGCACACTTTGTAAAATGGTTTCTAAGATAGCTTCCTTCTAGTTTTTTTCCTGGGATATTAGCTTTTTTGCCATTGGCCTCAATGAGCTCCTAAATGTCCATTAGCAGAATGGAAAAAAACAGTGTTTACAAATTGCTGAATCAAAAGAAACTTTTAACTCTATGAGATGAATGAACACATCACAATGCAGTTTCTCAGAGAGTTTCTTTCTAGTTTTCATCTAAAGATAATTTCTTTTTCACCGTAGTCCTCATTGTGCTCCCAAATATCCTTTCATAGATACTACAAAAACGGTGTTTCAAAAATGCTGAATGAAAAGAAAGGCTTATCTCTGCAAGATAAATGCCCATTAATTAAAGGGGTTTCTAAGATAGCTTCCTTCAAGTTTTTTTTTTTTTTTTCCTGGGACACTTGCTTTTTTGCCATTGACAACAATGTGCTCCCAAATGTCCATTTTCAGAATGGACAAAAACAGTGTATCCAAACTGCTGAATGAAAAGAAAGGTTTCACTCTGTGAGATGAATGCTGGCACCACAAAGTGATGTGTGAGATAGATTCCTTCAAGTTTTTATCCTGAGATATTCCGTTTTTCTCCTTTTGCCTCAATGATCTCCAAAATGTCCATTCACAAAATGGACAACAACAGTTTTTCCAAACTGCTGAATCAAAAAAAAGTTTAGCTTTGTGAAATGAATGCACACATCACAAATTAGTTTCTCAGAAAGCTTCTTTCTAGTTTTTGTCTGAAGATATTTTGTTTTTCACCATTGGGCTCAATGCACTCAAAAATATGACTTTGCAGATTCTACAAAAACACTGTTTCCAAACTGGTGAATGAAAAGAAACTTTTAAGACTGTGAGATGATGGCACACATCACATAGCAGTTTCTCAGATACCTTCCTTCTAGTTTTTATCCTGGGATATTCACTTTTTTGCCATTGGCCTAAATGAGCCCCCAAAGGTCCATTAGCAGAATGGACAAAAACAGTGTATCCACACTGGTGAATCAAAAAAAAGTATTAACTCTGTGAGATGAATGCACACATCAAAATGCAATTTCTCAGAAAGCTTCTTTCTAGGTTTTATCTGAAGATATTTTCTTTTACACCATAGACCTCAATGTGCTCCAAAATATCCCTTTGCAGATCCTATAAAAACCGTGTTTCCAAACTGTTGAAGGAAAAGAAATGTTTAATTTTGCGAGATGAATGCACACATCATAAATCCGTTTCTCAGATAGCTTATTTCTAGTTTTTATCCTCAGTTATTCACTTTTTTGCCATTGACCTCAATGAGCTCCCAAATATCCATTTACAGAATGAGCACAAACAGTGATTCCAAACTGCTGAATCAAAAGAAAGCTTTAAATCAGCGAGATCAATGCACACACCACAGAGTGGTTTCTCAGATAGCTTCCTTCTAGTTTTTACCCTGGGATATACACCTTTTCATGTGTGCCTTAATGAACTCCCAAATGTCCATTCACAGAATGGATAAAAACAGTGTTTCCAAACTGCTGAATCAAGATAAATGTTTATCTCTGTAAGATGAATGCACACATCACAAAGCAGTTTCTCAGAAAACGTCTTTCTAATTTTTATCTGAAGATATATTCTTTTTTCATCACAGAACTCAATGCACCCCCAAATATCCCTTCTCAGAGTCTACAAAAACAGTGTTACCAAACTGCTGAATCAAAACAAAGGTTTAACTCTGTGAGATGAGTGTACACATCACAAAGTGGTTTCTCAGATAGCTTGCTTCTCAGCTTCATCTTGGAATATTCCCTTTTTTGCCATTGACTTCCATGAGCTCCCAAATGTCCTTTTGCACAGTGGACAAAAACTGTGTTTCCAAACAGCTGAATCAAAAGCAAAGTTTAACTCTGTGAGATGAATTCACACATCACAAAGCAGTTTCTCAGAAAGTTTCCTTCTAATTTTTATCTGAAGGTATTTTCTTTTTCACCATTGGCCTCAATAAGATACAAAATATCCCTTTGCAGATTCTACAAAAACAGTGTTTCCTAACTGCTGAATAAAAAGAAACGTTTAAATCTGTGAGTTGAATGCACACATCACAAAGTGGTTCCTCAGATAGCTTCATTCTAGTTTTTCTCCTGGGATACTCGCTTTTTCACCTTTGGCCTCAAAGAGCTCCCAAATGTTCATTCACAAAAAGGACAAAGACAGTGTTTCCAAACTGCTGAATCAAAAGAAAGGTTTAAATCTGTGAGACGTATGCACACATCACAAAGTGGTGGATGTCATAGCTTCCTTATAGTTTTTATCCTGGGATATTCTCTTTTTCAACATTGGCATCAATAAACTGCTGAATCAAAAGAAAGGTTTAACTCTGTGAGATGAAGGCATACATCACAAAGTATTTTCTAAGAAAGCTTCTTTCCAGTTTTTAGATGAAGATATTTTCTTTTTCACCCTTCACAGATTCTACAAAAACAATGTTTCCTAACTGCTGAATGAAAAGAAAGGTTTAAATCTGCGAGATGAATGCACACATCACAAAGCCATTTTTCAGATAGGTTCCTTCAATTTTTATCCTGGGATATTTGCTTTTTCACCATTGGCCTCAAAGAGCTCCAAAATGTCCATTCACAGAATGGACAAAAACAGTGTTCCCACACTGCTGAGTGAAAAGGAATGTTTAACTCTGTGAGATGAATGCAGAAATCACAAAGCAGTTTCTCAGAAAACTTCTCTCTAGTTTTTATATGAAGATATATTCTTTTTTCACCATAGGACTAAAAGCATTCCCAGATATCCCTTCGTAGAATCCACAAAAACAGTGATTCCAAACTGCTGAATTAAAAGAAAGTGTTAATTCTGCGAAATGAAAGCCCACATCAAAAAGGGGCTTCTCAGACAGCTTCCTTCTAGTTTTCATTTGAGATATTCACTTTTTCACCTTTGGCCTCAGTGAGCTCCCAAAAGTCCTTTTGCAGAATGGACGAAAATACTGTTTCCAAACTGCTGAATCAAAGAAATGTTTTAACTCGGTGAGATGAATGCCCATATCACAAATCAGTTTCTTAAACAGCTTCCCTCTAGTTTTTATCCTGAGATATTCGCTTTTTTGCCATTGGTCTCAATTAGCTCCCAAATGTCCATTCGCAGAATGGACAAAAAGAGTTTCCAAACTGCTGAATCATAAGAAAGCTTTAACTCAGTGAGATGAATGTACACATCAGAAAGCAGTTTCTCAGATAGCTTCTTTCTAGTTTTTATCTAAAGATATTTTATTTTTCTACATAGGCCTCAGTGTGCTCTGAAATATCCCTTTGCAGATCTACAAAAAGAGTGTTTCCAACCTACTGAATGCAAAGTCACGTTTAACTCTGTGAGATGAATGCACATATCACAAAGCAGTTGCACAGAGAGCTTCCTACTAGTTTTTATTCTGGAATATTCAATTTTTTGCTATTGGCCTCAATAAGCATCAAAATATCCATTCTCCAAATGGACAAAAACAGCGTTTCCAATCTGTTGAATCAAAAGAAAAATTTAAGTCTGTGAGATGAATGCACATATCACAAATCAGTTTCTCAGGAAATTTCTTCCTAGTTTTTATTTGAAGATATTTTCTTTTTCACCATAGGTCTCAATAAGTTCCCAAATATCGCTTTGCAGATTGTACAAAAATGGTGTTTCCTAACTGCTGAATGAAAATGAAGGTTTAACTCTGCAAATTGAATGCAGACATCACAAAGTGGTTTCTCAGATAGCTTCTTTGTAGTTTTTATCCTGGGATATTTGCTTTATTGAAATTGGCCACAATGAGCTCCCAAATGTCCATCCACAGGAAGGACAAAAACAGTGTATGTAAACTGCTGAGTCAAAAGAAAGGTTTATCTATGAGACATGAATGTACACATCACAAAGCAGTTTCCCATATAGCTTCCTTCTAGTTTTTATCCTGGGATATTTGCTTTTTTGCTATTGGTCATTATCAGCTCCCAAATGTCCATTTGCAGAATGGACAAAAACAGTGTTTCCAAACTGCTGAATGAAAAGAAAGTTTTTACTCTGCCAGATGAATGCACACATCACAAAGCGGTTTCTCAGATAGCTTCCTCATGGTGTTTATCCTGGAATATTTGCTTTTTCGCTTTTGGGCTCATTGACGTCCTAACTCTCAATTTGCAGAAGGGACAAAAACAGTGTCTCCAAACTGCTGAATGAAAAGAAAGATTTAACTCTGTGAAGTGCATGCTTCTATCACCAAGCAGTTTCTCAGATACCTTCCTTTAGTTTTTATCCTGGGATATTCACTTTTTCACCTTTGGCCTCAATGGGCTCCCAAATGTCCTTTGTCAGAATGGACAAAAACAGTGTTTGCAAACTGCTGAATCAAAAGAAAGGTTTAAATCTGTGACACGAATGCATACATCACAAAGTAGTTTCTCAGAAAGCTTCATTCTATTTTTTATCTGAAGATATTTTCTTTTTCACCATAGACCTCAATGTGCTCCCAAATATTCCTTCACATATTATAGAAAAACAGTGTCTCCAAACTGCTGAATGAAAAGAAAGGTTTAACCTTGTGACATGAATACACACATAACAAAGCAGTTTCTCAGATAGCTTCCTTCTAGTTTTTCCCCTGGCATATTTGCTTTTTTGCTATTGGCCTCAATGAGCTCCAAACTGTCCATTCAAACAATGGGCAAAAAGACTGCTTCGAAACTGCTGAATCAAAAGAATGATTTACCTCTGTTGGATGAATGCATGCTACCCAAAGCAGTATCTCAGAAAGTTTTCTTGTAGTTTTTACTTGAAGATATTTTCTTTTTCATGACCGGCCTCAATGCATACCCAGATGTCCCTTTCCAGATTCTACAAAAACTGTGTTTCCAAATTGCTGAATGTAAAGAAAGGTTTAACTCTGCAAGATGAATGGACACATCACAAAGCAGTTTCTCAGTTTCCTTCTAGTTTTTATAACAGGATATTCCCTTTTTCAGAAAACCCATTGGCCACAATGAGCTCCCAAATGTCCTTTCACAAAATGGTCAAAAACAGTATTTCCATACTGCTGAATCAAAACAATGTTTAAATCTATGAGATGAATGCACACATCACAAATGTGTTTCTCATAAAGATTCTTTCTAGTTTTTATCTGAAGATATTTTCTTTTTCACCATAGGCCTCAAGGCAGTCCCAAATATCCCTTCACAAATTCTACAAAAACAGTGTTCCCAAACTGCTGAATACAAAGAAACATTCAACTCTGCGAGATGAATGCACACATCATGAAGAAGTTTCTCAGATAGCTTCCTTCTTGTTTTTGTCCTGAGATATTCGCTTTTTTGCCATTGGCCCAATGAGCTCCCAAATGTCCGTTTGCAGAATGGACAAAACAGTATTTCCAAAATGCTGAATGAAAGGAAAGGTTTAACTCTGTGAGATTAATGCACACATCACAAAACGGATTCTCAGATAGCTTCCTTCAAGTTTTAAACCTGGGATATTCCATTTTTCACTTTTGGCCTCAAAGAGCTACAAAATGTCCATTCACAGAATGGACAAAAGCAGTGTTTCCAAACTGCTGAATCAAAGGAAAGATTTTCCTCTCTGAGCTGAATTCCAAGATCACCAAGTATTTCTCAGAAAGCTTCTTTCTATTTTTTGTCTGAAGATATTTTCTTTTTCACCACAGGACTCAGTGGACCCCCAAATATCCATTTGCACATTCTACAAAAGCAGTGTTTCAAAACTACTGAATGAAAAGAAAGGTTTAACTCTGTGAGATGAATGCACACTTCACACATCGGTTTCTCAGATAGCTTCCTTCTAGTTTTTATCATGGGATATTCACTTTTCCACCATTGGCCTCAATGAGCTCCTAATCGTCCATTCGCAGAATGAACAAAAATAGTTTCCACACTGCTTAAACAAAAGAATGTTTTAACTCTGTGAGGTGAATACACACATCACAAAACAGTATCTCAGAAAATTTCCCTCTAGTTTTTAACTGAAGATATTTTCTATTTCATGATAGGCCTCAACATGTTTCCTAATGTGCCTTCACAGGTTTTACAAAAAGAGTCTTTCCAAACTGCTGAATAAAAAAAGTTTTAGCTCTGTGAAATAAATGCCCTCATCAACAAGCAGTTTCCCAGATAGCTTCTTTCTAGTTTTTATCTGATGATATTTACTTTATCAACATTGGCCTCAATCCACTGTAAAATATCTCTTCCAAGATCCTACAAAAATGCGTTTCAAAATTGCTGAATGAAAAGAAAGGTTTAACTCTGCAAGATGAATGCACACATGATAAAGCAGTTTCTCAGATAGCTTCCTTCTAATTTTTATACTGGGATATTCTCTTTCTTGAAATTTGACAAAATGAGCTCCAAAATGTCTATTCACATATCAGACAAAAAGTGTTCCCACACTGCTGAATAAAAAGAAAATTAACTGTGTCAGATTAATGGACAAATCACAACGCAGTTTCTCAGAAAATTTCTTTCTAGATTTTATGTGAAGATATTTTCCTTTTCACCATAGACCTCAATGTGCTCCCAAATGACCTTATGCAGATTCTACAAAAACAGTGTTTCCAAACTGATGAATGAAAAGGAAGGTTTAGGTATGTGAGATGAATGCACAGCTCACAAAGCAGTTTCTCAGAATGCTTCTTTCTAATTTTAATCTGAAGTTATTTTCTTTTTCATCATTGTCTTCAATGAGCTCCCAAATATCTAGTTGCTGATCTTACAAAATAGTGTTTCCAAACTGCTGAATAAAAGGAAGGTTAAACTCTGTGAGATGAATGAACACATAACAAAGTGGTTTCTCAGATAGCTTCCTTCCAGTTTTTATCCTGGGATATACTCTTTTTTGCCATTGGCCTCAATGAGCTCCCAAATGTCCATTCACAGAATGGACAAAAACTGTTTCCTAACTGCCGAATGTAAAGAAAGGTTTAAATCTGCCAGGTGAATGCACACATCATAAAGAGGTTTCTCCAGTATCTTCCTTCTAGGTTTTACCCTGGGATTATCGCTTTTTTGCCATTGGCCTCAATGAGCTCCCAAATCTCCATTTGGAAAATGTACAAAAACAGAGTATGCAAACTACTGAATCAAAATAAAGTTTTAACTTTTTGAGATGAATGCACATGTTACAAAGCCGTTTCTCAGAAAGCTTCTTTCTAGTTTTTATCTGAAGATAATTTCTTTTTCACCATAGGCCTCAATAAGCTCCCAGATATCCCTTTGTAGATTTTACAAAAAAGTGTTTCCTAACTGCTGAATGAATAAGAAGCTTTAACTCTGACAGTTGAATGCACATATCACAAATCAGTTTCTCAGATAGCTTCATTCTACTTTTTATCCTGGGACATTCACTTTTTTGCTATTGGCCTCAATTTGCTCCCCAAGGTCCATTCACAGTAAGGACAAAAACAGTGTTTCCAAAATGCTGAATGAAAAGAAATGTTTAACTGAGAGATGAATGAACACATCACAAAGTGGTTTATCAGATAGCTTCCTTCCAGTTCTTATCCTGGGATATTCACTTTTTTTACCTTTGGCCTCAATGAGCTCCAAAATGTCCATTTTAGGAATGGGCAAAAAAAGGTTTTCCAAACTGCTGAATCAAAAGAAAGGTTTAACTCTGTGAAATGAACTCACACACCTCAAAGCAGATTCTCAGAAAGCTTCTTCTTTCTAGTTTTTAAGTGAAAATATTTTCTTTTTCACCATAGGCCTCAATTCACTCCAAATATCCCTGTGCAGATTCTACAAAAATAGTGTTTCCAAACTGTTGAATGGAAAGAAAGGTTTACCTCTGTGAGATGAATGCAGACATCACCAAACTGTTTGTCATATAGCTTCCTTCTAGTTTTTATCCTGGGATATTCACTTTTTCACTGCTGTCCTCAATGAGCTCACAAATGTCCATTCCCAGAATGGAGGAAAAAAAAAGATTTTCCAAACTGCTGAATGAAAAGAAATGTTTATGTCTGTGAGATGAATGCAAATTTCAGAAAGCAGTTTCTGACATAGCTTCCTTCTAGTGTTTATCCTGGAATATTCGCTGTTTTGCTGTTGGCATCAATGAGCTCCCAAATGTCCATTCGCAGAATGGACGATGTGTTTCCAAACTGCAGAATCAAAAGTAAAGTTTACCTCTGTGAGATGAATGCACACATCACAAAGCAGTTACTCAGCAAGTTTCTTTCTAGTTTTTATTTGATGATATTTTGTTTTTCACCATGGGCCTCAATGCACTCCCAAAGATCCCTTCTCAGATTCTACAAAAACAGTGTTTCCAAACTGCTGAATGTAAAGAAAAGTTTAAATCTGTGAGATGAATGCACACATCACAAACCAGTTTCTCAGACAGCTTCCTTCTAGTTTTTATCCTGGGTTATTCACTTTTTTGCCATTTTCCTTAATGAGCTCCCAAATGTCCATTTTCTGAATGGAGACAAACAGTTTTTCCAAACTGCTTAATCAAAGAAATGTTCAACCTTGTGAGATGAATGAATCCATCACAAAGCAGTTTTTCAAAAAGCATCTTTCTAGTTTTTATTTGATGATATTTTGTTTTTCACCATGGGCCTCAGTGCACTCCCAAATATGCCTTTTCAGATTCTACATAAACAGTGTTTACAAACTGCTGAATGAAAAGAAATGTTTACCTCTGTGAGATGAATGCACACTTCACAAAGCCATTTTGCAGATAGCTTCAGTGTAGTTTTTATCCTGAGATATTAGTTTTTTCACAATTGACTTTAATGAGCTTCCAAATGTCCATTCGTAGAATGGACCAAAACAGTGTTTCCAAACCTCTGAATCAAAAGAAACGTTTAACTCTATGAGATGAATGTAGACATCACAAAGCAGTTTCTCCAAAAACTTCTTTCTAGATGTTATCTGAAGATATTTTCTTTTTCACCATAGGCCTCACTGCACCCCCAAATGTACTTTCTCAGATTCTACAAAAACAGTGTTTCTAAACAGCTGCATGAAAAGAAAAGTGTATCTCTGTGAAATAAATGCACACATCATAAAGGGGTTTCTCTGATAGCTTCCTTCTAGTTTTTATCCTGGGATATTCACTTTTTCACCATTGGCCTCAATGGGCACCAAAATATCCATTTGCAGAATGGACAAAAACAGTTTTTCCAAACTACTTAGTCAAAAGAACATTTTAAGAGTGTGGGATGAATGCACAAATAACAAAACAGTTTGTCAGAAAGCTTCATTCTAGTTTTTATCTGAAGATATTTTCTTTTTCACCATAGGCCTTGAGGTGCTCCCAAATATCTCTTCGCAGATTCTACAAACACAGTGTTTCCAAACTGCTGAATGAAAGGAAACGTTTAGCTCTGTGAGATGAATGCACACATCACAAAGGAGTTTCTCTGAAATATTCTTTCTAGTTTTTATCTGAAGATGTTTTCTTTTTCACAATAAGCCTCAATGTGCACCCAAATAGTCCTTCACAGATTATACAAAAGCAGTGTTTCCAAGCTGTTGAATGAAAAGAAAGGTTTAATTCTCTGAGATGAATGCACACATCACAAAGGGGTTTCTGAGATAGCTTTCTTTTTATTTTTATCCTGGGATATTCCTTTTTCTCCATTGGCCTCAGGGAGCTCCTAAATGGCCATTTGCAGAATGGATAAAAACACTGTTTCCAAACTGCTGAATCAAAAGTAAGGTTTAAATTTGTGAGATGAATGCACACATTGCAAGTGGTTTCTTGGATAGATTCCTTCAAGTTTTCATCCCGGGATGTTTGCTTTTTCAACATTGGCCTCAATGAACTTCCAAATGTCCATTCACAGAATAAACAAAAACAGTGTTTCCGAACTGCTGAATCAAAAGAAAGTTTTAACTCTGTGAGATGAATGCACACATCACAAAGCAGTTTCTCAGAAAGCTTCTTTCTTGCTTTTATCTGAAGATATTTTCTTTTTCACCATAGGCCTCAATAAGATCCCAAAATCCCTTCACAGATTCTACAAAAACAGTGGTTCTTAACTGCTGAATAAAAAGAAGGTATAATTCTGTGTGTTGAATGCACACATCACAAAGCAGTTTCTCACATAGCTTCATTCTAGTTTTTATCCTGGGACTTTCACATTTTTGCCCTTGGCCTCAAAGAGCTCCGAAATATCCACTCACAGAAAGGACAAAAACAGGTTTTCAAAACTGCTGAATCAAAAGAAAGGTTTATCCCTGTGAGACAAATGCACACATCACAAATCACTTTCTCTGAAACTTCTTTCTAGTTTTTCTCTCTTTTTCAGCATAGGACTCAATGCACTCCCAAATATCCCTTAACAGATTCTTAAAAAACAACGTTTCCAAACTGCTGGATGATAAGAAAGTTTTATCTCTGTGGGACGAATGCATATGTCACAAAGCAGTTTCTCAGATAGTATCCTTCTAGTTTTTATTCTGGGATATTCTCTTTTTTGCCATTGGCCTCAATAAGCTCCCAAATGTCCATTCACAGAATGGACAATAATAGTTTCCCAAACTGCTGAATAAAAATAAAGGTTTAACTATGTGAGATTAATGGAGAAATCACAGATAAGTTTCTCAGAAAACTTCTTTCTACTTTTTATGTGAAGACATTTTATTTTTCACCATAGGCCTAAATGAGCTCCCAAATACCACTTTGCAGATTCTACAAAAACAGGTTTTCCAAACTGCCTAATGAAAAGGAATGTTTAGGTCAGTGAGATGAATGCACACATCACAAAGAAGTTTCCCACGAAGCTTCTTTCTAGTTTTTATCTGAAGATAATTTCTTATTCACCATAGGCCTCAATGTGCTACCAAATATCCCTTTGTAGATTCTACAAAAAGTTTTTCCAAACTGCTCAATGAAAAGAAACTTTTAACTCTGCAAGATAAATGCTCACATCACAAAGCAGTTTCTCAGATAGCTTCTTTCTAGTTTTTGTCCTTGGATATTCTCTTTTTCACCACTTTCCTTCATGCGCTCCCAAATATCCATTCAATGAATCAACAAAAACAGTGTTTCCAAACTGCTGAATCAAAAGAAAGGTTTAGCTCTAGGAGTTGAATGCACAAATTACAAAGCAATTTCTCAGAAATAGTCTTCCTTCTTTTTTCTGAACATATATTATTTTTCACCATAGTTCTCAAAGCACTCCCAAATATCCCTTTGCAGATACTACAAAAACAGTGTTTCCAAACTGCTGAATGAAATGCAACATTTAACGCTGTGAGATGCATGCACACATCATAAAGCAGTTTCTCAGCTAGCTTCCTTCTAGTTGTATCCTGGGATATTAGCTTTTTCACCATTGGCCTAATGAGCACACAAATGTCCATTCACAGAAAGGACAAAAGCAGTGTTTCTTAACTGCTGAATCAAAGAAAGGTTTAACTTGGCAGGATGCATGTGCACATCAGAAAGCAGTTTCTCAGACAGCTTCCTTCTAGTTTATACATTGGGATATTCACTTTTTTGCCATTGGCCTTAAGAAGCTCCCAAATGTCCATTCACAGAATAGACAAAAACAGTGTTTAAAAATACTGAATCAAAGCAAAAGTTTGAATCTGTGAGATGAATGCAAACATCACAAACCTGTTATTCAGACAGCTTCCTTCTAATTTTTATTTAGGGACATTCACTGTTTTGCCTTTGGCCTCAATGAGCTCCCAAATATTCACTCACAGGATGGACAAAAACAGTTTTTCAAAATTGTTGAATCAAAGGAAAAGTTTAACTCTGTGAGATGAATGCACACATCACCAAACAGTTTCTCAGATAGCTTCTTTCTAGTTTTTATACTTGGATATTCTCTTTTTCACCATTGGCCTCAATGATCTCCCTAATATCCATTCACAGAATGGACAAAAAAGGTGTTTCCAAACTGCTGAATCAAAAGCAAGGTTTAACTCTGTGAGATGAATGAAGACGTCACAAATCAGTTTCTCAGAAAACTTCTTTCTAGTTTTTGTCTGAAGCTATTTTCTTTTTCACCATAGACGTCAGTGTACTCCCAAATACCCATTGGCAGATTCTAGAAAAAGAGCTTTTCCAAACTGCTGAATGAAAAGAAAGTTTTAACTCTGTGAGATGAATGCACACATCATAAAAAGTTTTCTCAGATAGCTTCCTTCCAGTTTTTATCCTGGGATATTCACTTCTTTGCCATTGGCTTCAATTGGCTCCCAAATGTCCATTCACCAAATGGACAAAAACAGTGTTTCAAAACTGCTGAATCAAAGGAAAGGTTTAATTCTGTGAGAATAATGCACACATAAGAAATCAGTTTCTCAGAAAGCTTCTTTCTCGTTTTTATCTGAAGTTATTTTCTTTTTCACCATTGGCCTCAAAGAGCTCAAAAAGGCCAATCAAAGAATGGACAAAAACTTGTTTCAAAACTGGTGAATCCAAAGAAAGGTTTAAGTCTGTCAGATGAAAGCACACATGACAAAGTGGTTTCTCAGATAGCATCATTATAGTTTTCCTCCTGGTATATTCGCTTTTTTGCCATTGTCCTCAATGAGCTCTGAAATATCCATTTGCAGAATGGAAAAAACTGTGTTTCCAAACTGCTGAATTAAAAGGAAGGTTTAACTCTGTGAGATGAATGCAGACATCGCAAAGCAGTTTCTCAGAAAGCTTCTTTCTAGTTTTTATTTGAAGATATTTTCTTTTTCACCACAGGCCACAATACGCTCCCAAATGTCCCTTCAGCAATTATACAAAAACAGTGCTTCCAAACTGCTGAATGAAAACAAATGTTTAACTCAGTGACTTGAATGTACACATTGTAAAGCAGTTTCTCAGATAGCTTCCTTCTAGTTTTTATCCTGGTATATTCCCTTTTTCGCCATTGGCCTTAATGCACTCCCAAATATCCATTCACAGAATGTACAAAAACGATGTTTCCAAACGGCCTACTCAAAGGAAAGTTTTGACTCTGTTATGAATGCACACATAATAATGCAGTTTTTCAGATAGCTTCTTTCTAGTTTTTGTCCTGGATATTCTCTTTTTCACCACTGGCCTCAATGAGACCCCAAATGTCCTTTCATAGAATGGACAAAAACAATGTCTCCACACTGATGAATCAAAAGAAAGGATTAACTCTCTGAGATGAATGCACACATCACAATGTAATTCCTCAGAAAGCGTCTTTCTAGTTTTTAGATAAAGATATTCTCTTTTTCACCATAGGCTTCAAAGCTTTCCAAAATGTCCCTCCACAGATTCTACAAAAACAGAGTTTCCAAATTGCTGAATCAAAGGAACAGTTTAAGTCTGTGAGATGAATGCACACGTCACAAAGCAGTTTCTCAGATAGCTTCCTTCCAGTTTATATCCCTGGGTATTAACTTTTTTTGCCATAGGCCTCAATGTGCTCCCAAATATCCCTTTGCAGATTCTACAAAAGCAGTGATTCCAAACTGCTGAATGAAAAGACAGGTTTAACTTTGCGAGATGAATGCACACATCACAAAGGTATCTCTCAGAAAGCTTCTTTCTCATTTTTATCTGAAGATGTTTTCTTTTTCACCATAAGCCTCAATGTGCTCCCATATATCCCTTCATAGATTCTTCAAAAATGGTGTTTCCAAACTGCTGAATGAAAAAAAAGTTTTACCTCTGCAAGATGAATGCACCCATCACAAAGAAGTTTCTCAGAAACCTTCTATATACTTTTTTTCAGAAGGTATTTTCCTTGTCACCTCAGGCCTCATTGCACTCTCAATTGTCCATTTCAAGAATATACAAAAACATTATTTCCAAACTGCTGAATGAAAAAGAAAGGTGTAACTCTGGGAAATGAAATGCACACATCACAAAGCTGCTTCTCAGATACCTTCCTTCTAGTTTTTACCTCAGATATTCACTTTTATGTCATTGGTCTCAATGAGCTCCAAAATGTGCATTCACAAAATAGACAAAAACAAGGTTTCCAAAATGCTGAATCAAAAGAAAGGTTTATCCCTATGAGATGAATGGACAATTCACAAAGCATGTTCTCAGAAAGCTTCTTTCTTGTTTTAATTTGAAGACATTTTCTTTTTCACCATTGGCAACAATGTGCTCCCAACTGTCCACTCACAGAATGCACCAAAAGAGTGTTACTAAACTGCTTAATCAAAAGAAAGTTTTAACTCTGGGAGATGAATGCACACATCATGAAGCAGTATCTCAGATAGCTTCCTTCTAGTTTTTATAGAGGCATATTCCCTTTTTTGCCATTGGCCTCAATGAGCTCCTAAATGTTGATTCACAGAATGAACAAAAACAGTGTTTCCAATCTGCTGAGCCAAAAGAAAGGTTTAACTCCATGCAATGAATGCAAACATCACAAAGCAGTTTCTCAGCAAGAGTTCTTCTAGTTTTTATCTGAAGATATTTTCTTTTTCACCATAGGCCTCAAAGTGATCCCAAATGTCCATTCACAGAACATTAAAAAACAGTGTTTAAAAACCGCTGAATTGAAAGAAATGTTTATCTCTGGAAAATGAATGCGCACATCACAATGCAGTTTGCCAGATAGTCTCTTTCTTGTTTTTAAGCTGGGATATTCACTTGTTTGCCATTGGCCTCAATGAGGTCCAAAATGTCCATTAGCAGAATAGACAAAAAGAGTATTTCCAAATTGCTGAATCAAAAGAGAGCTTGAACTCTGAGAGATGAATGCACGCATAACAAAGCAGTTTCTCAGAAAGATTCAGTGAGCTCCCAAATGTCTCAATGAGCTCAGGGAGATCATTGAAACCAAAGGTGAAAAAGCAATTATCCCAGGATAAAAACTAGAAGGAAGAAATTTGAGAAAAAGGTTTGTGATGTGTGCATTCATCTCCTAGGGTTAAACCTTTCTTTTCATTCAGCAGTTTGGAAACACTGTTTTTGAAGGATCTGCAAAGGGATATTTGGGAGCACATTGAGGCCTGTGGTGAAAAGGAAAATATATTCTGATAAAAAGTAGAAAGAAGTTTTCTGAGAAACTTCTTGGTGATGTGTGCATTTAACTCACATATTTAAAACTTTCTTTTTATTCATCAGTTTGGAAACACTGTTTTTGTAGAATCTGTGAAGGGATATTTGGGAGCGCATTGAGGCTTATGGTGAAAAAGAAAATATCTTCAGATAAAAACTAGAAAGAAGCTTTCTGAGAAACTTCTTTGTGATTGTGCATTCATCTCACAGAGTTAAACCTTTCTTCTGATTCAGCAGTTTGGAAACACTGTTTTAGTCCATTCTGCGAATGGACATTTGGGAGCTCATTGAGGCCAAAAACAAAAAAGCAAATATCCCAGGATAAAAACTAGAAGGAAGCTGTCTGAGAAACTGCTTTGTGATGTGTGAATTCATCTCACAGAGTTAAAACATTCTGTTCATTCAGCAGTTTGGAAACACTGTTTGTGTAGAAGCTCCAAAGGGATATTTGGGAGCTCATTCAGGGCAGTGGCAAAAAAGTGAAAATCCCATGATTTAAACTAGAAGGAAACTATCTGAGAAACCGCTTTGTGATGTGTGCATTAATCTCACTGAGTTACAGATTTCTTTTCATTCAGCAGTTTGGAAACACTGTTTTTGTAGTATCTGCGAAGGCATATTTGGGAGTGCATTGAGGCCTATGGTGAAAAAGAAAATATGTTCAGATGAAAAATTGAAAGAGTCTTTCTGAGAAACTGCTTTGTGATGTGTGCATTCATCTCACAGAGTTAAACATTTCTTTTTATTCAGCAGTTTGGAAACACCATATTTGTCCATTCTGAGAACGGACATTTGGGAGCTCACTGAGGCCAGTGGGGAAAAAGCGAATATCCCAGGATTAAAAATAGAATGAAACTATGTGAGAAACTGGTTTGTGATGTCTGCATTCATCTTGCAAAATTAAACCTTTCTTTTTATTCAGCTGTTTGGAAAAACTGTTTTTGTAGAATCTGCCAAGGGATATTTTGGAGCGTTTTGAAGCCTATGGTGAAAAAGAAAATAACTTCAGATAAAAACTAGAAAGGATTCTGAGAAACTGCTTTGAGATGTGTGCATTAATCTCACAGAGATAAACGTTTCTTTGAATCAGCTGTTTGGAAACACTGTCTTTGTAGAATTTGTGAAGGGATGCTTGGGAGTGCATTGAAGCATGAGTTGAGAAAGGAAATATCTTCATAATAAAATTAGAAAGAAGTTCTCTTAGTAACTACTTTGTGAAGTCTTTATTCATCTCACAGAGTGAAGCCTTTCTTTTGATGGAGCAGTTTGGAAACACTGTCTGTCCATTCTGCGAGTGGACATTTGGGACCTCATTGAGGCCAATGTTGAAAAAGTGAATATCCCAGGATAAAAAGTAGTAGAAAGCTATCAGAGATACAGCTTTGTGATGTTTGCATTCATCTCACAGAGTTAAACCTTTCTTTTGATTCGGCAGTTTGCAAACACTGCTTTTGAAGAATCTGTGAAAGGACATTTGGGAATGCATTGATGCCTTTGGAGAAAAATAAAATATCCTCAGGTAAGAACTAGAAAGAAGCTTTCTGACAAACTGCTTTGTGATGTGTGCATTCATGTCACAGAGTTAAACATTTCTTTTAATTCAGGAGTTTAGGAACACTGATTTTGTGCATTCTGTGAGTGGACATTTCGGAGTTAATTGAGGCCAATTGTGAAAAAGCAAATGTCCCAAGATAAAAATTCGAGGGAAGCTATCTGAGATACTGCTCTGTGATGTGTTCATTCATCTCACAGAGAAAATTTTCTTTTGTTTCAGCAGTTTGGAAACACTGTTTAGAAAGAATCTTTCTGAGAAATTGTTTTGGGAAGTTTGCATTCATCTCACAGACTAAAACTTTCCTTTTGATTCAGCCGTGTGGAAACAGTGTTTTTGGAATCTGTGAAATGACATTTGGGATCATAATGAGGTCTATGGTGACAAAGAAAATATCTTCAGATTAAAAGCTTAAAGAAGCTTTCTGAGAAATTGATTTATGATGTGAGCATTCATATCATAGAGTTAAACCCTTATTTTAATTCAGCAGTTTGGAAACACTGTTTTTGTAAAATCTGTGAATTGACATTTGGGAGCTCATTGAGGCCAATGGTGAAAAAGTGAATATGCCAAAATAAAAATGGGTAGGAAGGTATCTGAGAAACCACTCTGTGATGTGTGCATTCATCTCACAGAGTTAATCCTTTCTTTTCATTCAGCAGTTTGGAAACATTATTTTTGTAAAATATGTAAAAGTCATTTGGGAGTGCTTTTCACCTATGTTGAAAAATAAATTATTTTCGGATAAAAACTAGAAGGAAGCTTTCTGAGAAACTGCTTTGAGTTGTGTGCATTCATCTCACAGAATTAAAGCATTCTTTTGATTCGGCTGTTTGTAAGCATTGTTTTTCTACAATGTGTGACAGGAATTTGGGATCATATTGAGATCTGTGGTGAAAAAGAAAATATCATCAGATAAAAACTATAAGAAAGATTTCTGAAGAACTGCTTTATGATGTGTGTATTCATCTCACAGAGTTAAACCTTTCTTTTGATTCAGCAGTTTGGAAACACTGTTTTTGTAGAATCTGAGAATGGGCATTTGGGACAACATTGAGCCCTGTGGTGAAAAAGGGAATATCCCTATAAGAAACTTGAAAGAATCTATCTGAGTAACTGATTTGTGGTGTGTGGATTCATCTCAAACAGGTAAAACCTTTTTTTGATTCAACAGTTAGGAAAAACTTTTTTTGTAGAGCCTGTGAAAGGACATTTAGGAGTGCATTGAAGTCTATGGTGAAAAAGCGATTATTTTTATATAAAAACTGGAAAGAAGCTATTGGTGAAACTGCTTTGCGATGTGTGGATTCATCTCACAGATTTAAATTTTTATTTTGATTAATCAGCTTGGAAACACTGTTTTTGCAGAATCTGCAGAGGGACACTTGACAGCTCCTTGAGTCCCATGATGAAAAAGTGAATATTCCCAGATTAAAACTAGAATGAATCTATCTGATGAAATGCTTTGTGAAGTGTGCATTCAACGCACAGAGTTAAACATTTCTTTTGATTGAGGAGTTTGGAAACACTGTTTTTGTAGAATCTGTGAAAGGACATTTCAGAGCGCATTGGTGCCTTTAGAGAAAAATAAAATATCTTCAGATAAAAACTAGAAAGAAGCTTTCTGAGAAACTGATTTATGATGTGTGCATTCATGTCACAGAGTTAAACATTTCTTTTGATTCAGGAGTTTGGAAACACTGTTTTTGTACATTCAGTGAGTGGACATTTCAGAGCTCATTGAGGCCAATTGTGAAAAACTGAATGTCCAAAGATAAAAACTCGTTGGAAGCTATCTGAGAATCTGCTCTTTGATGTGTTCATTCATCTCACAGTTATAAACCTTTCTTTTGTGTCAGCAATTTGGAAACACTGTTTAGAAAGAATCTCTCTGAGAAACTGCTTTGTGAAGAGTGCATTCATCTCTCAGAGTTAAACTTTTCTTTTGATTCAACAGTTTGGAAACACTGTTTTTTTAGAATCTGTGAAATGAGATTTGGAATCGTAATGAGGTCTATGGTGAAAAAGAATATCTTCATATTAAAAGTTTAAAGAAGCTTTCTGAGAAACTGATTCATGATGTGTGCATTCATCTCACAGAGTTAAACAATTACTTTAATTCAGCAGTTTGGAAACACTGTTTGTGTAAAACCTGTGAATGGACTTTTGGGAGCTCATTGAGGCCAATGGTAAAAAAGTGAATATCCCAAAATAAAAACTGGTAGGAAGATATCTGAGAAACCACTTTGTGATGTGTGCATACATCTCACAGAGCTAATCCTTTCTTTTGATTCAGCAGTTTGGAAACACTGCTTTTGTAGTATCTGGCAATGGACATTTGGGACTGCATTGAGGCCTATGGTGAAAAAGGGAATATACCTATAAGAAACTTGAAAGAATCTATCTGAGGAACTGATTTGTGATGTGTGGATTCATCTCAAAGAGTTAAATCCTTCTTTTCCTTCATCATTTTGGAAAAACTTTTTTTGTAGAGTCTATGAAAGGATATTTGGGAGTGTATTGAGGTCTATGGTGAAAAATGAATATCTTTATATGAAAACTGGGAAGAAGCTATAGGTGAAACTGCTTTATGATGTGTGGATTCATCTCAGAGTTTTAAATTTTTGTTTTGATTCATCAGTTTGGAAATACTGTTTTTGTAGAATCTGCAAAGGGGCATTTGAGAGCTCCTTGAGTCCCATGATGAAAAAGTGAATATTCCCAGATGAAAACTAGAATGAAGCTATCTGATGAACTTCTTTGTGAAGTGTGCATTCAACTCACAGAGTTAAACATTTCTTTTGATTGAGGAGTTTGGAAACACTGTTTTTATAGAGCCTGTGAATGGACTTTTGGGAGAGCATTGAGGCCTTTTTTGAAAAAGGAAATATATTTGGATATAAACCTGAAAGAAGCGATCTGAGATACTGTTTTTTGATGTGTGGATTCATCTCACAGAGTTAAATCCTTCTTTTGATTCAGCATGTTGGAAACACTGTTTTTGTAGAATCTCTGAAGGGACATTTGGAACTGACTGAGACCTGTGGTGAACAGGAGAATATCCCCAGTTACAAACTAGAAAGAATGTGCCTGAGAAACTCCTCTGTGATGTGTGCATCCATCTAAGAAAGTTAAACCTTGCTTTTGATTCAGTTGTTTGGAAACACTGTTTTTGTAGGACCTGTGAAAGGACATTTGGGAGTGCATTGAGGTCTTTGTTGAAAAAGCAAATATATTCAGATATAAACTGAAGGGAGTCTATCTGAGATACTGCTTTTTGATGTGTGCATTCGTCTCATAGAGTTAAACCATCCTTTTGATTCAGCAGTTTGGACACACTGTTTTTGTAGAATTTGTGAAAAGACATTTTTGAGCTCATTGAGGCCTTTGGTGATAAAAAGATATACCCAGATAAAAACTAGAAAGATGTTATCTGTCAAACTGCTTTGTGATGTGTGGAATCATCTCACAGAGTTAAACCTTTCTTCTGATTCAGCAGTTTGGAAACACTGTTTTTGTAGTTTCTGTGAAAGAACATTTGGGAGCACATTGAGGCCTATGGTGAAAAAGCGAATATCCCCAGATAAAAGTTAGAAAGAAGCTATGTGAGAAACTGCTTTGTGGTGTGTGCATTCAACTCACAGAGTTAGCCTTTCTTTTGATTCAACATTTAGGAAACACTGTTTTTTAGAATCTGTGAAGGAACATTTGGGAGCACTTTTAGATCTATGGTGAAAAAACATATATCCCCAGATAAAAACTAGAAAGAAGTTATCTTTGAAATTGATTTGTGATGTGTGGATTCATCTCAAAGATTTAAACCTATCTTTTGATTCAGTAGTTTGGAAACCACGTTTTTGTAGAATCTGCCAAGGGACACTTGGGAGCTCATTGAGAACAATGTTGGAAAAGCAAATATTCACTGATAAAACTAGAAAGAAGCTATATGTGAAAGTTATTTGTGATGTGTGGATTTATCTTCCAGTGTTAATCTTTTCTTTGGATTCAGCATGTTGGAAACACTGTTTCTGTAGAATCTGCAAAGGGATATTTGGGAGTGCATTGAAGCCAGCCATGAAAGAGTGACTATCCCCGTATAAAAACAAGAAAGAAGCTATCTGCAAAACTGCTTTGTCATGTTTGGATTCAGCTGACCGAGTTAAGACTTCCTTTTCATTCAGCAGTTTGGAAACACTGTTTTTGTAGAATCTACAAAGGGACACTTGCAAACACATTGAGGCCTACAATAAAAAAGAAAATATTCGAAGATAAATCTTGAAAGAAGCTGCATGTGAAACTGCTTTGTGATGTGTAGATTCGTCTCACAGAGTTAAAGACTTGTTTCAATTCAGCAATTTTGAAACACTGTTTCTGTAGAATCCACAAGCAGACATTTGGGAGCCCATTGATGCCTATGGTGAAAAAGTGAATATCTCCAGATAAAAACCAGAAAGCAGCTTGCTGTGAACCTACTTTTTGATGTCTGGATTCATCTAAGAGAGTTAAAAATTTATTTTGTATTAGCAGTTTGGAAACACTGTTTTTGTAGAATCTCTGAAAGGTCATTTGGGAAGGCATTGAGGCCTATGGTAAAGAGGCAAATATACCCAGATAAAACCTAGAAATAAGCTATTTGTTAAATTGTTTTGTGATGTATGGAAGCATCTCACAGAGATAAACCTTTCTTTGGATTCAGCAGTTTGGAAACTGTTTTTTTAGAATCTGTGAAGGGATATTTGGGAGTGCTTTGAGACCTGTGGTGAAAAAGTGAATATCCCCAGAAAGAAACTAAAAAAAAAAAAAAAAAGAGCTATCTGTTAAACTTTTTTGGGATGTGTGGATTCATCTCACAGAGTTAAACCTTTCTTTTGATTCAGCAGTTTGGAAACACTGTTTTAGTAGAATCTGCAAAGGAACATTTCAGAGCTAATTGAGGCCCTGGCAGAGAAGTGTATATTCCGAGATAAAAACTAGAAAGAAGCTATCTGAGGAACTGCTTTGTGATGTGTGTATTCATCTGACAGAGTTAAACCTTGATTTTCAATCAGCAGTTTTGAAACACTGTTGTTGTAGAATCTACAAAAGGACATTTGGGAGCGCATTGACGGATATAGTGAAAAAGCGAATATCTCCACATAAAAACTAGAAAGAAGCTATCTGAGCAACCGTTTTGTGATGTGTGCATTCAAATGACAGAATGAAACTTTTCTTTTGATTCTGCAGTTTGGAAATTTTTTTTTTTGTAGAATCTGTGAAGGCACATTTGGGAGAGCTTGAAGCACATGGTGAAAAAGTGAATATCCTCAGATAAAAACTAGAAAAAAGTTGTCTGTGAAACTGCTGTTGCTGTGTGGATTCATCTAACAGAGTTAAGCCTTTCTTTTGATTTAGCAGTTTGGAAACAATGTTTTTGTAGAATCTGCAAAGTGCTCATTGATGCATATAGTGAAAAACAAATAACCCTAGATAAAAACTACAAAGAAGCTTTTTGTTAATCTGCCTTGGGATGTGTGGATTCATCTCACAGACTTAAAAATTTCCTTTGATTTAGCAGTTCGGAAACACTGTTTTTGTAGCAGCGTCAAAGGGACTTTTGGGAGTACATTGAGGCCTGTGGTAAAAAAGGAAATGTCCCCATATAAAAACCAGAAAGAATCTATCTAAGAAACTGTTTTGTGATGTGTGCATTCAACTCAGAGAGATAAACATTTCTATTCATTCAGCAGTTTGTACCACTGTTTTGTAGAACCTTTGAAGGGACATTAGGGAAGCCTTTGAGTCCTATGGTGAAAGGGCAAATATCCTCAAATAAAAACTACAAAGAAGCTATCTGTGAAACTGCTTTGTGAATGGTGCATTCATATCACAGATTTAAATTTTTCTTTTGATTCAACAGTTTGGAAAAACTGTTTTTGTAGAATCTGTGAAGGGAAATTTGGGAAGTCATTGAGGCCTAATGGGAAAAGGCAAATATCCAATGATAAAAACTAGAAAGAAGCTATCTGTGAAACTGCTTCATGATGTGTGCATTTATCTCTCAGAGTTAATCCTTTCTTTTGATTCAGCACGTTGGAAACACTATTTCTTTAGAATCTTCAAAGGGACATTTGGGAGGTCATTGAGGCCTATGGTAATGAAGAGAATATCCCCAATAAAAACTAGAAAGAAGATATGTGGAAAAGTATTTTGTGTGTGTAAATTCATCTGGCAGAGTTAACCCTTTCTTTTGATTCAGCAGTTTGGAAACACTGTTTTTGTAGAATCTATGAAGGGACATTTGGGAGGTCATTGAGGCCAATGGTGACAAAGAGAAAATCACAAGATAAAAACTAGAAAGAAGCTATCTGTGAACTGCTTTGTTATATGCACATTCATCTCACAGAGGGAAAACTTTATTTTGATTCAGCAGTTTGGAGACACTGTTTTTGTAGAATCTATGAAAGGACATTTGAGAGGGAATTGAGTCCTATGGTGAAAATGCAAACATCTCCAGATAAAAAACTACAAAGAAGCTATCTGCAAAACTGCTTTGTGATGTATGGATTTATCTCAGACAGTTAAGACTTTCCTTTGATTCAGCACCTTAGAAAAACTATTTTTGTAGAATCTGCAAATGGATATTTGGGACCTCATTGAAATCTATGGTGAAAAAGAGTATATCCCCATATAAAAACTAGAAAGAAGATACCTGTTAGGCTGCATTGTGTTGTGTGGATTCATCTCACATTGTTAAACCTTTGTTTTGATTCAGCAGTTTGGAAACACTGATTTGTAGTATCTGCAGAGGGATATTTGAAATCTCTTTGAGGCCAAAAGTGAAATACTGAATATCTCCAGATAAAAACTAAAAAAAAAAAAATCTGTCTGTTAAACTGCTTTGTGATGTGTCAACTTATCTCATAGAATTAAACCTTTCTTTTGATTCAGCAGTTTGGAAAAACTGTTTTTGTAAAATCTGTAAAAGGACATTGGGAGTGAATTGAGTCCTGTGGTTAAAAAGGGAATAAACCCAGATAAAAACTAAAATGAAGCTATTGGTTAAATTGCTTTGTGTTGTGTGGATTCATCTCAGAGAGTTAAGCTTTTCATTATATTCAGCAGCTTGGAAACACTGTTTTTGTAGAATCTGTGAATGGATATTTTGGAACTCACTGAGACCAACGGTGAAAAAGTGAATATCCCCAGATAAAAAGTAGAATGAAGCTATCTGTGAATCCGCTTTGTGATGTATGGATTCATCTCAAAGAGTTAAATCTTTCTTTTGATTCAGCACATTGGAAACACTTTCTGTTGAATCTGTGAATGGATATTTGGGAGTGCATTGAGGACTATGGTGAAAAAACCGAATATCCCCAGATAAAAACTAAAAAGAAGCTACCTGTGAAACTGCTTTCTGATGTGTGGATTCATCTCACAGAGGTAAACTTTTCTGTTCTGCACTTTGGAAACATTTTTTTTTTTTTTTGCAGAATCTGTGAAGGGACATTTGGGAGCTCATGAGGCCTATGGTAAAGAAGGTAATATTCACAGTTAAAAACTAGACAGAAGCTCTCTGTGAGACTGCTTTGTGATGTTTGTATTCATCTCACAGAGTTAAATCTTTCTTTCGATTCAGCTATTTGGAAACACTGTTTTGTAGGATCTGTGAAGGGACATTTGGGAACTCATTGATGCCCGTGGTGAAAAGGCAATTATCCCCAGATAAACACAGAAAGAAGCTATCAGTGAAACTGCTTTTTGATGTGTGGATTTGTCTCACAGATTTAAACCTCGATTTTGAATCACCAGTTTGGAAACACTATTTTTGTAGAATGTGCAAAAGGACATCTCAGAGAGAATAGTGGCCTGTGGTGAAAAAGCCAATATCCCCCGATAAAAAATAGGAAGAAGCTAACTGTGAAAATGCTTTGTCATGTGTGGATTTATCTCACAGAATTAAGCCTTTCTTTTGATTAGGATGTTGTAAACACTGTTTCTGTAGATTCTGTGAGGGACATTTTGGAACTCATTGAGACCTATGGTGAAAAAATGAATATCCCCAGATGAAAACTAGAAAGAAGCTATCTGTTAAGCTGCTTTGTTATGTGTGATTCATCTCAGAGAGTTAAAACTTCATTTTGATTCAGCATGTTGGAAACAGTCCTTTTGTAGTATCTGTGAAGGGTTATTTTGGGGAGCATTGAGGACTATACTGACAAACTGGATATCTCAAGATAAAAACTAGAAAGAAGTTTCTGTGAAGCTGCTTTGTGATGTGTGGATTTATCTCAGAGAGTTAAACCTTTCTTTTGATTCAACAGTTTGGAAAAAGTGTTATTGGGGAATCTATGAAGGGACATTTTTGGAGTGTGTTGAGGTCTATTGTGACAAACTGAATATCCCCAGATAAAAACTAGAAAGAAGCTACCTGTGAAACTGCTTTATGATGTCTGGATTTATCTCACAGAGTTAAACTTTTTTTTGATTCGGTAGGTTGGAAACAGTCTTTTTCAAGAATCTGCAAAGGGAGATTTCGTAGTGCATTGAGGCCTATTGTGAAAAAGCAAATATCTCCATATAAAAACTAGAAAGAAGCTATTTGTGAAACTGCTTTGTGACAGATGGATTCATCTCACAGAGTTAAGCCTTTCTTTTGATTCAGCAGGTTGGAAACAGTCCTTTTGTAGATTCTGGGAAGAGACATTTAGAGTGCATTCAGACCTGTGGTGTGGAAGAGAACATCCCCAGATAAAACTGGAAAGAAGCTATCTGTTAAATTGCTTTGTGATGTGTAAATTCATCTCACAGAATTAAGCCTTTTTTTTTCATTCAGCAGTTTTGAAACACTGTTGTGGTTGAGTCTGCGAAGGGACATTTGGGAGCTCATTGACACCTATGTTGTAAAACCAAATATCCCCAGATAAAAACTAGAAATAAGCTATCTGTGAAACTGCTTTGGGAAGTGTGGATTTATCTCACAGGGTTAAACTTTTTTTTTTGATTCAGCAGTTTGGAAACACTGTTTTTGTAGAATCTACAAAGGGATAATTGAGTCTGCATTCTGGCCTATGTTGATAAATAGAATATCCCCAGATAAAAACTAGAAAGACGCTGTCTGTGAAACTGCTTTGTGATGTGTGGATTTACCTCAGGAAGTTAAACTTCTCTTTTCATTCAGCAGTTTGGAACACTGTTATTGTAGAAACTGTGAAGGGATGTTTTGGAGCTCATTGAGGCCTTTAGTGAAGAAGCAAATAACTCCAGATAAAAACTAGAAAGAAGTTATCTGTGAAACTGCTTTGTGATCTGTGGATTCTTCTCACAGGGTTAAAACTTTCTTTTGATTCAGCAGGTTAAAAATAGTCTTTTTGTAGAATCTGTGATGTGACATTTGGGAGCACATTGAGGCCTATGGTGGCAAACAGAATATACTGAGATAAAAACTAAAAAGAAGCTATCTGTGAAACTGCTTTGTCATGTTTGAATTCAACTCAGAGAGTTAAAACTTTCTTTTCCTTTAGCAGTTTGAAAACACTGTTTGCATAGAATCCACGAAGGGACATTTGGGAGCTTATTGAGGCCTATGGTGTAAAAGAAAATACATCCAGACAAAAACTGGAAGGAAGCTATCTCTGAAACTGCTGTGTGATGTTTGGATTCAACTCACAGAATTAAACTTTTCTTTTGATTCAGCAGTTTGGACACACTGTTTGTATAGAGTCTGTGAAGGGAAATTTAGGAGCACATTGAGGCCTATAGTGAAACTGTGAATATCCCCAGGTAAAAAGTAGAAAGAAGTTATCTGTGAAACTTCTTTGTGATATGTGCATTCTTCTCACAGAAATAAACTTTTTTTTATTCAGCACGATAGAAACAGTCCTTTTGCAGAATCTGTGAAAGGAAAATTGGGAGTGCATTCTGACCTGTGGTGATAAACTGCATATCCCCAGATAAAAACTAGAATGATGCTAACTGTGAAACTACTTTGTGATGAGTGGATTCAACTCAGAGTGTTAAAACTTTGTTTTGATGCAGCAGTTTGGAAACACTCTTTTTGAAAAATCTCTGTAGGGATATTTTGAGATGCATTTAGGCCTATGTTGAAAATGTGATTATCTCCAGATAAAAAATAAAAAGAATTTCTTTGTGAAACTGCTTTGTGATGTGTGGATTCTTCTCAGAGTTAAAACTTTGTTTTGATTAAGCAGGTTGGAAACAGACTTTTTGTAGAATCTTAGAAGAGACATTTCAGAGCCATTGAGGCCTGGTGTAACAAACCAAATATCCCCACATAAAAACTAGAAAGAAGCTGTTTGTGACACGCTTTGTGTGTATGGATTCATTTCACAGAAAGAAATCTTGCTTTTGATTCCTTGGTTTGGAAACAATGTTGTTATAGAATCTGTGAAGGGACAATTTGGAGCTCATTGAGGCCTAGGGTGAAAAAGCAAATATACCCAGATAAAAACTAGAAGGAAGCTCTGTGTGAAACTGCCTTGTGATGTGTGGATGCATATCATAGTGTTAAACCTTTCTTTTGATTCAGCAGTTTGGAAATACTCTATTTGAAGAAGATAAAAACTAGAAATAAGCCATCTGAGAAACTGTTTTATGGTGTGTGCGTTAGTCTCACAGAGTTAATACTTTCTTTTGATTCAGCAGGTTAAAAACAGTCCTTTTGTAGGATCTGCCAAGAAGCATTTGGGAGTGCATTGTGGGCTATGGTGACAAACCGAATATCCCCAGATAAAAACTAGAAAGAAGCTATCTGTGAAGCTGCTCTGTGATGTGTGGATTCGTCTCAAAGATTTAAACCTTTCTTTTGATTTAGCAGAATGGAAATAGCCCTTTTGTAGAATCTCTCATACTGCTTTGTGATGTGTGGATTCATTTCACAGAGGTAAACCTTTCTATTGATTCAGCAGGTTGGGATCAGTCCTTTTGTAGAATCCACAAAGGGACATTTGATAGTGCATTGACGCCTATGGTGACAAACTGAATATCCAAAGATGAAAAGTAGAAAGAAGCCATCTGTGAAACTATTCCATGACGTGTGGATTCATCTCACAGAAGTAAAACTTTCTTCTGAATCAGCGGGTTGGAAACATTGCTTTTCTAGAATCCATGAAAAGACATTTGGCAACTTGTTGAGGCCTAAGGTGAAAAAGAGAATATCCCCAAATAAAAACTAGAAAGAAGTTAGCTGTGAAACTGTTTAGAGATGTGTGGATTCTTCTCACAGACTGGAACCTTTCTTTTAATTCAGCAGGTTGGAAACAGTCCTTTTTTAGTATCTGCAAAAGGACATTAGGGAGTACATTGAGGGCTACAGTGATAAACCAAATAACTCCAAATAAAAAGTAGAAAGAAGTTATCTGTGAAACTGCTTTGTGATGTGTGGATTCATCTCTCAGAGTTAAACCTTTCTTTTGATACAGCAATTTGGAAACACTGTTTTTGTAGAATCTGCAAAGGGGTATTTGGGAGCTCACTGAGGCCTATGGTGACAAACTAAATATCCCCATATAAAAACTAGAAAGAAGATATCTGTGAAACCCCTTTGTGATGTGTGGATTCAATTCAGAGAGATAAACCATTTTTTTGATTCAGCAGTTTTTAAACACTGTTTGAGTAGAATCTGCAAAGAGATATTTGGGGGCTCATAGAGGCTTATGGTGAAAAAGCCAGTATCGCAAGATAAAAACTAAAAAGAAGCTATCTGTGAAACTGCTTTGTGATGTGTGGATTCATCTCACAGAGTTAAGCTTTTCTGTTGATTCAGTAGTTTGCAAACACTTTTTTTGTAGAATCTGCAAATTGACATTAGTGAGCGCATCGAGGCCTATAGAGAAAAAGCCAATATCCCCAGATAAAAACTAGAAATAAGCCACAAGCTAACCTGCTTTATGACGTGTGGATTCATCTCAGAGAGTTAAAACTTCCTCTTGGTTAAGTAGTTTCAAAACACTCTTTTTGTAGAATCTGTGAGGAAACATTTGGGAGCTCTTTTTGGCCTATGGTGAAAAAGCAAGTATCCAAAGATAAAAACTAGAGAGAGGCTCTCTGTGAAACCGCTTTGCAATGTGTGGATTCTTCTTACAGAACTAAACGTTCTTTTTCATTCAGCAGGTTGGAAACAGTCCTTTTTTAGCATCTGCAAAAGGACATTTTGGAGTGCATTGAGGCCTATGGTGACAAACTGAATATCCCCAGATAAAAACTAGAAAGAAGTTATCTGTGAAACTGCTTTGTGATGTATGGCTTCATCTCATGCAGTTTAACAATTCTCTTGATTAAGCAGATTGGAAATGCACTTTTTGTAGAATCTGCAAAGGGACATTTGGGAGCCCCTCGAGGTCTATCAGAAAAAAAGAATACACCCAGATAAAAATTAAAAATAATCTATCTGTGAATCTGCTATGTGATATGTGGATTTATGTCACAGAGTTAAACCTTTCTTTGGATTCAGCTGTTTGGAGACACTCGTTTTGGAGAATACGTGAAAGGACACTTGGGAGCCCATTGAAGCCTATGTGGAAAACTGAATATACCCAGATAACAATTAGAAAGAAGCTATCTGTGTAAGTGCTTTGTGATGAGTCAATTCATCTCACAGATTTAAACTTTTCTTTTGACTAAGCAGTTTGGAAACACTCTAATTGGAGAATCAGTGAAAAGACTTTGGGAAGCCCCTTGAGGCCTATGAGAAAAAACGAAATATCCCAAGATAAAAACTAGGAAGAATCTCTCTGTAAAATTGCTTTGTCATATTTGGGTTCATCT
This sequence comes from Homo sapiens, assembly GCF_000001405.40. Taxonomy (NCBI): domain Eukaryota; kingdom Metazoa; phylum Chordata; class Mammalia; order Primates; family Hominidae; genus Homo; species Homo sapiens. The sequence goes on from NT_187383.1 coordinate 810,736, forward strand.
CACATAGTTAAACGTTTGTTTTGACTCAGCAGGTTGGAATCACTTTTTTTGGAGAATCTGTGAAGGCACATTAGGAAGCCCATTGATGCCTATGGGGAAAAACTGCATATCCCCAGATAAAAACCAGAAAAACTATCTGTGAAACTGCCTTGTGATGTGTGGATTCATCTCACAGAGTTAAACCTTTCTTTTGATTCAGCAGGTTGTAAATGGTCTAACTGAAGAATTTTCTAAATGACATTTTGGAGCCTGTTGCAGCCTATGGGGAAAAACCAAATATCCTCAAATAAAAACTAGAAAGAAGTTGTCTGTGAAACTGCTTTGTGATGTGTGGATTCATCTCACAGAGTCAAACCTTTTTTTTATTCATGAGGTTGAAAACGCTGTTTTTCTAGAATCTTTGAAAGGACATTTGGGAGCCCATTGAGGGTTATGAAAGAAGCTATCTGTGAAACAACTTTGTGATGTGTGGATTCAGGTCACATAGTTAAAACTTTATTTTCATTCAGCAGGTTGGAAACACTCTTTTTGGATGATCTGTAAAGGGAAATTAGGGAGCCCATTGAGGCCTATGGGGAAAAACTGAATATCCCCAGATAAAAACTAGAAAGAAGCTATCTGTGAAACTCCTTTGTGATATGTCAATTCATCTCACAGAGTGAAACGTTTATTTTGATCCACCAGGTTGGGAACACTCTTTTTTCAGACTCTGTGAAGGGACATTATGGTGTCCATTGAGGCTTATATGTAAAAACAAAATATCCCCACATGAAAACTAGAAAAAAGCTATCTGTGAAAAAGCTTTGTGTTGTGTGGATCCATCTCAAAGAGTTAAACAACTCTTGTGATCCAGCAGGTTGTAAATACTCTTTTTTGGAGAATCTGCAATGGGACATTTGGGAGCCCATGGAGGCCTATGGAAAATAAGTTAATATCCCCAGATAAAGCTAGGAAGAAGCTCTCTGTGAAACTGTTTTGTGATATGTGGATTCATCTCACAGAGCAAAAGCTTTTTTTGATTCAAAAGGTTGGAAACACTCTTTTTTGAGAATCTGCAAAGGGACATTTGGGAGCACATTGAGGCCTATGGGGAAAAAATAAATATTCCCAGATAAAAACCAGACAGAAGCTATATCTGAAACTGCTTTGTGATGTGTGGATTCATCTCACAGAGTTAAACATTTTTTTTTATTTAGCAGGTTGGAAAAACTCTTTTTGGAGAATCAACAAAGTGACATTAGGAGCCCATTTAGGCTCCCTCAGAATATCCTCACAATATCCTCAGATGAAAACTACAAAGAAGCTATCTGTGAAACGATTTGTGGCATGCAGCTTCATCTCACAGAGTTAAACTGTTCTTTTGATTCAGCAAGTTAGAAACACTCTTTTTGGAGATTCTGTGAAAGGACATTTGGGAACCCATTGAAAACTAAGGGGAAAAATTGAATATTTCCAGATAAAAAACTGGAAAAGAGATATCCATGAAACTGCTTTATGAGGTTTCAACTCATCTCACAAACTTAATCCTTTATTCTGATTCAGCAGGTTGGGAGCACTCTAATTGGAGAATCAGCAAAGGGACATATAGGAGCCTATTTAGACTTATGGGGAAAAATCAAATATCCTCAGTTAAAAACAAACAAAAAGCTATCCATGAAACTGCTGTGTGATGTGTGGATTCATCTCAGAAAGTTGAGATTTTCTTCTTATTCAGCAGGTTGGAAACACTGTTTTTGGAAAATCTGGAAAGGGACATTTGGGAGCCCTTTGAGGCCTGTGGGAAAAACCGAATATCCCCAGATAAAAACTAGAAAGAAGCTATCTGTGAAACTGCTTTGTGATGTGTGGATTTATTTCACAGAATTAAAACTTTCTTTTGATTCCACAGGTTGGAAACACCATTTTTGGAAAGCATGTGATGGGACATTTGAGAGCCCCTTGAGGCTTATGGGAAACTCTAAATATCTCCAGATAAATACTCAAATGAAGCTATCTGTGAAACTGCTTTGTGATGTGTGGATTCATCTCATAGAGTTAAACCTTTCCTTTGATTCAGCAGGTTGGAAACCCTCTTCTTGGAAAATATGTGATGGTATATTTGGGAGCCCATTGAGGCCTTTGGGGAAAAACAGAATATTCCCAGATCAAAACTATAAAGATGCTATCTCTGAAACTACTTTGTGATGTGTGGATTTATCTCAGACAGTTAAACCTTCCTTTTGATTCAGCAAGTTGGAAACACTCTTTTGGGGAATCTGTGAAGGAATACATTGTAACCCTTTGAGGACATTGGGGAAAATCAAATATTCCCAGATAAAAACTAGAAAGAAGCCATGTGTGACACAGCTTTGTGATGTGTGGATTAATTTCACAGCATTAAAACTTTCTTTTGATTCTGCAGGTTGGAAACACTTTTTTTTTGGAGAATCTTCAAAGAGAAATTAGCAAGCACATTGTGGCATACATGAAAAAGCAGAATATTCCCAGATAAAACATTGAAAGAAGGTTTTATTCAGCAGGATGGAAACACTCTCTTTGTAGAATCTATGAAGGCACATTTGGGAGCCATTTGAGACCTATCAGGAAAAAAAGGATATCCCTGGATAAAAAAACACAAATAAGCTACCTGTGAAACTTCTTTGTGATGCATGGATTCAGATTACAGAGCTAAACCTTTCTTATGATTCCACAGTTTGGTAAAACTCTTTTTGGAGAATCTGTGATGGGACTTTTGGAAGTTTTTTGAAACTTATGAAAATAAATTGAATATCCCCAGATAAAAACTACAAAGAATTTTTATGTGAAATGCTTTGTGATATGTAGATTCATCTCACAGAGTTAAATTTTTCTTTTGATTCAGCATGTTGGAAACACTCTTTTTGGAGAATCTGCAAAGGGACATTTGGAAGCCCACTGAGGTCCTTGGAATAAAAACCAAATATCCCCAGATAAAAGAGAACAAAAATGCTGGCTGAAATGGCTTTGTGATGTGTGTATTCAATTCACAGATTTAAAATTTCATTTTGATTCAGCAAGTTGGAAGCATTCTTTTGGAGCATCTGTGAAGGGACATTTTGGAGTTCATTGTAGCCTATGGGGAAAAACTGAATATCAGAGATAAAAATTAAAAACAAGGTATCTGTGAAACAGTATTGTGATGTGTGGATGCATCTCACGAGTTAATGTTTTCTTCTTGTTCAGAGGGTTGCAAACACTCTTTTTGTAGAATCTGTGAAGGGACATTTTGGAGTTCCTTAAGGCCTATGGGGAAAATCGAATATCACCACATAACAACCACAAAGAAGCTATTAGTGAAACAGCTTTGTGATAGGTGGATTCGTCTCACAGTGTTAAACCTTTCTTTTGATTCAGCAGGATTAAAACACTCTTTTTGAGAAACTGTGAAGACACATTTCAGAGCCCATTGTGGCCTACAAAGAAAAATAGAATATCACCAGATAGAAAAACGAAAGAAGCTATCTGAAACTGCTTTGTGATGTGTATTCATCTCATGGAGTTAAAATTTTCTTATGATTCTGCAGGTTGGAAATACTCTTTTTGGAAAATATGTGATGGGACATTTGAAAGCCCATTTAGGCCTGTGAAGGAAAACAGAATATCTCCAGATAAAATCTAGAGAGAAGATATCTGCTTTCTGATGTGTGGATTCATCCCATAGCATTATATCTTTCTTTTGATTCAGCAGACTGTAAATGCACTTCCTGGAAAATATGCGATGGGACATTTGGGAGCCCATTGAGGCCTATGGGGAAAACAGAATATCCTGATAAAAACTAGGAAGAAGCTCTGTGTCATACTACTTTGTGATGTGTGGATTTAACCCACAGAGTTAAAACTTTCTTTTGATTCAGGCGGTTGGAAACACTCTTTTGGTTAATCTGCAAAGGGACAAATGATAACCCATTGAGGTCTATGAGGAAAAACTGAATATACCAAGATAAAAACTAAAAAGAAGCTATTATTTGTGAAATGGCTTTGTGATGGGTGGATTAATCTCACAGTGCTAAACAATCATTTTGATGCTGCAGGTTTGAAACAATTTTTTTGTAGAATCAGCAAAGGGACTTTTGGGAGCTCATTGAGGCCTCTAGTGAAAAAGCGAATATCCCCAGATAAAAACTAGAAAGAAGCTATCTGTGAAACTGCTTTGTAATATGTTGATTTATCTCACAGAGTTAAATTTTTCTTCTTATTCGCACGTTGGAAGCCCTCCTTTTGTAGAATCTGCAAAGGTACATTTGGAAGCCCATGGAGGCCTGTTAAGAAGCACCAAATATCCCCAGATAAAAACTAGAAAGAAACTCTCTGTGAAACTGCCTTGTGAAGTGTGGATTCAGCTCACAGAGTTAAACCTTTGTTTTGATTCAGTAGGTTGGAAACACTCTAATTGGAGAATCTGAAAACTGACATTTGTGAGCCCACTGAGGCCTCTGGTGAAAAACAGAGTATCCCCAGATAAAAACTTGAAAGAATTTATCTGTGAAACGGCTTTGAGATGTGTGGTTTCATCTCACAGTGTTAAAACTGTCTTTTGTTTAAGCAGGATGGAAACACTGTTTTTGGAGAATCTGTGAAGTGACACTTGGGGGCCCATTGAGACTCAGGGTAAAAACAGAACATCCCTAGATAAAAACTAGAAACAAGCTATTTGCAAAAATGCTTTGTGATGTGTGGATTCATCTTAGAGAGTTAAATGTTTCTTCTTATTCAGCAGTCTGGAAACACTCATTTTGTAGTATCTGTGAAGGGACATTTTGGGGCCTTTGTAGGCCTATGGGTAAAAACAGAATATTACCAGATAAAAACATAAAAGGAGTTATCTGTAAAACAGCTTTGTGATGTGGGGATTCATCTCACAAAGTTAAACATTTCTTTTGGTTCAGCATGGTGGAAACACTCTTTTTGGAGAATCTTCGATGGGACAATTGGGAGCCCATGTAGACCTATGGGGAAAAACCGGATATCCCCAAATAGAAACTACAATGCAGCTATCTATGAAACTACTTTGTGATGTGTGGATTCTTCTCACAGAGAAAAAAAACCTTTCTTTTAATTCAGCAGTTTGGAACCACTTTTTTCTGTAGATTCTGTGAATTGAAATTTGGAAGCAAATTGAAGACTAATGGGAAAAACTGAATATCCCGATAAAAACTAGAAATAATCTACCTGTGAAACTACTTTGTGATGTCTGAAATCATCTCACAGAGTTAAACCTTTCTTTTGATTCAGCACGTTGGACTCACTCTTTTTGGAGAATCTGTGAAGGGACATTTAAGAACCCCTTGGGGCCTAAGGGGAAAAACAGTATATCAGCAGACAGAAAATCCAAAGAAACTATCTGTGAAACTGCTTTGTGATGTGTGGATTCATCTCACAGAGTTAAACCTTTCCTTAGATTTGGCACGTTGGAAACACACTTTTTGGAGAACCTGCAAAGGGATATTTGGAAACCCATTAGGGCCTATGGGGAAAAACAGAATATCCCAAGATAAAAACTACAAAGAAGCTTTCTGTGAAACTTCTTTCTGATGTTTGATTTCATCTCACAAAGTTCAGCCTTTCTTTTGATTCAGCAGGTGGAAACAGTCTTTTTGAAGTATCTGGAAAAGACATTTGGGAGTTCATTGAGGCTACTAAAGAAAAACTGAATATCCCCCAATAAAAACTAGAAAAAAGGTGTCTGGGAAACTGCTTTGTGATGTGTGGACTCATCTCAGAGACTTAAACTTTTCTTTTGATTCAGCAGCTTGGGAAGACTTTTATCATAGAATCTGTGAAGGGACATTTCAGCACCCATTGGGTCCTATGGGGAAATATCAAATATCCCCAGATAAAAACTAGAAAGAAGCTATCTGCGAAATTTTTGTGATGTGTGGATTCATCTCACAATTTTAAATATTTCTTTTGATTCAGTAGGATGGAAACACTCTTTTTGGAGAATCTGTGAGGGAGCATTTGGGAGCCCATTGAGGCCACTGGGGAAAAACCAAATATCCCCAATTGAAAATTAGATAGAAGCTCTCTATGAAACTGCTTTGTGATGTGTGGATTCTTCTCACAGAGAAAAAAACTTTCTTTTGTTTCAACAGTTTGGAAACAGCCTTTGTTTAGTATCTGTGAAAAGAAATTTGGGACCCAATTGAAGCCTAATTGGAAAAACTGAATATCCCCAGATAAAAACTAGAATGAAGCTATATGTGAAACTACTTTGTGATATATGGATTCATCTCACAGAGTTAAACCTTTGTTTTGACTCAGCATGTTGGAAACACTCTTTTTGCAGAATCTGCGAAGGGACACTTGAATGTCCAATGAGGCCTATGTGGAAAAATTGAATATCCTTAGATAAAACTGGAGAGAAGCTACCTGTGAAACTGCTTGTAATGTGTGGATTTAACTTACAGCAGTAAATTTTTTTTTTATTCAGTAGGTTGGAAACATCCTTTTTGTAGAATCTGTGAAGGGACATTTGTGAGCCCATTTATGCCTGGGGTAAAAACGGAATATCCCCAGATAAAAACTAGAAGGAAGCTATCTGTGAAACTGCATTTTGATGTGTGGATTCATCTTACAGAGTTAATTCTTTCTTTGGATTCAGTGGGTGGAAAACATTCTTTTTGGAGAATATGAAATGGGACATTCAGGAGCACTTTGGGGTGTATGGGGAAAAACTGAATATCACCAGATAAAAACTACAAAGAAGGTATGTATGAAACTTCTTTGTGATTTGTGGATTCAACTGACAATGTTAAATCTTTCTTATGATTCCACAGGTTGGAAATACTTTTTTTGGAGAATCTGCGAAGGGACATTTGGGAGTCGTTTGAGGCCTATAGGGAGAAACCGAATATTTCCAGAAAAAAACTAGAAAGAAGCTATCTGTAAAACTGCTTTGTGTTGTGTGAACTCATGTGACAGAGTTTAAGTTTTCTTTTCATTCAGCAAGTTGCAAACACTCTTTTTGGAGAATCTGCGAAGGGACATTTGAAAGCCCATTGAGGCCTATGCAAAAAAATGGAATATTCCCAGATAAAAACTAGAAAGAAGCTATCTGTGAAACAGCTTTGTGATGCGTGGATTCATTTCATAGTGTTAAAACTTTCTTTTGATTCAGCAGGTTGGAAACAGTCTTTTTGTAGAATCTGCAAAGGGACATTGGGAGCCCATTGGAGCCTACTGAAACTGCTTTGAGATGTGTGGATTAATCTCACAGAGATAACTTTTTCTTCTTGTTCAGCAGGTTGGAAAAACCTATTTTGTAGAATCTGCAAGGGGATATTTGGATCCCTTTGAGGCCTATAGGGAAAAATCGAATATCCAAGATAAAAGCTACAAAGAAGCTATGTGTGAAACTTCTTTTTGACGTGTGGATTCAACTGGCAATATTAAATCTTTCTTATGATTCCACAGGTTGGAAATACTCCTTTTGGAGAATCTGCAAAGGGACATTTGGGATTCCTTTGAGGCCTATAGGGAGAAACCAAACATTTCCAAATAAAAACTAGAAAGAAGCTATCTGTGAAATGGCTTTGTGGTTTGTGAACTCACCTGACAGAATTTAAGTTTTCTTTTGATTCAGCAGGTTGAAAACACTCTTCTTGGAGAATCAGCAAAGGGACATTTGGGAGCCCATTGAGGCCTACTGAAACTTTTGTGTGATGTGTGGATTCATCTCACTGAGTTAAATTTTTCTTCTTATCCAGCAGGTTGGAAACACTTTTTTTGTAGAATCTGTAAAGGGACATTTGGATCCCTTTGAGGCCTATAGGGAAAAACAAAATATCCCCAAATAAAAACTACAAAGAAGCTATGTGTGAAACTTCTTTGTTATGTGTGGATTCAAATGACAATGGTAAATCTTTCTTATGTTTCTGCATGTTGAAAATACTTTTTGGAGAATCTGTGAAGGGACATTTCAGAGTCCTCTGAGGCCTATAGGGAGAAAGTGAATTGCTGAGACCAGCTCTGTTGGGGAGACCCTAACCCAGAGGCACTAAAGTAATTAAAGACAGGCACACAGAAATATAGAGGTGTGAAATGGGAAATCAGGGATCTCACTGCCTTCAGAGTTGAAAGCCCTGAACAGAGATTTACCCAAGTGTTTATTAACAGCAAGCCAGATATTAGCACTGTTTCTATAGATATTAAATTAACTAAAAGTATCCTTTATGGGAAATGAAGGGATGGGCTGAATTAAAGGAATGGGTTGGGCTAGTTAATTGCAGCAGGAGCATGTCCTTAAGGCACAGATCACTCATGCTATTGTTTGTGGCTTAAGAATACCTTTAAGCGGTTTTCTGCCCTGGGCAGGCCTGGTGTTCCTTTCCATCGTTCCTGTAAACACATAGCCTTCCAGCGTGGGCATTACGGCCCTCATGAACCTGTCACAGTGCTGCAGAGACTGTTTATGGCCAATTTGGGAGCCAGTTTATGGCCAGATTTTGGGTGGCTTGTTCCCAACAGCGAATATTTCCAGATACAAGCTAGAAAGAAGCTATTTGTGAAACTGCTTTGTGTTGTGTGAACTCATCTGACAGAGTTTAAGTATTCTTTTGATTCAGCAGGTTGGAAACACTGTTTTTGGAGAATCTGTGAAGAGACATTTGAAAACCCATTAATGCCTATGGAAAAAAACAGAATATCCCCAGATAAAACTAGAAAGAAGCTATCTGTGAAGCTGCTTTGTGATGTGTGGATTCCTTTCACAGATTTAAAAAATTCTTTTGATTCACCATGTTGGAAACACTTTATTTGGAGAATCTGCAAAGGGACATTTGGGAGCTTTTTGTAGCCTATGAGAAAAAAATGAATATCCCCAGACAAAAACTAAAAACAAGCTATCTGTGCTATCTGTGAAAGTACTTTGTGACATGTGGATTCATATGAAAGACAAAACTTTCTTATGATTCAGCAGGTTGGAAACAGTCTTTTTGGATAATCTGCAAAGGGACACTTGGGAGCCCATTGAGGCCTGTGGGGAAAAAACGAATATCCCCAAATAAAAACTAGAAAGTTGGTATCTATGAAACTTCTTTGCAATGTGTGGATTCCTCTCGCAGAGAGAAACCTTTCTTTTGATTCACCAGTTTGGATACACTCTTTCTGTGGAATCTGAGAAGGCTAATTTGGGTGTCAATTGAGGCCTAATGGGAAAACCTGAATATTCCCAGGTAAAAACTAGAATGAAGCTATCTTTGAAACTCCCTGAGATGTGAAAATTCATCTCATAAAGCTAAATCTTCCCTTTGATTCAGCAGTTTTGGAGCATTATTTTTGTAGAATCTGTGAAGGGATGTTTAGGAACCTCTTGAGGCCTATGGGGAAAACAGAATATCCCCAGATAAAAGCTAGAAAGAAACGGTCTGTTTTCTACATACGGCTAGCCAGTTTTCCCAGCACCATTTATTAAATAGGGAATCGTTTCCCCATTGCTTCTTTTTCTCAGGTTTGTCAAAGATCAGACAGTTGTAGATATGCAGTGTTATTTCTGAGGGCTCTGTTCTGTTCCATTGATCTATATCTCTGTTTTAGTACCAGTACCATGCTGTTTTGGTAACTGTAGCCTTGTAGTATAGTTTGAAGTCAGGTAGTGTGATGCCTCCAGCTTTGTTCTTTTGGCTCAGGATTGACTTGGCGATGCGGGCTCTTTTTTAGTTCCATATGAACTTTAGTTTTTCCAATCCTGTGAAGAAAGGCATTGGTAGCTTGATGGGGATGGCATTGAAACTGTAAATTACCTTGGGCAGTATGGCCATTTTCACGATATTGATTCTTCCTACTCATGAGCATGGAATGTTCTTCCATCTGTTTGTATCCTCTTTTATTTCCTGAAAGCTGAAAGTGGATCCCTTCCTTACACCTTATACAAAATTCAATTCAACATGGATTAAAGACTTAAACGTTTGACCTAAAACCATAAAAATCCTAGAAGAAAACCTAGGCATTACCATTCAGGACATAGGCATGGGCAACGACTTCATGTCTAAAACACCAAAAGCAATGGCAACAAAAGACAAAATTGACAAATGGGATCTAATTAAACTAAAGAGCTTCTGCACAGCAAAAGAAACTACCATCAGAGTGAACAGGCAACCTACAAAATGGGAGAAAATTTTCACAACCTACTCATCTGACAAAGGGCTAATATCCAGAATCTACAATGAACTCAAGCAAATTTTCAAGAAAAAACAAACAACCCCATCAAAAAGTGGGCGAAGGACATGAACAGACACTTCTCAAAAGAAGACATTTATGCAGCCAAAAAACACATGAAAAAATGCTCATCATCACTGGCCATCAGAGAAATGCAAATCAAAACCACAATGAGATACCATCTCACACCAGTTAGAATGGCAATCATTAAAAAGTCAGGAAACAACCGGTGCTGGAGAGGATGTGGAGAAACAGGAACACTTTTACACTGTTGGTGGGACGGTAAAGTAGTTCAACCATTGTGGAAGTCAGTGTGGCGATTCCTCAGGGATCTAGAACTAGAAATACCATTTGACCCAGCCATCCTATTACTGGGTATATACCCAAAGGACTATAAATCATGCTGCTATAAAGACAAATGCACACTTATGTTTATTGCGGCATTATTCAACCTTTGTAGGGACATGGATGAAATTAGAAATCATCATTCTCAGTAAACTATCGCAAGAACAAAAAACCAAACACCGCATATTCTCACTCATAGGTGAGAATTGAACAATGAGATCACATGGACACAGGAAGGGGAATATCACACTCTGGGGACTGTTGTGGGGTGGGGGGAGGGGGAGGGATAGAATTGGGAGATATACCTAATGCTAGATGACGAGTTAGTGGGTGCAGCGCACCAGCATGGCACATGTATACATATGTGACTAACCTGCACAATGTGCACATGTACCCTAAAACTTAAAGTATAATAAAAAAACAGACCCATGGACCAAGAAGAATAAGTAGGAGGTAGAGGAAAGCCTAGAGGTATAGAAGACCAAATCGATGATGGCATGGAGGTGCAGATAAGGTTACTATGTGAAGGATAATTTGGTGAGATTAACCTCGTAAAATGGTGAAGTGATTCTTTGGATGGTAATAATTGCATGAAGTAGAAAAGAATTCATTTGCTTTGGAAGAAAAAGCCTTAGATTCTAGCTTCTTACCTGCCATTTTTACTCTGTATCTTGGGAACAAATCACCTCACCCTTCTTGGAATACCTGTTGGTTTATCTAAATAGCCAGCCTCCTGAGGGATTTGTTTCTTCTGCCATTCAAACTGTATGTTTGCACAAAGACCTATTATTAGAAGGTTTGACTCCATCCTTTAACCACTGGTTACATTGATTGGTACAGGGATGGTCATCCAACCCAAACTTTGCTAAACAACAGAGCCCTTTCTAGGGCATTTATTTTCAAATTGTATCAAAACGAGAATTTTCCCTTTTCTTGTTCTGGGAATTATTAGATGGGATACTAGAGAGCTGTCAGCTCCTACAATTTTATTTTATTTTTTTACAATGTTGAGGTAGCTGTTCTGCAATGAGAGAGAGTAAAGACAATATACCAAAAAAAGCATAGACAAGAGATATAGAGGGCTATTGGGAGTAAGGTCCCTGAATTTTGTTGACACTTAATTTTATCTACTTCTTCCCTGTGGTTTGCCTGTCCAGAATTCTGTTTGATTCTGTTATTTTTCCAATGAATTGTCTACTTTGCCTTGGTCAGCTTAAGTTGTGATTCTGTCCCTTGTAATCTAAAGAATCCCAGTGAACACATTTCCAAAGCAATTTCCTTATGTCTAGGAATGTGTAGGCGTGAGACACAATTAGTTATTATTATTATTGAAATAGAACAGTCGGTAGTTTGAATTCACCTGAATGTGATATTTCCAACTGCAGCCTTTGAGAAGATTGACTGTATTAGAGGTGCTAGGGTGAGATTTACTGTACTTTTAGATGCTATTTTTCTAGAAGATCCAAGAGCATGTGCATTCTGCTTTGAACCAGTAATCTCTGTCTTAAAAAAATTCCATTCCAAAGATTGTGTGTGTGTGCATTTGTGTGTGTGTGTGTGTGTATAGAAAATGTGACACTGGGCAACAATGTAATTATTAGCTCATTAAAAGTAATCTTCAAAGAAAAAAAAGAAAGAAATGGTATGTGAAACTGCTTCATAATGTGAGCATTCATCTCATAAAATTAAACATTTCTTTTGATTCAGCAGGTTGTAATGACTCTTTTTGTAGTATCTGTGAAGGGACATTTGGGAGACCATTGAGACCTATGGCAAAAAAAGCGAATTTCCCCAGATAAAAACTACAAGGAAGTTAATTGTGAAACTGCTTTGTGATGTGTGGATTAATCTCACAGAGTTAAACCTTTCTTTTGATTCAGCTTCTTGGAAACACACTTTTTGTAGAATCTGCAAAGGGACATTTGGGAGCCAATTGAGGCCTATGGGGAAAACAAAATATCTCCAGATAAAAACTAGAAAGAAGATATCTCTGATACTGTTTTGTGATATGTGGAGCACCTCACACAGTTTAACCTTTCTTTTGCTCCAGCAGCTGGGAAACACTCTTTCTGGAGAATCTGAGAAGGGACAATTGGGAGCCCATTGAGGCCCAAAGGGAAAAACTGAATATCCCCAGACAAAAACGAGAATGAAATTATCAGTGAAACTGATCTGTGATATGTGGATTCATCTCATAGAGTGAAAACTTTCTTTTGATTCAGTAGGCCAGAAATACTCTTTGTAGAATCATCAAAGGGGCACTTGAGAGCCCATCAAGGCTTTTGAGGGAAAAGTGAATAAACTCAGATAAAAACTAGAAATAAGCTATCTGTGAAACTCCTTTGTGATGTTGGGGTTCCTCTCATAAAGCTAAATATTTCCCTGGATTCAGCAGATTGGAAACCCTCTTTTTGTAAAAACTGTGAAGGGAGATTTGGGAGCCCAGACACGCCTAGCGGAAAAACTGAATATCCCAAGATAAAAACCAGAAAGAACCTATCTGTGAAAATGCTTTGCAATGCGTGGATTCATCACACAGAGTTTAATTTGTTCTTTGATTCAGCAGGTTGGAAACACTATTTTGCAGAAATCATGAGAGGACACTTTGCCAGTCAAAGAGGCCTATGGGAAAAATCAAATATCCCAAGATAAAAACTAGAAAAAAGCTTTCTCTGAAACTGCTTTCTAATGTTTGGATACATCTCACAAAGTTAAACATTTCTTTAGATTCAACAGGTGAGAAACAGTTTTTTGAAGAATCTGCAAATGGACATTTGAGAGCCCATTAAGGCCTATGGGGAAAAATAAAATATCCCCAGATACAAACTAGAAAGAAGCTCTCTGTGAAACTGCTTTGTGATGTGTGGATTCATCTCACAGACTTAAACCTTTAAAATTTTTTGATTCATAAGGTTGAAACACTCTTTTCATAGAATCTGCAAAGGGACAATAAAGAGCCCATTGGAACCTGAGGACAAAAAACAGACTATCCCCAGATAAAAACTAGAAAGCAACTGTCTGTGAGACTGCTTTGTGATGTGTGCATTCATCTCACAGATTGAAACTTTCTTTTGATTCAGCAGGTTGGAAACTCTTTTCGGGGAATTTGTGAAGAAACATTTGGGAGCTTATTGAGGCCTATGGAAAAACAATGGCTATCTCCAGATAAACACTAGAAAGAAGCTATCAGTGAAATTGTATTGTAATATGTGGATTCATCTTACCAAGTTATATCATTGTTTTGATTCAGCAGGTTGCAGAAACTTTTTTAAAAGAACCTGTGAAGGACCTTTTGAGAGCCCAATGAGAACTGTGGGGAAAACCTCATATCCCCGGATAAAATCTAGAAAGAAGCTATCTGTGAAACTGCTTTGTAATGTGTGGATTCATCTCACAGAGGTAAACCTTTATTTTGATTGAGCAGGTTAGAACCACACTTTTTGGAGAATCAGTGTGGGGGCATTTTGGAGTCATTGAGGCCTATCAGGAAATACAAAATATCCCCAGATAAAAATTAGAGAAAAGCTATCTGTGAAACTGCTTTGTGATGTGTGGATTTATATCACAGAGTTGAACCCTTCTTTTGATTCAGCTCTTTGAAACAACTCTTTTAGAGAATATGCAGAGGGATATTTGGGAGCCAATTGTGGCCCATGGGGAAAAACTGAATATTCCCAGATTAAAACTAGAAAGAAGCTTTCTGTGAAACTACTTTGTGATGTGTGGATTCATCTTACTGAGTTAAACATTTCCTTTGATTCAGCTGGTTGGAGCCACTATTTTAGGAGAATCTGTGAAGGGACGTTTAGGAGCCCATTGAGGTCTATGGGGAGAAACAAAATATCCCCAGATAAAAACTGAAAACAATCTATCTGTGAAACTGTTCTGTTATGTGTGGATTCAAATCACAGAGGTACACCTATTTTTGATTCAGCTGGTTGGAAACATTCTCTTTGGAGAATGTGGGAAAGGATATTTGGGAGCCGACTGTGACCTACAGGGAAAAACTGAATATCCCCAGATTAAATTGAAAAACAAGCTATCTGTGAAACTGCTTTGTGATGTGTGGATTCATCTCACATAGGTAAAACTTTATTTTGATTCAAGAGGTTGGAACCTCTTTTTTTGTAGAAACTGTGAAGGGACATTTGGGAACACATTGACGCCTATGTGGAAAAAGTGAACATCCCCAGATAATAAGTAGAAAGGAGCTACCTGTGACACTGCTTTGCGATGTGTGGGTTCTTCTCGCAGAGTTAAACAGTTCTTTGGATTCAGCACGCTGAAAGCACCATTTTTGGATTATCTGGGAAAGGACATTTGGAAGTCCATTGAGGCCCATGGGAAAAATAGAATATCCTGATAAAAACTTCAAAGAAGTTATCTGTGAAACTGCTTTTAAGGTGTCAATTCATTTCACTGAGTTGAATCTTTCTTTTGACACAGCAGGTTGGGTAGCCTCTGATTGGAGAATCTGTGAAGGGACATTTGGGAACCCATTGAGACCTATGGGGAAAAACAAAATAACCCCAAACAAAAACTAGAAATAAGCTATCTGTGAAATGGCTTTGTTATGGGTGGATTCATCTCACAGAGTTAAACCTTTCTTTTGATTCAGCAGGTTGGAGACACTCTTTTTAAAGAATCAGCAAAAAGATATTTTGGAGCCCTTTTGAAGCATTTGGGGAAAACAAAATATCCCCAGATAAAAACTAGAAAGAAGCTACTTGTGAAACTGCTTTGTGTTGTGTAGATTCATATCACAATGTTAAACCTTTCAATTCAGCAGGTTAGAAACACTTATTGGGGAATCTGTGAAGGGACATTTGGGAACCTCTTGAGGCCTATGGGAAAAAAACAAATATCGTTAGATAAATTCTAGAAAGAATGTGTCTGTGAAACTGCTTTGTTAAGAGTGGATTCATCTCACAGTGTTAAACCTTTCTTTTGATTCAGAAGGTTGGAAAAACTCTCATTGGATAATCTGCACAGGGACATTTTGTAGCCCATTGAGGCCTACAGTGGAAAACAGAATATTCCCAGCTAAAAACTAGAAAGAAGCTGTCTGTGAAACTGCTTTTTAAATTGTGGATTCATCTCACAGTGTTAAACCTTTCTTTTGATTCAGCAGGATGGAAACACTCTTTGGAAAATCTGCGAAGGGATATTTCAGAGCCTATTGATGTCTACAGGGAAAAACGAATATCTCCAGATACAAACTAGAAAGAACCCATTTTGCAGAGATTTATCCCTGCTTTATGAGATAGGGATTCATTTAACAGTGTAAACTTTTCTTTTGATCTAGCTGGTAGGAAACACTCTTTTTGGGTAATCTGTGAAGGGATATTTAGAAGTCCATTGTGGGCTATGGGGAAAAACTGAATATACCCAGATAAAAACTAGACAGAACCTAGCTCTGAAACTGCTTTGTGATATGTGGATTCATCTCACAAAATTAAACTTTTCTTCAGACACAGCTTGTTGAAAACACTTTTTGAAGAATCTGCCTAGGAACATTTGGGAACCCCTGAAGGCCTAAGGAAAAAAACAGAATATTCCCAGATAAGAACTAGAAAGAACCTATCTCTGAAACTGCATTGTGATGTGTGGATTCATCTCATGAACTTAAGCATTTCTTTTGATTCAGGAGTTTGGAAACATTCTTTTTGCACAATCTGTAAAGGGACATTTGAGAGCTCCTGGAGGGCTATGAGGAAAAACAAAATGTCCCTACATAAAAACTGGATAGAAGCTAACTGTCAAAATGCTTTGTGATAAGTGGATTCACCTTACAAAGTTAAACATTTCTTTTGATTAATCAGGTTGGAAACATGCTTTTTGGAGACTATGTGAAGGGACATTTGGGGGCCCATTAGGGCTTATATGGCAAAACCAAATATCCCCAGTTAAAAACTAGAAAGAACTTATCGGTTAAACTGCTTGTGAAGTGTGGATTCATTCCACAGAGTTAAACTGTTCTATGATTCAGCAGACTGGGAAACCTTTTTTGCAGAATGTGCAAAAAGACCTTTTGGAGACCATTAAGGCCTAAGGGGCAAAACCGAATATCCCAAGAAAAAACTAGAAGGAAGCAATCTGTGAAACTGCTTTCTGATGTGTGGATTCATCTCACAGAGTTAAAACTTTCTTTTGATTTAGAAGGCTGGAAACACTTTTTTTGAAAAATCATGTGAAGGGACTGTTTGGAGCCCATTGAGTCCTAGGGGGAAAAATCTGAATACCCCAGAAAAAAATAGAAAGAAATTATCAGTGAATCTGCTTTGTTATGTGTGGATTCATCTTACAGAGTTAAGCCTTTCTATTGATTCAGCCGCTTGGAAACACATTTTCCTTTTTAAGAATCTGTGAAGGGATATTTGGGAGCCCATTGAGCCCATTGAGGTAAAACTGAATATCTCCAGATAAAAACTTGAAAGCAGCTGTCTCTGAAATTGCTTTGAGATGTGTGGATACATCTCACAGAGTTAAACCTTTTTTTTTTTTTTTTGATTCAGCAGGTTGGAAAACCTCTTTTTAGAGAATCTGCAAAAAGACATTTGGGAGCATATTAAGGCCTAAGGGGAAAAACTGAGTATTCCAAGTTAAAAACTACAAAGAAATTATCTGTGAAACTGCTTTTGATGTGTGGATTCATATCAGAAACTTGAACTTTTCTTTTGATTCTGCAGATTGGAAGCACTCTTTTTGGAGAATCTGCGAAGAGACATTTGGGAGCCCTTCGAGGCCTATGGAGAAAAATTGAATACCCCCAGATAAAAACTAGCAAAAAGCTCTTTGAAACTGCTTGGTGATGTGTGGATTTATCTCACAGACATAAACTTGTTTTTTTGATTCAGTGTTTTGGAAAAACTCTTTTTGGAGAATCTGTGAAGGGACATTCTGAGGCCTATGGAAATAAGCAAAATATCCCAGAAAACAAATAGAAACTAGCCATCTAGTGAAACTGCTTCGTGATATGTGGATTCATTGCACAGAGTAAAACCTCTCTTTTCATTCAGCAGGTTGGAAACACTTTTTTGGAGAATCTGCAAAGGGACACTTTGAAGCCCATTGAAATCTACAGCGAAAAACTGAATATCTCCAATAAAAGTTAGAAAAAAGCTTTCTGAGAAACAGTTTGTGATGTGTGGATTCATCATAAACAGCTAAAACTTTCTTTTCATTCAGAAGGTTGAAAACACTCTTTTTGGGGAATCTGTGAAAGGACATTTGGGAGCCCATTGAGGTCTATGGAGAAAAACCAAATATCCCCAGATAAAATTAGAAAGAAGCTATCTGTGAAATTACTTTGTGATGTATGGATTCATCTTCCAAAGTTAAAACTGTATTTTGATTAAGCAGGTTGGAAACACTCTTTTGGAGGATATGTGAGGTGATATTTGGGAGCGCTTTGAGGATCACAGGAAAAAACAAATATTCCTATATAAAAACTAGAAAGAATCTATCTATGAAACTGCTTTGTGATGTGCAGATCCATCTCACAGAGGTAAACCTTTCTTTTGATTCAGCAGGTTTTAAACAGTAGTTTTGGAGTGTCTGCAAAGAGACATTTGGAAGCTTTTGGGGGCCTATAAAAAATTGAATTTCCCCACATAAAAACTACAAAAAAGCTATCTGTGAAACTACTTTGTGATGTGTGGATTCATCTCACAGAGATAAACATTTCCTCTCATTCAGCAGGTTGGAAACACTCTTTTCAAAGTATCTGCAAAATGATATTTCAAAACCCATTGAGGCCTTGGGGGAAAAACAGAATGTCCCCAGATAAAAACTACAAAGAAGCTATCTGTGAAACTGCTTTGTGATGTGTGGATTCTTTGCACAGATTTAAATTTTTGTCTTGATTCAGCAGCATGGAAACATTTCTTTTGGAGAATCAGCAAAGGGACATTTGAGAGCTTATTGAGGCCTAGGTGGTAAATTGAATATCCCCCAATAAAAACTAGAAGCAATCTGTGAAACTGCATTGGGATGTCTGGAGTCATCTCACAGAGTTAAATCTTTGTTTTGATTCAGCAGGTTTGAAACACTCTTTTTGCAGTATCTGAGAAGGGACATTTTGAAGCCCTTAGAGGCCTATGGTGCAAAACAGAATAGTCCATGAATAAAACTAGAAGAAGCTATTTGAGCAACTGCTTCATAATGAGTGGATTCATCTCACAAAGTTAAACTTTTTTTTGATTCAGCAGATTGGAAACACTCTTTTCAGAAAATCTGTGAGCCCACAAGGGCCTGAGGGGAAAAATCAAATATCCCCAGATACAAAGCGGAAAGAAACTATCTGTGAAACTGCTTTTTGATGTGTTGATTCCTCTCACAGAATTAAACCTTTCTTTTTATTTAGCATGGTGGAAACACTCTTTTTGGGGACTCTGGGAATGCACATTTGGGAGCCCATTGAAGCCCATGGGAAGAAAATGAGTATCCCCAGAAAAAATAAATTAGAAAAAAGCTAGCTGCAAAACTGCTTTGTAATGTGTGGATTCATCTCACAGAGTTAAATCATCCTTTTTATTCAGCAGGTTATAAACACTCGTTTTGGAGAATCTGCAAAGGGACATTTGTGAGCCAGTTGAGGCCTACAGAAAAAATCCAAATATCCCCAGAAAAAAAGTAGAAAGAATCTTTGTGAAACTGGTTTTTGATGTGTGGACTCTACTCACAGAGTTAAATTATTCTTTTGATTCAGCATGTTGGAAAATCTTTTTGGAGAATTTGCAAAGCAACATTTTGAAGCCAATTGAGGCAGAAAGGGAAAAACCAAATATCCATAGATAAAAACCAGAAAGAAGGTATCCGTGAAACTGTTTTATTATGTGTGGATTTATCTCACAAAGATAAACCTTTCTCTTGATTCTGCAGGTTGGAAACACTCTTTTTGTAAAATCTAAGAAAAGACATTTGGGAACCCATTGAGGTCTAAGGTGTAAAAGAGAATAACCCCAGATAAAAACTAGAGAGAAGTTATTTTTGAAATTGCTTTGTGATGCGTGGATTCATCTCACAGAGTTAAAGGTTTTTTTTTCAGCAGGTTGGAAACGCTCTTTTTGGACAATCTGCAAGAGGACATTTTGTAGCCCATTGTGGCCTATGAAGAAAAATTGAATATCCCAGATAAAAATTAGGAAGATTCTATCTGTGAAACTGGTTTGTGAGGTTTGGATTCATCTCACAGAGTTGAAACTTTCTTTTAATCCATAAGTTTGAGAACACTCTTTTTTTAGGATATGTGAAAGGACATTTGTGACACCTTTGAGGCTTATAAGGAAAAACTTAATATATCCAGATAAAAACTATAAAGAAGCTATCAGTGAAATGCTTTATGAGGTGTAGATTCATCTCACAGAGCTAAATCTTTCTTTTCAGGCAGTATGTTGGAAAAATTCTTTTTGTAGGATCTGCAAAAAGACATTTTGGAGCTCATTGAGGCCTATGGGAAAAAAATTAATATACCAGACATAAACTAGAGAGACGTTAACTGTGAAGTTGTCTTGTGATATGTGGATTCATCCCACAGAGTTAAACATTTCTGTTGATTCAGCCAGTTGGAAACACTCTTTTTGGAGAATCTGTTATGGGACATTTGGGAGCCCATAAGGCCTATGGGGGAAAAACCGAATATCCCCAGATAAAAACTAGAAAGGAGCTATCTGTGAAATTTTTTTTCATCTAAATTCATCTCACAGAGTTAATCCTTGCTTTTGATTCAGCTGGTTGGAAGTACTCTTTTTGGTGAATCTGCAAAGGGACATTTCGGAGCCCATTGAGGCCTATGGGGAAAAAAACGAATATCTGCAGATAAAAACTAAAAAAAAAAAAAGCTATCTGTGAAACTGTTTTGTGATTTGTGAATTTATCTCACAGAGATAAACTGTTTTCTTGATTCAGCAGGTTGAAAACCCTCCTTTTGGAGAATCTTCAAGGGGACAACTGAGAGATTATTGATGACTTAAAAAATGTATATCCCCAGATAAAAACTAGAAATAAGCTATCTGTGAAACTGCTTTGTGACGCGTGGATTCATCTTACAGAGTTAAACTTTTCTCTTGATTCTGCAGGTTTCAAACACTCTAGAATCTCTGATGAAACATTTGGGACCTTTTTGGGGCCTATAAGGGAAAACTGAATATCCCAAAATAAAAACTAGAAAGAACATCTCTGTGAAACTGCTTTGTAATGCATGGATTTATCTCATAGAGTTAAGCCTTTCCTTTGATTCAGCAGGTTGGAAAAACACTTTTTGTAGAATCTGTGAGGGAACATTTTTGAGCATATAGAGGCCTAGAGGAAGAAAAGAATATCCTCAGATGAAAACTAGAAAAAAACAATGTGTAAAACTGCTTTGAGATGTGTGGATTCATCTCACAGAGCTAAACCTGCATTTGATTCTGCATATTGGAAACACTTTTTTTGAAGGATCTGCAAAGGGACATTTGGGAGCCCTTTGAGGCCTATGAAGCAAAACTGAATATCCTTAGGTAAAAAGAACAAAGAAGCTATCTGTGAAACTGCTTTGTGGTGTGTGGAACACATCTGGGAGCACATTGAGGCATATGGGGAAAAACTGAATATGCCCATATAAAAACTAGAAAGAAGTTATCTGTGATCTACTTTGGGATGTGTGGATTTATCTCACAGAGTTCAATTTTTCTTTTGTCTTAGCAGGTTGGAAACACTCCTTTTGGAGAATCTGCAAAGAGATATTTGGGAGCCCTTTATAACCTATGGGTGAAAATCTAATATCCCAAGAAAAAAACGAAAATAAGTCTATCTGTGAAACTGCTTTTTGATGTGTGGATTCATCTCACAGAGTTAAAACTTTCTCTTGATTCAGCAGGTTGGAAAAGCTCCTTTTGGAGAATCTGCAAAGGAACAATTTAGAGCCCATTGAGGCCTACAGGGAAAAATCCAATATCCTCAGATATAAACTAGAAAGAAGCAATTTGTGAAAATGCTATGTGATGTGTGGATTCATCTCGCAGAGTTACAGCTTTATTTCGATTGAGCAAGTTGGAAAAACTCTTTTTGGAGAAACTGCAAAGAGACATTTGGGAGCCCATGGAGCCCTATAAGGAAAAACAGAATATCCAAAGATAAAAACTAGAAAGAATGTATCTTTGAAACTTCTTTGTGATGTGTGGACTCATTTCACACAGGTAAAGCTTTCTTTTGATTCAGCATGTTGGAAACACACTTTTTGTGGAATCTGCCAATGGACATTTTGGAGCCCAATAAGGCCTATGGGGAAAAATTGAATATCTCCAGATAAAATCTAGAAATAAGCTATCTGTGAAACTGCTTTTGGAGTGTGGGTTCATCACACAGAGTTAAACCTCTCTTTTGATTCACCAGTTTGGAAACACTGTTTTTGTAGTATTTGCGAAGGGACATTTTGGAGTCCAGTTGAGGCCTAGGCAGAAAAATGAAATACCCACAGGTAAAAACTAGAAAGAAGCTATCTGTGAAACTGCTTTGTGATGTGTGGATTTATCTCACAGAGTTAAAATGTTCTTTTTATTCAGCAGGTTGAAAACACTTTTTTTGTAGAATCTATGAAGGGACATTTGGTAGCCAATGGAGGCCTATGGGGAAAAACAGAATATCCCCAGATAAAAGCTAGAAAAAAAGCTATCTTTGAAACTGCTTTTTGAGGTGTGCATTCATCTCACAGAGTTAAACCTTTCATTTTATTCAAAAGGTTTGAAATACTCTTTTGGGAAAATCTACAAAGGGACATTTAGGAGCCCATTGAAATCTAGTGGAAAAGTCAAATATCCCCAGATATAAACTAGAAAGAAGCTATCTGTGAAACAGTTTTGTCATGTGTGGATTCATCTTACAAAGTTAAATCTTTCTTTTCTACAGTAGGTTGGAAACACTCTTTGTAGAATCTGCAAAGAGACATTTAGGAGCTCATTGAGGTCTATGGGGAGAAAACTAATATCCAGATAAAAACTAGAAAGAAGCTATCTTTGAAACTCCTTTGTGATGTGTGGATTCATCTCACAGTGTTAAACCTTTGTTTTGATTCAGAAGATTGGAAATACTATTTTTGTAGGGTCTGCAAAGTGAAATTTGAAGCCCATTTTCATCTAAGGGGAAAAAGCAAATATCGACAGATAAAAACTAGAAAGAAGCTATCTATGAAACTCCTTTGTGAGGTATGAATTCATCTCACAGTGTTAAACCTTTCTTTTGATTCAGCAGATCAGAAACACTTTTTTTGTAGTATCTGTGAAGGGACATTTCAGAGCCCATTGAGGCCTATGGGGAAAAACAGAATGTCCGCAGATAAAAACTAGAAAGAAGCTATCTGTGAAACTGCTTTGTCATGTGTGGATTCGCCTCACAGAGTAAAACCTTTCCTTTAATTCAGTAGGTTAAAAACCCTATTTTTGGAGAATCTGCGAAGGGACATTTGGTAGTCAATTGATGTGAATGGGGAACAACTGAATATCATCAGATAAAATCAAGAAAGAAGATATCACTTCCTTGTGATGTGTGGATTCAACTCACGGAGTTAAGCCTTTGTTTTTAATCAGCAGGTTGGAAACACTGTTTTTGGAGAATCTGCAACATGATGTTTTGAGGCCCATTTAGGCCTTGTGGAAAAATCGAATATCCCCACATAAAAACTAGATAGAAGGTATATGTGAAACTGCTTTTTGATGGGTAGATTCATCCAAGTGATTTAAATATTTCTTTTGATTCAACGGATTGGAAACACTGAAACGTTTGGGAGCCCTTTGAAGCCTATGTGGAAACATCAAATTTCTTCACATAAACACTAGAAAGAAGCTATCTCTGAAACTGCTTTGGGATATGTGGATTCATCTCCCAGAGTTAAAACTTTCTTTTGATTCAGCAGGTTGGAAACACTCTTTTTGGGGAATCTGTGAAGGGACATTTGTGAGCCATTTTAGGCCAAAGGCAAAAAAAAAAAAATCCACAGATTAAAACTAGAAAGAAGCTATCTGTGAAACTGCTTTGTCATGTGAGGACTCATCTCACCAAATAAAACCTTTGTTTTGATTCAGCAGGTTTGAAACACTCTTTTTGTAAGATCTTAAGGGACATTTGGGAGCCCACTGAAGTCTATGTGAAATAAGCAAATATCCCCAGAAAAAAAAAAAAAAAAAAAACAGAAAAAGGCTATCTTTGAAACTGCCTTGTAATATGTGGTTTTATCTTACAGTGTTAAACGTTTATTTTGATTCAGTAGGTTGGAAACACTGTTACTGCAGAACCTGCAATAGGCCATTTAGGAGCCCAATAAGGCTGATGTGTCAAAATTGAATATCCCCAAACAAAAAAAGAAGAGAAGCTATTTGTGAAACTGCTTTTTGATGCATGGATTTATCACACAGAACTAAACATTTCTGTTGGTCCAACAGGTTGGCAACAGTCTTTGTGGAGAATCTGTGAAGGGATATTTTGTAGCCCATTGTGGCCTCTTGGGTGAAACAGAATATCTCCAGATAAAAAGAACAAAGACAAATTCTTTGAAACAGCTTTCTGGTGTGTGGATTCATCTCACAGAGTCAAACCTTTATTTTGATTCAGCATGTTGTAAACACTCTTTTTGGAGAACCTGGGAAGGGAGGTTTGGAAGCCTAAAGAGGCCTATGGGGAAAAACGGAATATCCAAAGATAAAAACTAGAAAGAAGCTATCTGATAAGCTGCTTTGTAATGTGTGGATTTATCTCACAGAGTTAAAAGTTTGTTTTGAGTCAGCAAGTTGGAACCACTGTTTTTGGAAATCTATGAAGGGACATTTGGGAGCCCTTTGAGGCCTATGGAGAAAAATCAAATATCCTCAGATAAAAACTAGAAAGAAGCTATCTCTGAAACTGCTTCATGATGTGTGGATTCAGCTCCCAGAGTTAAACCTTCCTTTTGAATCAGCAGGTTGCAAACACTCTTTTTGGAAAATCTGTGAAGGGAAATTTGGGAGCACATTGAGGCCTATGATGAAAAACTGAATATGGCCAGATAAAAACTAGAAAGAAGCTATCTGTGAAACTGATTTTGGATGTGTGGCTTCATCTCAGAGAGTTAAACTTTTCTTTTGATTCAGCAGGTTGGAAACACTCTTTTTGAAGCATCTGTGAAGGGATATTTGGAATCCAATTGAGGACTATGGGGAAAAAACAAATATCCCCAGATCAAAACAAGAAAGAAGCTTTCTGTGAACCTACTCGTGATGGGTGGATGCAACTCACAGACTTAAACTTTCTTAGGATTCAGTAGGTTGAAAACACTCTTTCTGAGAATCTGCAAAGGGATGTTTAAAAGCCCTTTGAGGCCTATGGTAAAAACAGAAAATCTCCAGATAAAAACTAGAAGGAAGCTATCTGTGAAACTGGCTTGTGATATGTGCATTCAAGTCACAGAGTTAAACCTTTCTTTTGATTCAGCAGGTTGGAAACACATTATTGGAGAATCTGCAAAGGGATATTTGGGAGCTGATTAAGTCTATGTGGAAAAATTGAATGTCCCCAGGAAAACAACAGAAATGAGCTATCTCTGAAACCGCTTTGTGATGTGTAGATTTGTCTCACAAAGTTAGATATTTCTTTTGATTCAGCAAGTTGGAAACACTTTCTGGAGATTCTGCAAAGGGACATAAGGGAGCCCAATGAGGCCTCTGGGGAAAAAGCGATAATCCCCAATGAAAACTAGAAAGAAGCTATCTGTGAAACTGCTTTGTGATATGTGGATTCAGCACAGAGTTAAACGTTTTTTTTTTTTTCCCTCACCCTGTTGGAAACACTGTTTTTGGAGAATCTGTGAAGGGACATTTGAGGAGTATGGGGAAAAACAGAGTATTTCCAGATTAAAAACTAGAAAGAAGCTATCTGTGAAACTGCTTTACAATATGTGGATTCATCTCACAGAGATAAGCTTTTCTTTTTTTTTTTTTCTTATACTTTAAGTCTTAGGGTACATGTGCACAATGTGCAGGTTAGTTACATATGTACACATGTGCCATGTTGGTGTGCTGCACCCATTAATTCGTCATTTAACATTAGGTATATCTCCTAATGCTATCCCTCCCCCCTACCCCCACCTCACAATAGGCCCCTGTGTGTGATATTCCCCTTCCTGTGTCCATGTGTTCTTGTTGTTCAATTCTCACCTGTGAGTGAGAACATGTGGTGGTTGGTTTTTTGTCCTTGTGATAGTTTGCTGAGAATGGTGGTTTCCAGCTTCATCCATGTCCCTGCAAAGGAGAATGAACTTATCATTTTTTATGGCTGCATAGTATTCCATGGTGTATATGTGCCACATTTTCTTAATCCAGTCTATCATTATTGGACATTGGGCTTGGTTCCAAGTCTTTGCTATTGTGAACAGTGTTGCAATAAACATACGTGTGCATGTGTCTTTATAGCAGCATGATTTATAATCCTTTGGGTATATACCCAGTAATGGGATGGCTGGGTCAAATGGTATTTCTAGTTCTAGATCCCTGAGGAATCGCCACACTGACTTCCACAATGGTTGAAATCGTTTGCAGTCCCTCCAACAGTGTAAAAGTGTTCCTATTTCTCCACAACCTCTCCAGCATCTGTTGTTTCCCGACTTTTTAATGATTGCCATTCTAACTGGTGTGAGATGGTATCTCATTGTGGTTTTGATTTGCATTTCTCTGATGGCCAGTGATGATGAGCATTTTTCATGTGTCTTTTGGCTGCATACATGTCTTCTTTTGAGAAGTGTCTGTTCATATCCTTCACCCACTTGTTAATGGGGTTTGTTTTTTTCTTGTAAATTTGTTTAAGTTCATTGTAGATTCTGGATATTAGCCCTTTGTCAGATGAGTAGATTGCAAAAATTTTCTCCCATTCTGTAGGTTGCCTGTTCACTCTAATGGTAGTTTATTTTGCTGTGCAGAAGCTCTTTAGTTTAATTAGATCCCATTTGTCAGTTTTGGCTTTTGTTGTCATTGCTTTTATTGTTTTAGACATGAAGTCCTTGCCCATGCCTATATCCTGAATGGTATTGCCTAGGTTTTCTTCTAGGGTTTTTATGGTTTTAGGTCTAACAATTGCTTCACAGAGAATAAAATACCTAGGAATCTAACTTACAAGGGATTTGAAGGAACTCTTCAAGGAGAACTACAAACTACTGCTCAATGAAATAAGAGAGGATACAAACAAATGGAAGAACATTCCATGCTTATGGGTGGGAAGAATCAATATTTTGAAAATGGCCATACTGCTGAAGGTAATTTATAGATTCAGTGCCAACCCCATCAAGCTACCAATGACTTTCTTCACGGAATTGGAAAAAACTACTTTAAAGTTCACATGGAACCAATAAAGAGCCCACATTGCCAAGTCAATCCATAGCCAAAAGAACAAAGCTGGAGGCATCATGCAACCTGACTTCAAACTATACTACAAGGCTACAGTAACCAGAACAGCATGGTACTGGTACCAAAACAGAGATATAGACCAATGGAGCAGAACAGAGCCCTGAGAAATAATGCCGCATATGTACAACCATCTGATCTTTGACAAACCTGACAAAAACAAGAAATGGGGAAGGGATTCCCTATTTAATAAATGGTGCTGGGAAAACTGGCTAGCCATATGTAGAAAGCTGAAACAGGATCCCTTCCTTACACCTTATGAAAAATAAATTTAAGAAGGATTAAAGACTTAAATGTTAGAGATAAGCTTTGTTTTTCATACTGCATATTGGAAACACAATTTTGGAGAATCTGTGATGGTACATTTGGGAGCTAACTGTGGCCTAAGGATGAAAACGGATATCCCCAGAAAAAAACTAGAAAGAATCTATTGGTGAAACTCCTTTGTGATGTGTGGATTCATCTCACAGAGTTAAACTTTCGTTTTGATTCAGCAGGTTGAAAACACTCTGGTTTACAAATCTGCAAAGGGACATTTCAGAGCCCATTGAGTCCTATGGGAAAAACGGAATATCCCCAGATGAAAAATGGAATCTGTCTGTGACACTGCTTTGTGATGTGTGAATTCATCTAAAATTTTTGAAACTTTCTTTTGACACAACAGTTTGGAAACACTCTTTTTGGAGAATCTATGAAGGGTCATTAGGGAGCCTATTGAGTCCTAGGGAAAAAATTGAATATCCCCAGATAAGAACAAGAAAGAAACCTATCTGTGAAACCGTTTTGGGATTTGTGGATTCGTCTAACAGAGTTAAGCCACTCTTTTGATTCAGTAGGTTGGAAACACTTTTTTTGATAATCAGTAAAGGGATATTAGTAAGTCTATTGAGGCCTATGGGGAAAGAAATGAATATTGTTAGATAAAAACAAGAAAGAAGCCATCTTTAAAACTGCTTTGTGGTGAGTGGATTCATCTCACAGAATTAAACCTTTCTTTTGATTCAGAAAGTTCTAAACACTTTTTTTGGAGAATCTGTGAATTGACATTTTAGAGCCCATTGAGGCCTATGGGGAAAAACTGAAAATCCCCAGAGAAAAACAAGAAAGGATCAATCGGTGAAACTGTGTTGTAATGTGTGGATTTATCTCACAGAGTTAAACATTTCTGTTGATTCAGCAGGTGGAAAATACTCTTTTGGAGGATCTACAAAGG
The DNA here is from genome assembly GCF_000001405.40 of Homo sapiens. Classification (NCBI taxonomy): domain Eukaryota; kingdom Metazoa; phylum Chordata; class Mammalia; order Primates; family Hominidae; genus Homo; species Homo sapiens. The sequence goes on from NT_187383.1 coordinate 838,867, forward strand.
GACATTTGGGAGCCCACTGAGGCCTATGGGGAAAAACCCAATACCCCAAGATAAGAACTAGAAAGAAGCTGCCTGTGGATATGCTGTGTGATGTGTGGATGAATCTCATAGAATTGTACCTTTCTGTTGATTGAGTGTGCTGGAAACACTCTTTCTGTAGAATCTGTGAAGGGACAACTGAAAGTCCATTGAGGCCTATGAATCAAAACCGAATATCTTCAGATAAAAATAGAAAAGAGCTATTTCTAAAACAGCTTTGTAATCTGTGGATTCATCTCACAGACTTAAACCTTTCTTTTGTTTCAACAATTTGGAAACACTCCTCTTTGGAGAATGTGCAAAGGGACAATTGAAAGCCCATCATGGCCTAAGGGGAATAACAGAATATGCCCATATAAAAACTAGAAAGAAGTTTTCTGTGAAACTGCTGTCTGATGTGTGGATTCATCTCATGGAGAAAAACATTTCTTTTGATTCAACAGGTTGGAAACACTCTTTTTGGAGAAGTTGTAAAGGGGGTATTTGGAAGCCAAATAAGGCCTATGGTGCAAAAATATGTTCAGATAAAAACTACAAATAAGCTTTCCAAGAAACCGCTTAGTGATATGTGCATTCATGTTACATAGTTAAACCGTTCTTTTGATTCAAAAGTTTGGAAACACTGTTTTTTTTTCCATCTGTGAATGGGCATTTGGGAGCTCATTGAGGCCAATGAAAAAAAACAAATGTCCAAGGATAAAAACTTGAAGGAAGCTATCTGAGAAACTGCTTTATGATAAGTGCATTCATCTCTCAGAGGTAAACCCTTCTTCTGGCTTAGCAGTTTGGAAACAATGTTTTTGTCCATTCTGCTCATTGATATTTGGCAGTGCTTTGAGGCCTATGGTGAAAAAGAAAATATCTTCTGATAAAAATTACTAAGAAGCTTTCTGAGAAACTCCTTTGTGATGTGCTCATTCATCTCACAGTGTTAAACCTTTCTTTTAATTCAGCAGTTTGGAAACAATGTTTTTGTCCATTCTGTGAATTGACATTCAGGAGCTCATTGAGACCAATGGCAAAAAAGCAAGTATCTCAGAATTAAAACTAAAATGAAGCTATCTGAGAAACCTTTTTGTGATGTGTGCATTTGTCTCATCGAGTTAAACCTTTCTTTAGATTCAGCATTTTGGAAGAACTGATTTTGTAGTATGTGCAAATGGACATTTGGGAACTTATGAGGCCTATGGTGAAAAAGAAAATATCTTTTGATTAAAACTAGAGAGAACTTTGAAAGAAATTGCTTTCTAATGTGTGCATTTATCTCACATAGGTAAATATTTCTTCTCATTCATCATTTTAGAAACACTGTTTTTGTAGAATCTGTAAAGGGATATTTGGGAGTGCAGTGAGGCCTTTGATGAAAATGAAAATATCTTCTGATAAAAACTAGAAAGAAGCTTTCTGAAAACTTGCTTTGTTCTGTGTGCATTCATCTGACTGAGTTAAACTTTTCTTTTGATTCAGCAGTTTTGAAGCAACGTTTTTGTCCATTCTGTGAAAGGACATTTGGGAGCTTATTGAGACCAATGGTGTAAAAGTGAATATCCCAGGATTAAAAAATGCAAGGAAGCTATCAGAGAAACCACTTTGTCATATGTGCATTCATCTCCCAGAGTTAAACCCTTCTTTTGATTCTGGAGTTTGGAAACACTGTTTTTGTCCATTCTGTAAATGGACATTTGGGAGTGCATTGAGGCCTATGGTGATAAAGAAAATACCTTCCGATTAAAACTAGAAAGATTCTTTCTGAGAAATTGCATGTTATGTGTGCATTCAAATCACATAGGTAAACCTTTCTTTATTCTGTAGTTTGGAAACCTTCCTTTTGTAGAATCTGTGGAGGGACATTTTGGAGTGCATTGAGGCGTGTGCTGAAAAAGAACATATCTTCAGATAAAAACTAGAATGAAGTTTTCTGAGAAACTTCTTTGTGATGTGTACATTCATCTCATAGAGTTAAAGCTTTCATTTGATTCAGCAATTTGGAAACACTGTTTTTGCCCATTCTACGAATGGACATTTGGGAGCTCATTGAGGCCAATGATGAAAAAGCAAATGTCCCAGTATAAAAACTAGAAGTAAGCTATGTGAGAAACTGCTTTGTCATGTGTGCATTCATCTCACCGAGTTAAACCTTTTCATTCAGCAGTTTGGAAACACTGTTTTTGTAGAATCTGTGATGGGATAATGTGGGAGCTCATTGTGGCCAAAAGCGAAAAAGAGAAAATCCCGAGACACAAACTAGAAGGATGCTGTCTGAGAAACTGCTTTGTGAAGTGTGCCTTCATTTTGCAGAATTAAACTTTTCTTTTGATTCAGCAATTTGGAAACACTGTTTCTGTCCATTCTGTGAATGAATATTTGGGAGCTCATTGTGGCCATTGGTGAAAAAGGGAATATCCCTAGAGTAAAAGTAAAAGGAAGCTATCTGAGAAACTACTTTGTGATGTGCACATTCATCTCACTGAGTTAAACCCTTCTTGTGGTTCAGCAATTTGGAAACACTGTTTTTGTACATTCTGCAAATGGACATTTCGGAGTGTATTGAGGCCTGCGGTGAAAAATGAAATATGGTTAGCTAAAAACTAGGAAGAAACTTGATGAGAAACCAATTTGTGATCTGTGCATTCATCTCGAAGAGTTAAACATTTCTTTTGATTCAGCAGTTTGGAAACACTGTTTTTGTACATTCTGCAAATGGACATTTGGGAGCTCATTGAGACCAATGTTGAAAAGGGAATGTCCCATGATAAAAACTAGAAGGAAGCTATCTGAGAAACTGCTTTGTGATGTGTACGTTCACTTCACAGAGTTAAGCCTTTCCTTTGATTCAGAAGTTTGGAAACTTTTTTTTGTACATTTAGCAAATAGACATTATGGAGTGCTTTGAGGCCTATTGTGAAAAAGAAAATATCTTCTGATAAAAACTAGAAACAAGCTCTCTGAGTCACTGCTTTGAGATGTGTGCATTCACCTCACGTAATTAAACCTTCAATTTTATTCAGCAGTGTGGAAACACTGTTTTTATAGAATCTGCAAAAGGATATTTGGGAGTGCTTTGAGGCCTGTGGTGATAAAGAAAATATCTTCAGATAAAAACTAGAAAGAAGTTTCTGAGAAACTGCTGTGTGCTGTATGCCTCCATCTCACAGAGTTAAACCTTTCTTTTGATTCAGCAGTTTGGAAGCACTGTTTTTCTCCAGTCTGAGAATGGACATTTGGGAGCTCATTGAGGCCAAAGGCAAAAAAGTGAATATCCCAGAAATAAAACTGGATGGAAGCTATCTGAGAAACAGTTTTGTGATGTGTGCATTTATCTGGCAGAGTTAAACCTTTCTTTTCATTCAGCAGTTTGGAATCCCTGTAATTGTGGAATCTCTGAAGGGATATTTGGGAGTGAATTGAGGCATATGATGAAAAAGAAAATACCATCCAATAACTAGAAAGAAGCTCTCTGAGAAACTTCTTTATTTTGTGTGCATACATCTCACTGAGTTAAACCTTTCTTTTGATTCAGCAGTTTAGAAACACTGTTTCTGTCCATTCTGTGAATGGAGATTTTTAAGTGCATTGAGGTCTATGGTGAAAAAGAAAATAGCTTTTGATAAAAATTAGAAAGAAGGTTTCTGAAAAACTGATATTTGATGTGTGCATTCACTTCATATAGTTAAACCTTTCTTTGTATTCAGCAGTTTGAAAACACTGTTTTTGTAGAATCTACGAAGGGATATTTGGGAGTGCATTGAGGCCTATGGTGAAAATGAAAATATCTTCAGATAAAAAATAGAAAGAAGGTTTCTGATAACCTGCTTTGTGATGTGTGCATTCATCTCACAGACTTAAAACTTTCTTTTGTTTCTGCAGTTTGGAAACACTGTTTTTGTTCATTCTGCAACTGGACATTTCAGAGTTCATTGAGACCAAAGGTGAAAAAGCATATATCCCAGCATAAAAGCTAGAAGAAAGCTATCTGAGAAACTGCTTTGTGATGTGTGCATTCATCTCACAGTGTTAAACTTTTGTTTGAATCAGCATAATGGAAACAATGCTTTTGTCCATTGTGCGAATGGATTTTTGGGAGCTCTTTGAGGCCATTGGTGGAAAAGTGACTATCCCAAGAGAAAAACTAAAAGGAAACTATCTGAGAAACCGCTTTGTGATTTTTGCATTCATCTCACAGAATTAAGCCTTTCTCTTGATTCAGCAGTTTGGAAACATTGTTTTTTGCACGATCTGTGTATGGACATTTTGTAGTGCATTGAGGCCTATGGTGTAAAAGAAAATATCTTCTGATAAAAAATAGAAATAAGCTTTCTGAGAAACTGCTTTTTGATGTATGCATTCATCTCACAGATTTAAACTTTTTTTTTTTGTTTCAGCAGTCTGGAAACACTGTTTTTGTCCAGTCTGCAAATGGACATTTGGGAGCTCATTAAGATCAAAGGTGAAAAAGTGAATATCCCAGGATAAAAACTAGAAGGAGACTATCTGAGAAGCTGCTTTGTGATGTGCACATTCATCTCATGTTGTTAAACCTTTTTTTTTTTTTCATTCAGCAGTTTGGAAACACAGTTTTTGTACAATCTCCAAATGCATATTTCAGAGCTCACTGAGGAAAATGGCAAAAAAGCCAATATCCCAAAATATAAAGTAGAAGGAAGCTATCTGAGAAACCACTTTGTGATATGGGCATTCATTTCACCCAGTTAAAACTTTCTTTTGATTGAAGAGTTTGGAAACACTGTTATTGTACATTCTGCGATTGGACATTTCAGAGTGCATTGAGGCATATTGTGAAAAACAAATATCTACTGATAAAAAGTAGAATGAAGCTTTCTGAGAAACTGCTTTGTGATGTGTTCATTCAACTCACATAGTTAAAACTTTCTTATTATTCAGCAGTTTGCAAACACACCTTTGCAGAATCTGAGAAATGATATTTGGGAGTGCATTCAGGCTTACAGTGAAAAAGAAAATATCTTCAGATGAAATCTAGAAGGAAGCTTTGAGAAGTTGCTTTGTGATGTGTGCATTCATCTCACAGAGTTAAACCATTCTTTTGTTTCAACAGTTTAGAAACACTGTTTTTGTCCATTTTGTAAATGGACGTTTGGGAGCTTATTGAGGCCAATGGCAGAAAAGGGAATATCCCAGGATAAAAACTAGAAGGAAGCTATCTGGTAAACCGCTTTGTGATGTGGGCATTCATCTCAAAGAGTTAAACGTTTCTTTTGATTCAACAGTTTGGAAACACACCTTTTGTCCATTCTGCTAATGGCCTTTTCAGAGTGCATTCAGACCTATGGTGAAAAAGAAAATATCTTCAGATAAAAACAAGAAAGAAGCTTTCTGAGAAACTGCTTTGTGATGTGTGCATTCATCTCACAGAGTTGAACATTTCCTTTGATACAGCAGATAGGAAACACTGTTTTTGTCCATTCTGCGAAATGACATTTGGGAGCTCTTTGAGCCCAAAGGCAAAAAAGGAAATATCCCAGGATAAAAACTAGAAGGAAGATATCTGAGACACTGTTTTGTGATATGTGCATTCATCTTGCAGAGTTAAAACTTTCTTTTCATTCAGCAGTTTGGAAACACTGTTTTTTTTGAATTTGTGAAGGGATACTTGAGAGCGCATTGAGACCTATGGTAACAAACAAAATAACTTTAGATAAAATGTAGAAAGAAGCTTTCTGAGAAAGTGCTTTGTGATGTGTACATTCATCTCACAGAGTTAAAACTTTCTTTTGATTCAAGAGTTTGGAAACACTGTTTTTTTTTATTGTTATTCTGCAAATAGTCCTTTTGGAATTCATTGATGCCAGTGGTGAAAAAGGGAATATCCCAGGATAAAAACTGGAAGGAATCAATCTGAAAAAATTGCTTTGTGATGTGTGGATTCATCTCACAGAGTTAAAACTTTGTTTTCATTCGGTAGTTTGAAACTCTGTTTTTGTAGAATCTGCAAAGGGATATTTGGGAGCGTATTGAGGTCCATGGTGAAAAAGAAAATAACTTCAGATAAAAACTAGAAAGAAGCTTTCTGTGAAACTGCTTTGTGATGTGTGCATTCATCTCACAGAGTTGAACCTTTCATTTGATTCAGCAGTTTGGAAACGTTGTTTTTTTCCATTCTGCAAATGGACATTTGGGAGCTGATTGAGGCAAATGGTGAAAAGGGAATATTGCAGTGTAAAAAATAGAAGGAAGCTATCTGAGAAACGGCTTTGTGATGTGTGCATCCATCTCACAGAGTTAAACCTTTCTTTTTCATTGAGTAGTTTGGAAACACTGTTGTCCTGGAATCTGCCAAGGGATATTGGGGGGCATTGAGACCTATGGTGAAAAAGAAAATATCTTCAGATAAAACATGGAAAGAAGCTTTCCGAGAAACTGCTTTGTGATATGTGAATTCATCTCACAGAGTTAAACCTTTCTTTTGATTCAGCAGTTTGTAAACACTCTGAATGGACATTTTGGAGCTCATTGAGGCCAATGGCTAAAAAGTGAATGCCCAGGATAAAAAGTAGAAGGAAGCTATCTGATAAACCGCTTTGTTATGTGTGCAATCATCTCACAGAGTTAAACCTTTCTTTTGATTCAGCAGTTTGGAAACACCGCTTTTGTCCATTCTGCAAAAGGACATTTGGGAGCTCCTTGTGGCCAAAGGTGAAAAAGCAAATACCCCAGGATTAAAACTAGAAGGAAGATATCTAAGAAAATTCTTTGTGATGTGTGCATTCATCTCACAGAGTTAAACCTTCCTTTTCATTCAGCAGTTTGGAAACACTGTTCTTGTAGAATCTGCAAAAGGATATTTGGCAGCGCTTTGGGGCCTATGGTGGAAAATAAAATATCTTCAGATAAAAACTAGAAAAAAGCTTTCTGAGAAACTGGTTTATGATGCTTGCATTCATCTCACAGAGTTAATCCCTTCTTTTGATTCAGCAGTTTGGAAACACTGTTATTGTCCTTTCTACAGATGGACAATTTAGAGCTCATTGAGGCCAATGGCGAAAAAGTGAATATCCCAGGATAAAAACCAGAAGGAAGCTATCTGATAAACCACTGTGTTATGTGTGCAATCATCTCGCACTGTTAAACCTTTCTTTTGATTAAGTAGTTTGGAAAAACTGTTTTTTCATTTCTGCAAATCGACATTTGGGAGCTCTTGGAGGCCAATTGAGGAAAAGCAAATATCCCAGGATAAAAACTGAAAGAAAGGCATGTGAGAAACTGCTTTGTGATGTATGCATTCATCTCGCAGAGTTATACCTTTCTCTTCATTCAACAGTTTGAAAACACAGTTCACAGATAGCTTCTTTCTAGTTTTTACCTTGCGATTTTCTCTTTGTCACCATTGGCCTCAATGAGCTCCCAAATATCCCTTCATAGATTCTACAAAAACAGTGTTTTCCAACTGCTGAATACAAAGAAAGGTTTAACTATATGAAGTGAATGCACACATCAAATATCAGTTTCTCAGAAACCTTCTTTCTAATTTTTATCAAAAGCTATTTTCTTTTTCACCATAGACCTCAATGCACTTAAAAATCTCCATTCACAGAATGGACAGAAACAGTGTTTCTAAACTGCTGAATCAAAAGAAAGGTTTAACTCAGTGAGATGTATGCACACAAAATAAAGAAGTTTCTCAGAGGGCTTCTTTCTAGTTTTTATCTGATGGTATTTTCTTTTTCACCATATGCCTCAATTCGTTCCCAAATATCCCTTCAGAGATTCCACAATTACAGGGATTCCAAACTGCTGAATGAAACTTTTCCCCACCTTTGTGGTTTTATCTACTTTTGGTCTTTGATGATGGTGATGTACAGATGTGTTTTTGGTGTGGATGTCCTTTCTGTTTGTTAGTTTTCCTTCTAACAGAGAGGACCCTCAGCTGCAGGTCTGTTGGAATACCCTGCTGTGTGAGGTGTCAGTGTGCCCCTGCTGGGGGGTGCCTCCCAGTTAGGCTGCTCGGGGGTCAGGGGTCAGGCACCCACTTGAGGAGGCAGTGTGCACCTTCTCAGATCTCCAGCTGCATACTGGGAGAACCACTGCTCTCTTCAAAGCTGTCAGACAGGGACATTTAAGTCTGCAGAGGTTACTGCTGTCTTTTTGTTTGTCTGTGCCCTGCCCCCAGAGGTGGAGCCTACAGAGGCAGGCAGGCCTCCTTGAGCTGTGGTGGGCTCCACCCAGTTGGAGCTTCCCAGCTGCTTTGTTTACCTAAGCAAGCCTGGGCAATGGCGGACGCCCCTCCCCGAGCCTCGCTGCCGCCTTGCAGTTTGATCTCAGACTGCTGTGCTAGCAATCAGTGAGACTCCGTGGGAGTAGGACCCTCCGAGCCAGGTGCGGGATATAATGTCGTGGTGCGCTGTTTTTTAAGCCAGTCCGAAAAGCGCAATATTCGGGTGGGAGTGACCCGGTTTTCCAGGTGCGTCCGTCACCCCTTTCTTTGACTTGGAAAGGGAGCTCCCTGACCCCTTGCACTTCCCAAGTGAGGCAGTGCCTCGCCCTGCTTCGGCTTGTGCATGGTGCGCTCACCCACTGACCTGTGCCCACTGTCTGGCACTCCCTAGTGAGATGAACCTGGTACCTCAGATGGAAATGCAGAAATCACCCGTCTTCTGCATCGCTCACGCTGGAAGCTGTAGACCGGAGCTGTTCTTATTCGGCTATCTTGGCTCCTCCCCCGATTCAGCAGTTTTTAAAGACTATTTGAATAAAATCTGCAAAGGGACATTTGTGGGCTCATTGAGGCTTATGGTGAAAAAGCAAATATCACAAAATAAAAACTGAAAAGAAGCTATCTGTGAAACTGCTTTGTGATGTGTGGATTCATCACACAGAGTTAAACTTTTCTGTTAATTCTGGAGATTGGAAACACTTTTTTTGTTGTTTAAATCTATGAATTGACATTTGGGAGCACATTGAGGCCTATAGTGAGGAAGCAAATATCCCCAGATAAAAACTAGAAAGAAGCCACCAGCTAACCTGATTTGTGACATGTGGATTCATCTCAGAGAGTTAAAATTTTCTTTTGATTAAGTAGTTTTGAAACACTGTTGTTTCAGAGTCCGTGAGAAAACATCTGGGAGCTCTTTGAGGCCTATGGTGAGAAAGCAAATATCCCAAGATAAAAACTAGACAGAAGTTGTCTTTGAAACCGCTTTGTGATGTGTGGATTCTTCTTACAGAACTAAACTTTTCTTTTCATTCAGCAGGTTGGAAACAGTCCTTTTTTAGTATCTGTGAAGGGATGTGTGGAGTCCATTGAGGCCTATGGTGACAAACTGAATATCCCCAGATAAAAACTAGAAATAAGTTATCTGTGAAACTGCTTTGTGACAAGTGGATTCATCTCACACAGTTAAAGCTTTCTTTTGATTCAACAATTAGTAAACACTGTTTTGTTAGATTCTGCGAAGGTATATTTGGGAGCCCATTGAGGCCTATGGTGAAAAAACAAATATCCCCAGATAAAAACTACAAAGCAATTATCTGTGAAGCTGCTTTGTGATATGTGGATTCATCTCACAGAGTTAAACCTGTCTTTTGATTCAGCTGGTTGTAAACAATTCTCTCATAGAATCTGCGAAGGGATGTTTGGGAGTTTGTTGAGGCCTATGGGAAAAAGTGAATATCCCCAGATTACAACTAGAAAGAAGCTATCTATGAAACTGCTTTGTGATGTTTGGATTCATGTCATGGAGTTAAATCTTACTTTTGGTTCAGCAGTTTGGAAACACTGTTTTGTACTATCTATCTGCAAAGGGACATTTTTGCTCATTGAGGGCTTTTTTGACAAAGCAAATATTCCCAGATTAAAAATAGAAAGTTTTCTGTGAAACTGCTTTGTGATGTGTGGATTCATCTGACAGAGTTAAACCTTTCTTTTGATTCAGCACATTGGAAACAGTCCTTTCATGGAATCTGTGAAGGGACATTTGGGACTGCATTGAATCCTATTGTGACAAACTGAATATCTCCAAACAAAAACTAGACAGAAGGTATCTGTGAAACTAGTTTATGATGTTTGGACTCATCTCACAGACTTAAAAGTTTCTTTTGATTCAGCAGTTTGGAAACACTATTTGTGTAGAATCTGTGAAGGGATATTTGGGAGCTCATTAAGGCCTATGTTTAACAAGCAAATAGTTCCAGGTAAAAACTAGAAAGAAGTTATCTGTGAAACTGCTTTGTGATCTGCAGATTCATCTCACAGAGTTAATCCTTTCTTTTGATTCAGCAGTTTGGAAACACTATTTTTGTATAATCTGCAAGGGGACATTCAGCAGTGCCTTGAAGACTATGGTGAAAAAGAGAATATCCACAGATAAAAAATAGAAAGAAACTATCTGTGAAACTGCTTTGTGATGTGTGGATTCATCTCACAGAGTTAAACCTTTCTTTTGGTTCAGCAGTTAGGAAACACTATTTTTGTAGAATCTGCAAAGGGACATTTGGGAGCCCAGGGAGGCCTACAGTTAAAAGGTGAATATCCCCGGATAATAACTAGAAAGAATCTATCTGTGAAACCACTTTGTGATGTGTGGATTTATTTCACAGACTTAAACCTTTCCTTTTATTCAGCAGTTTGGAAACACTGTTTTTGTATAATCTGTGAAGGGACATTTTGGAGCTCATTGAGGCCTATGGTGGAAAAGAAAATATCCCCAGATAAAAACTAGAAAAATGTTGTTTGTGAAACTGCTTTGTGATGTGTTGATTCTTATCACAGAGTTTAAACTTTCTTTTGATTCAGCAGTTACAAAGAGTCCTTTTGTAGAATCTGCAAGGGGACCTTAAATAACTCATGGAGGCCTATGGTGACAAACTGAATATCCCCAGATAAGAAGTAGAAAGAAGCTATTTGTGAAACTGTTTTGTGATGTGTGGATTCATCTCACAGAGTTAAATCTTTCTTTTGATACAGCTGTTTGGAAAAACTTTTTTTAGAATCTGCAAAAAGATATCTAGGAGTGCAATGAGGCCTATAGTGAAAAAGCAAATATCCCCAGACAAAAACTAGAAAGAAGCTATCTGTGAAACTGCTTTCTGATGTGTGGACTCATTTCTCAGAGTTAAACCTTTCTTTTGATTCAGCTGTTTGGAAACACTGTTTTTGTGGGATCTGTGAAGGGATATTTGGGAGCCCATTGAGACCAATAGGGAAAAACCAAATATCCACAGATATAAACTAGAAAGAAGCTATCTGTGAAAGTGCTTTGTCTGTGTGGATTCACGTCTCAGAGGTAAACCTTTCTTTGGATTCTACAGATTGACAACAGTCTTTGTGGACAGTCTGCGAAGAAACATTTAAGAGCCCATTGAGGCCAATGAAGAAAAACTGAATATCCGCAGATAAAAACTACAAAAAAAATCTGTGAAACTACTCGATTATGTGTGGATTCATCTCAGAGTTTAACCTTTCTTTAGTTTCAGCAAGTTGGAAGCACTCTTTTTGTAAAATCTGTGAACGGACATTTGGCAGCCCATTGAGGCCAATGGGGAAAAACCGAATATCCCAGTTAAAAACTAGCAGGAATCCATCTGTGAAACTGCTTTGTGATGTGTCAATTAATCTTCCAGAGTTAAATGTTTCTTTTGATTTAGCAGTTTGGAAACCGTATTTTGGAGAATCTGCAAAGGTACATTTTGTAGCCCATTGAGCCCTATTGGGAAAACCAGATATCACCAGGAAAAAAACTAGAAAGAAGCTGTGAAACTGCTTTGTGATGTGTGGATGCATCTCACTGAATTAAACCTTTCTTTTGACCCAGCAGGGTGAAAACACTCTGTTTGCAGAATCTGAGAAGGGACATTTGGGAACCCACTTAGGCCTATGGGGAAAAACTCAATATCCACAGGTAAAACTTAGAAAGAACCTATTTGTGAAACTGCTTTCAGATGTGTGGATGCATCTCACGGAGTTAAACCTTTCTTTTGATCCAGCAGGTTGAAAACACTCTTTTTGCAGAATCTGAGAAGGGACATTTCAGAACCCACTGAGGCCTATGGGAAAAATCTCAATATCTGCAGGTAAAACTTAGAAAGAACCTATTTGTGAAACTGCTTTCAGATGTGTGGATTCATCTCACAGAGATAAAACTTTCTTTTGATTCAGCAGGTTGGAAACACACTTTTTGGAGAATCTGCATAGGAATGTTTTGGAGCACATTGAGGCCTATGTGGCAAAACCTAATATGCACACATAAAACTGAGAAGAAGCTATCTGTGAAACAGCTTTGTGATGTGTGGATTCATCTCACAGAGTGAAACATTTCATTTGATTCAGCAGGTTGGAAATGCTCTTGTTGTAGAGTCTGCGAAAAGACATAAGGGAGCACATTTTCTTCTTTGAAGAAAAATCGAATATCCACAGATAAAAACTAGAAAGAAGATATCTGAGAAACTGCTTTGTAATAAGTGAGTTAATCTCACAGAGTTAAACCTGTCTTCAGATTCAGCAGGCTGGAAACAATCTATTTGGTGAATCTGCAAATTTACATTTGGGAGCCCATTGAGGGTTATCTACTAATAGGTATAATTAATATTAATTCTAATAAGATCCCAGTTATGCTCCCAAAGTAATGCTTTATAACAAGCATCAGTCCTATGTTTTAAAAAAAGAAAAGAAAAGAAAAAAAACATGATCTGAAGTCTGCACACAAGTGTACATCACTTTTTTTGAAGGTAGAGTCTTGATGTTTCCCAAGCTGGCCTCAAACTTCTGGAATCCTCAAGTGATCCTCCTGCCTCAGCCTTCCAAGTAGTTGGGAATACAGGCATGCATCACTGTGCCTTCTTATGCATTTAATACTCTATACAATTATTATTGATTTAAAATGCATTTTACCTTTTTCTTTAATAGATTCTGGGAGTTCTAATGAACCTGCAGTCAGGTAGGATTTTACAGATTTAAAAACTATCTTAACTAAGGAAATATAGATGGAAGAGGTTAATATCTGTTGTGTTGTATTCTGGGCTAAACCCCTATTATGTGCTATGCATTTGTCATCCCATAAAGCCATTGCAACATCTGTGTTCTTATAACCTACTGTTTATTACATAGACAACTGTGGTTTAGAGGTTGATTAATTGGCTCATGATCCCGTAGTTAACAAAGTAGCTGACCCACAGTTAAACCATCAGCCTGTCTGGCTTCCAGATCCCTTATCTTGCTCCTCAACATAGATTGATAGAGATGTGTGCAGCACTTGGATCAAGGTATATGTCTGGATCAGATTAATTTAGACAGTCAAATCTAGTTATATGTTAACTCTCATTTAAGGTTATTGTTAGAAATGTTATTAGTCCAAGAGTTTCTCCTAATAAATTTGACAATTTCAGTGGTAGCCAATATCTTATTTTACCATCAAAGGCTTTAGGGCAAAGTAAAGGTTTGGCCATATGATTATAATTTTACAAAAGCAAGATTAGACAAGTCTTAGAAATTATTTGACTTCCCAGTTTGGTTTTCCCTTTAGGCTAGTATTTCTGCTTACTTCCATAATACTTTTTTTTGGACTTTTTTCTTTTTCCATGACATTTCTATAATCCTGTCTTGATGTTTTAAAACTTCCTTCTCTGCTTTTCTTCGTGTTTCTTTTGTCATATTATTTCTTCAAAATCTGCCAACTGTGTATTCCCAATTTTCTTGTAGACAGAATCAAAAGCACATAGAATTATAGAATTTTAAGGAATCACAGGAACAATTAAAATAACCTCTAGTACTTCAACCTGTGTTAAACCTTCTGGTCAAGTGTTTCTCTAGATAGAGAACATGAGACTCAAAGAGATTAGGATAGTTTTTTTATATATATAGGAAGTGGCAGAAAGGAGATTTCAACTCATTTTAAAGCTCAGTACTTGTCTTTCTTTTTTTTTAGCCTATTGGCATGTTTTTCTGTTTGTTTTTTGTTTCATTTTGTTTTTTTGAGACGAGCCTCGCTCTGCTGCCAAGGCTGGAGTGCAGTGGCACAATCTTGGCTCAATGCAACCTCTGCCACCCGAGTTCAAGCAATTCTCCTGCCTCAGCCTCCTGAGTAGCTTGGATTACATGCACTTGCCACAACATCCAGGTAACATTTGCACTTTAAGTAGAGATGGGGTTTCAGCATCTTGGGCATGCTGGCCTTGAACTCCAGACCTCGATCCACTCATCTCCACCACCCAAAGTGCTGGGATCACAGGCATAGCCATGATGCCCCATTTGGCATGTGTTTTAATAATACAAAGCAGGGCGGGGCACAGTGGCTCACAACTGTATGTCCTCATTTGCATGAGCTAAGTTTTTCATAGCAATCAAAAGCAAAGCTAGTGCAGGTATTTGCAATTTTCCTTAATGTCATCAAGCCCAGGATTTGAGAGCCATTTTCATTGGCCCTAGATGACCTGTTCATATGTGTCTTCATTGTGCCCAGCTCAGAGCTTCAAAGCTGTCTTCATCCAGGCCTGCAAAGGTGTTCACAGTGGTCCTCATCTAAGCCAGCCAAGTTGTTCTCTTCTCATCCACATGAGAGCCAGCCCAGATGTCCATAGCCGTCCTCAACGAGGCCAGCCAGTTAATTCACACTCATGCTTATTGGGGCCATCCACCTTCATAGAGGCCATCCCAGGTATTTACAGCCATCCTCACTAAAGCCAGCCCATGTGTCCACAGCTGTCCTCAGTGGGCATAGCCTGGGTGTTCATAGTTTTCCTCATTGGACTTAATACAGGTGTTCTGAGCAATTCCCATGGTCCCAGGCCAAGTGTTGACAGGTGTCCTCAATGGGGACAGCCCAGATGTTCACCGTTGTCTTAATTAAGCCAAGTGCAGATGCCCATAGCTGCCTCACAGGGCTCAGCCAAAATGAACAAGGCTGTTCTCCTGAGCCCACGCCAGGTATTTACAGCTTTCTGCATTGGGGTCAGCCCAGGTGTTGGTAGCCATACATTCTGGGTGAATCGCAGTTATTCCAAGCGGTTTCCTTGGGCCCAGCCCAGGTGTCTACAGCCATCCTCATTGGTCCAGCACAGGTGTTCAGAGCTATCCTCCTTGGCCCCAGGCCAGATGTTGACACTCGATCTGACTGGTCCCAGACCAGGTCTGCAAAAGCTGTCTTAACTGGGAGCAGCCCATGCTTTCACAGTGGTCTTCACTGGTGTCAGCCAGGTTTCTCAGAACTGTCACTTGGCCAAACATTGGTGTACATTGCCATCCCCATGGAGCACAGCTCAGGTATCCATAGCCGTCCTCACTGGGGCCAGCTGAGGTGTTCCCAGCCAGTCTCATTTGTCTCAGTGCAGGGGTTCACAGCTGTCCTTATTGGCTAAGCCCAGTTGTTCCTTGCAATCATTACATGAGCAAGACCAGGTGTTCATGGCTGTTCTAATTGGGGGCGAGCCCAGGAGTTAATAGTGCTCCTCATCTGGGCCAGCCCAGGCATTCACAGCCATCTTCATCATGATCAGTTTCAAAGCTGTCCTCCTGAGTCCAGCCTGGTTGTTCACTGCTGTTTTTACTGGGCCCAGCCCGGGTTTTCCCAGCTTTCCTCACTTTGGCTAGCACAAGTGTTCACAGCTTTCCTCATTAGGCCCAGGCCATGTGCTCATAGCCATCTTCATCAGGCAAAGCCAAGGTGTTCACAGCCATTTTTTCTGGGTCCAGCCGAAGTCGCCCTCACTTGGGCCCAGCCCAGGTGTTAATAGTCGTCATCAGTGGGATTAACCCAGTTGTTCACAGTGTCTTTCTTGGGCTGAGTTTAAGTGTCGAGAGCCATTCATCTTGGGCCCAGCCAGCTGTTCATAGGAATCCTCATGGGGGCAGGCCCAAGTGCTCACAGTGGCTCTCACTGAAACCAGGGCAGGTGTTTTTGTCTGTGTTCATTGGGTCCAGCCTAGACATTCATAGCTGTGCTCAAGGTGACCAGCCACGATCTTGACAGCTGTCTTCAGGACAGTCGTCCCTGGTGCCACAGCTGTCCTTATTGGCTTAGCCCAAGTGTTCTCAGCTGTTCTCGTTGGAGCCAGGCCAGGTGTTCACAGCTGTCCTTACTGGCCCAGCCCAGGTTTCTGCAGCCACCCTCACTGGGCTCAGCTCAGGGCTTCACAGCTGTTTACTTTGGGCTGAGCCCAAACACTCCAAGCTGTCCTTAGAGGGCCCAGCCAAGGTGTTCACAGCTGTCCTCATTGGTAGCTAGCCTAGGTGTTAGTCCTTGTCCTCAGTGGGCCCAGACCAGTGTTCACAGACATCCTCATTGGGCCAGCCCAGGAGTTCAATGCTGACCTTGCTGGGTCCTGCCTAGCTCTTCATAGCTGTCCTCACTGGGCCCAGGCCAGGTGTTCACAGCCACACCATCAATGTCAGCCCAGGGGTTCACAGCCTTTCTCGTTTGTATGAACTCAGTTTATTATAGCAACAGTTTTTGATGGCTGTCAATATCAAGGCAAGCCCAGGAGTTCACGGTTCCCTTCAGTAACATTAAGTCCAAGATTAAGACCATTTGCCCTGGCCCCAGGCCACCTGTTCATAGCTGTCTTCATTGTTTCCAGCCCAGAACTTCCCAGCTGTCTTCATCCAGGCCTGCACCAGTGTTCACAGTGGTCCTCATCTAAGCCAGCCAAGGAGGTCTCTGTCATCCATGTGACAGCCAGCCCTATGTCCCTAGCCATCCTCATCAAGGCCAGCCGGTTTGATGACATGTGTGCTAATTGGGGCCAGCCACCCTCATAGAGGCCATCCCAGGTATTGACAACCATCCACACTGGGCCCAGCCCAGGGGTCCACACCTGTCCCCTTTGAGCTTAACCTTGGTGTTCATGGCTTTTGTCACAGGACTTCTGCCAGTTGTTTCCAGCAGTTTCCGTGGTCCCAGGCAAGGGCTTCACAGACGTCCTCAATGGGGACAGCCCGTCTGTTCACCGTTGTCTTAATTAGGCCTGGTGCAGACGTTCACAGCTGTCCTTCTTCGGCTCAGCCAAAATGAACAAAACTCCTGAGCACACACCAGCGGTTTCTAGCTGTCCACGTTGGGGTCAGCCCAGTTGTTCATAGCCCTATATTCTGGGTCCATCCCAGTTATTCCAAGCTGTACTTTTGGGCCTAGCCCAGGTGTCCACAGCCATCCTCCTTGGTCACTGCACAGGTGTTCACAGCTATCTTCCTTGGCCCTAGGCCAGATGTTCACATTTGATCTCACTGGGCCCAGACCAGCTATGCCAAGTTTTTGCTCTTGAAGTTGAGGTTTGTTGAAATTGAGGTTCCTGAGGTTGGATAGCAGTGTCCAGATGCAGGTGACTCGTGCACAAGCACTGGGCTGCCTGGCTGTGCCCTGGGCTTGTGTGCCCTTCAGTCTGTGCTGGGCTGGAACCTGCTCTAAGGTTTCCAGATCTCTTCTTTTCACCCTCCACCCCAACAGACCCTCAGGCCTTTTCTGTGCTCACTTCCCAAGCTCCCCTTGGACTCTGCTCCAGAGTCCAAGTCAGCCCCACCTGGGACCTTGACTGCCACTTCATCCCCATTGCTCCCCTCAGCCTGTGATGATGATATATCCAGACCCCTTTCTGCCCCAGAGCTGCAATGGGTCTCAGAGGAGCCCTGAGAAGGCTCCTCTGAGAGCCTTCTCATGGTCTACCCTGGGAAGGTGGAGACACATCTGATACTGTCACTGCAGGGGGTGCCCCATGGGCCAGCTGCTCCACCAGGGCTGCACTGACCCATCCCCAGCTGTAAGTTCCATGTCACTGGTGTGCACAGGCACTCAGCTCTTTAATTAACTTTGTCACATCCACATTCTTAAGTGTTTGGTGGCACCAGGACCTGGCAGGGCTAAGGGAAGGACCCCTCGAAGCTCAGTTAGTTCTCTATGTCCAGCAAGGATGAGTGTGAGGCCCGGAGCGTCGGGCATTGGGGAAACCATATCAGATGTTCCTCTCAAGCAGGTGCCCATTGCAGTGCCTGCCACGGCCAGAGGGCACTGCCTGAGCTAAATCCCCCATCTCACCTTCCTAGACCTTCACCTGGTTTCAGGGCTCCTCAGCCACCCGCATGTCACTGAAATATAGAAGAGCTTGTGAGGAAGCTTCTGGGGCACCAGCCTTCTAGAGGAGGCTGAGGGCAGCTGTGGATGGTTATTTATGGGGATGTTTTTGGCCTAGGCTGCAAGAAGATGGGTAAGTGGCACAGGGATGGCAGCTCAAGGTGCCCTGGCTTCTCTGCATGTCTGTCACTGGGTGGAGAAGGCCGGGCCTGCCACCAGGTTCCATCCTAGCTTTTTCTCTGTATCCTCAGTTGGGGTACCTACCTGTCTCTGCCTCAGTTTCCTCCTCTGTGAGACAGGGATCCTAATAGGCCCTACCTCTGACAGTGGTTTTGATGAAGTACATGATGTGGGTGAAGCACCTGGAGCAGGCCCACTCTCGAAGAACGCACAACAGACTCTCCAGGTTAATGTTGAGAAGGAGCTGGGGTGGGGCAAAAGTGGGCAGGCCATTTCAGCTCCAGGTACCTGGGCTGACAGATTGGATTAAATTAGCATGTGCCTTGCTGAGTGCACAGGGGTCAGTTGCCCAGGCAAGAGGCACCAGGGTCAAAGCTGGTAATGCCTTGGCCTCATCATCCCAGGCTAGGGCCAGTGCATGATGTATTCGGCCAGCGGTGGGCTCTGGAGCCCTGCAGCCAAGGGGTCCTGGCGACCTTCACAAGGTCATTCACAGGCCACTAGGTTGGCCTGTCCTCTTCCAGCCAGGCCTCACTCTAGGAAAAAAGAAATTGTAACCTCGTTGGCAGTTTCCTTTGCATAGAAGTAGGAAGTAGCTGCTAGCAAGGCTGGTGATGAACTCCGCAAAAGCTGGGAAATCTCATTTGAGCAGGAGCACCCATTATCTTGGCCAAGCTGCTGCAGCTGGGCTGAGCAGGTGTGGAAGTGTGGGTGGTGGTCGTGTAAGTTCTCCAGCCAAGGCCAAGTTCCTCTGCAGACCTGTGCATGATGGCATATCCAGATGATTCCAACCCCCTGCTGTGGATTCAATCCCATTCCATAAGACTTCTCTGCAGTCTCCAGACATCAACAAGGACCAATAAGCTAACTTTTCTGTGTCTTTCCTGAATTCTTGTCCCTGTAAAGCAAATTGAAATGTTTGTCTTCTACTAGCATTTGGGGGTATTAGTTTTTTTTATTTAAAAATAATCACAGTAAAGATATCAGGAATAACACACTTGTAGGATATTCACAAGGTACAGAAGAGTGGACACTGAAATCTGGACTTGTCTTTTCCTCTTCTGCAGCCTGCCAGCTTCTGCCTCTGGAAGTAACAACTGTTAAGTTTCTGCACATCTTTCCAGATTTATTAATTGAACAATCATATAGCACTGACAGCATGGCAAAGCCTTATAAAAGGGCTTTGGCTACCAGTGTAAAAGACTCAATTATTTTCCTTCACTGTGATCACTTAGGTGGCACCAGGAAGGAAAGCCTTATGCTCATTCCCTTTTATTCTTCCTAACATATTCTGTTTTTAAAAATGTCTTTTCCAGGGGCCAGGCACAGTGGCTCATGCCTGTAATCCCAACACTTTGGGAGACCGAGGCGGTGGATCACGAGGTCAGGAGATGGAGACCATCCTGGATAACACGGTGAAACCCTGTCTCTACTAAAAATAAAAAAAAAATTAGCTGCACGTGGTGGTAGACACCTGTAGTCCCAGCTACTTGGGAGGCTGAGGTAGGAGAATGGCATGAATCCTGGGAGGTGGAGGTTGCAGTGAGTTGAGATTGCACTACTGCACTCCAGCCTGGTCAACAGAGTGAGACTCCATCTCAAAAAAAAAAAAAAAAAAGTCTTTCCGAATTTGGCATTAAGAGATATATATCTGTTGTCTAGTATTTTTTAATTGAGTTTTCTCTCTCTCATATATGTGTATATTTATATGTGCACACCTGCCCAATTTTCTATTCTGTTGTTGACAATTAAAATTCTCCATTGACACAGGTAATATGTGTTTCTTCCCAAATCCTGTTAACCACCCCTTCAATTAGATAATCCCTGAAAAAAATTGCAGCATCTATATTAATGCAGTTTTTATGCCTCAGTAATGACCCATTTGATTTAATCGTTCTTAAAACTTGTAATGAATCAACAGTGATGGAAAGTTATACTGAATCATTTCATATCTGTTTTGATTACTGTGAATTATATTCTAAGAGATAGGCTTTAAAATTGAACTTATATTAATACATTTTAAATTTAATTTGGAACTAGTTTAGAATCGTTGAAGCTAGGACTCTCTGTTGACTCAGAAATTGTAGAAATGAGTGGGGATGGCATTTCACATCCAGCCTGGAATCTCCCTTTATTCTCAATGTATTGGCTTTTCTTATCTTTACCCTTAAATTTTCACTATCAAATATATTTGAGAGGCAGATCCTTTTCCTCCTGTAATATTTGTTTCATACACACAGAATAATACTCTGTGTCTGGGATTCAGTTTTTGAAATGAAACATGGAGTCTGAGTGACCCCTTGTTGATGTGACAATGGGTTGGTCAGGATCACAGCAGTTGGGCCCCATATTGTGACATGTATGCTTGTGAAAATTCTACTGTGACATGTCACTGACATGATCTGATGATGTAGGTCTTGCCTTTCATTTTAACTGCCACTCTGGCAACTGAACTTTGGCAGTAAACACAGCTTAGTTGTCTCAGAGGATTCACAATGGGAAATGTTTGTAGTTGCTGCCTCAGAGGTATGTATGTTCATTTCCATCTTCTGACCACAATTTCTTCAGATGTGCCAGTTTTTCTGTATGTTAAATGTCATTCTGATTATTTTTTATTTTCCCAGCTCCTATTTGTCCACAGATTTCTAAATATGTTTTAGAGTTTTATTACTCAATTTGTATTTTTTAATTCTTCTATCAAGATTTTTGCCTCAAATGATTTTTTTCTAGAAAAACGCACTGTTTCCAATGCCAATTTTTTTTTTGGACAGTCTTGCTCTGTTGCCTAGGCTAGAGTGCAGTGGTGTGATGTCGGTTCACAGCAACCTCCACCTCCCAGGTTTAAGCAATTCTGCTGCCTCAGCCTACTGAGTAGCTGGGATTACAGGCATCCACCACCATGCCTGGCTAATTTTTGTATGTTTAGTAGATACAGGGGTTCACCATGTTGGCGAAGGAGGTCTTGAACTCCTTACCTCCTGATCCACCTGCCTTGGACTCCCAAAATGATGGGATTACAGGCATGAGCCACAGTACTTGGACATTTTATTTTTTTGGCAGAGTCTCGTTCTGTCACCCAGGCTGGAATGCAGTGGCATGATCTCAGCTCTCTGCAACCTCTGCATCCTAGGTTCAAGCAGTTCTCTTGCCTCAGCCACCCAAGTAACTGGGACTATGGGTGCCTGCCACCATGCCTGTCTAATTTTTGTATTTTTAGTAGAGACAGGGTTTCACCATATCATCATATTGACCAGGCTGGTCTCAAACTCCTGACCTTGTGATCTGCCAGCCTTGGCCTCCCAAAGTGCTGAGATACAGGGGTGAGCCACCACACCTGGCATTTTTCCCCCACATTCTTTCATAGACTAGATACAGAAGAAACCACTGAAAAACAAACTGGGGTGCCACATTTTCAGTTAATTCCCATTAATTGCTTGTTCAGAATGTTTCAGTTGAAGGGAAGTTGATTCTTGGCACAGCCATCAAGTGGTAGTTAGTTTGGAATGTCCTACATTCCAAATTAACTTGGGGGCCAAGCAGAACTTGGTCCCTTGGTGTGGTCAGTTGATCATGGAGGAGTGCTCACTGCCAGACAGCAGACAATACAGGGTGCTGGGTAGGATGACCAGACATTTGAATTTGTTCCTCAGAGAGGCTTCATTTGCAGGAAAGTGCCACATTTTAGCACTGGAGTTAAAATGTAGAGACAGGAGTTTTGTTTTGTTAAATGATTTGAGGTTTTTTCTGGAGTCACCACCTCTTTAATACACCAACCTTCCCGAAAGGCCCTTGGTGCAGGAGGATTGAGAAAGGGAGAGGAAAGAGCTCCAGGTTCAGGGTCCAGGCCATGATTTAGAGGCCTCAGATGTTCAGGGATCTCTGTCCCCAGAAAACCAACCAAATTCTTGTCCCAGATCTATCATTCATCAGTGTTGTGACTCTAGGCAGGTCGCTTCAATTCTCTTCATTTCACTTCCCTGAACCATCAACTCTTGAGTGGCAGCCCCTGCTCTGCCTATCTTTCTGGGGTGATGTGGGCATCACAGGAAATTTGAATGGAACTTTTTCACGAGTTCTAAAGCATGAGATCCATGTCAAGAATGAAGCTAATTTTACCCTCCACTGCCCTGGAGTCTCCCAGTGGCTTCTCTATTAATCACTACCAAGGGCCTGGCTTATTCTTCCAGATGTGAAATAACTGAACACTTTATGGTACTTAGGAAGCACCGATCTTAAGGCTTTAGGTCCATTTAACTATTTTTACCCTTTTAACATAACGTAGGCCATTATCAACATTTCCACATTCAGACTAGGGATTAGAGGCACAGTGGAGTCTGTAGAACTTCCTCAGGTTCTAGCAGCTTCTCAAAAGTCCTTGAGCTCAGATCCTATGCACCAGACCATATGCTCTTGGTCACTCCAATCTACTACCTGTCTGTAATGTCTCATCTCAATACAGGCATTTGCCTGCACAGTTATAAGTGCAACCCATAGTGCAGGTTCATTCTGAAGCCCAACTCAGATTCAGGGGGCTTTGCTCTGCAGATGATGAACAATGGGATCAAACATTTAAGCTGTGAATAAATAATTACTCATTTCTCTGATCTTTTGCAGCAAGATATCAACAGTTGTCTTTATTTTAGTTCATTTCCCAGCATATTCTGTTGAAGATCAAAGAGTGGATCCTGGGGTGCCAGGGGAATCCACCGTCTGCCACCACAAGTGTAAGAAGTGAATCCTCCATCACTGGCTTCACAGCTGTGTACACTCTAGAGTTGCATCAACAGAAGTTATCTTGGAAATTCAGTCATTCAGTTCATTCATGATATGATTTCTAGATTCTTCAGTGTCTCATATTTCAGACAATTATAAAATTGCAATGCTATATTCTTTATATCGTGTACATATGTAAATGTGTTAAGTCAATTACTAGTGCTACAACTACAGGAGTAAAGGTGTATTTCCATTCCAGGTTTGGGTTTACTTTTAATAGTAAATAACATCTCAGTGCAAATTGTAGATATTTTGCTGATTGTTAAAACATTAACTAAGAAGGATCTTTTTCTGAGACAGTGTTGCCAGATTTGTAAAGCAATGGACATCACTTCAAAATGTTTGGAAGTAACCTAAAAATGGAGGAAGTGGTACTGAAAATTTCCATATACCCACCTTCCTCAGTGTTTTTTTGTGAACCCATCTTACATGAGTGTGATAACGCTTGTAACAATGACCGAGCCAATAGTGATACATTCTTATGAACAGAAGTCCAAGGTTAGCATCAGTGACTGAGCCAATAGTGACACATTCTTTTGAACAGAAGTCTAGGGTTAGCATCAAGGTTCACTCTGTGTTGTCCAGTCTTTGGGTTTTGACAAACTGACAATGTCCTTTGTCACCCTGATGGAATAATTTCACATCCTAAACATGACCTGAGCTGCACCTACTAATTCCTCTCCTTTTCTGATGATTCCTGACAACTGTGGATGATTTTACTGCCTCTATAGGTTTCCTTTTCCAGAATTTTATGGAGTTGGAATCATAAAGTATGTAGCTACTTATGACTAACTTATTTTACTTAGCAATATACATGTGAGATCTTTTGTATTGTTTTGAAGCTTAACAGCTTAATAACTCTTATCAGTGAACAATAGCCCATTGGTTTCATCAAACAGTATTAGTTGGCTCACTCACCTCCTGAAGACCATCTCAGCTGCTTCCAATTTGGGTAATTATGAATAAAGTTGCCCACATTCTTGTGCAGATTTTAACATGAACATAATTTTTAAATATAGCTGGGTAAATATATAGAATTTTGATCACTTGCTGGTAAGACTATGTTTTCTGTTGTGTTAGGCAGAATTCACCAGTATAATTATGTGGGCATGTTTTTTTAAAGTTATTACTTACTGATTAAATTCTATAATAATAGAGGCCTACCCAGATTATCTATCTCTCCTTTGGGTGGTTATGATAATTTCTCCCTTTGAATGCATTTGTCCATTTCATCTAAGCTAGGAAATTTGTGGACATAGACACTTGAATCTCACAAGTTTCCTGCTTGGTTCTTGTCAAAGGCTACTGTGCTTCCTGTCATTCCTACTCTAAAACTTTTCAATAACCTTTCACTCCTGCACTTAAAAAATTGCAGGCATAAATTTGTTGAAAGTATTCTGTTATTATTTTCTTAGTGTTCATGGGATCAGCAGGGATAATTCCTCTTCTATTCATATTATTTGTACATTGTGTTGTTTCTTTGTGATTAGCCTGGCTGGAGGTTTACCAATTCTATTGATCTTTTCTAAGAAGCAGCTTTTGGTTTTGTTAAGTTTCTTTGTTTATTATTTGTATTACATTGATTTCTGCAAATATTCTTATATTTTTGGGGAGGGGGATTGCCTGGTTTACAATTCACTACACTTTTTTTGTCTAGTTTCCTAAGGTGGAAAGTAAGACAACTGGATTTGGATTATGTTTAGTTTACTGCACAGAATTGGGAAGGGCACTGATGCCCCTGAAGTGTGCACTTGATTATTAAAATAATAAATATGATGTATTTTGGCCACAATATTGATTTTAAAGCCAATAAAATGGATGATAAGTGCAGGAGGAGCATATGTAGATCCAGAAAAGATAAATGACATTATAACATTTCAACAACAAAAAAAGGAAATTTACCAGGCCTCAAAATGCACAAGGGGGTGATGGGACACTGTCATGAAATCAGCTGTGCATTTGTATGCTGCCCTGTGTGAACTCTGCCTATTTTGTAGCGGTGAGGGTTGCTTAGCCAGAGAACCAGGCCCTAACTTCTGTGCCTTTCCTGATGGTCTCATTTGCCTTCCCTCATCACCCAGGATGGTGTCCCAGTGGCAGCCAAGTTTCTGCCCTTAACCCACCTCCTTTACACACACCAGCCCCCTGCCCCCAGCACCCAAGTTTGCCTAAGGGATTCCTTCAGTGGAACCAATATGCTGACAGTTACTCTGTGTTTCCTAGATCACGATGAGCACGTGGCACAGGAAACTTCTTCTGAGGATGTCCCAGGCGTTCACATGGTAAGTTCTTCTTTATGTTTCTAAGATGGAAATTTTGTTGCTCTTGGTTTTTTATTTTATTTGAATTGAGATATGAAAATCTTACCATGTACATTATAGATGACTTACAGAATTTTTTGGTGGGAAAATGTGAGGGTTCATTACCAGGTAAGAAATGATCTCAGATGGTATTCTTAGATGGCACCTTCAGTTATGAACTGTATGGCAGAAAGAATTTTTTTAGGGGAAAAGCTTTCTTCTTATAACATTTTGACTATACAACCAGAAGAATCTTGGAAGTCTTGCATAAAAACCTAGTGCCTTTCCAGAAATGTCTTCTAGGCTTTATTTTGGGACCATCGCCTCAACCACTGTCTCCCATCTGTTTTTGTAATGTCACCAAGTAAAGAAAAGGTCTGTATGGTGAAACACCATCTCTACTAAAAATATAAAAATTAGGCAGGCATGCTGACCAGCAACTGTGATCTCAGCTACTGGGGAGGGAGAGGGAGCAGGATCGCTTGAGCCTAGGAGGCGGATGTTGCAGTGAGCCAAGATCATGACTCTGTACTCCAGCCTGAGGGACAGAGCGAGATTCCAGCAAAGAAAGAGAGAGAGAGAGAGAAATAAAAACCTGTGCACACAGGACACAGCATGGTCTGACCCTTATAGTGTTTTGTTTTTCTCTAAATGCAGGTGGACAAAGCCACAGAGACAAACAGTACATATTCTGGGATCACCCCTATGCTGAGGAAAATTTCTAGTGTTGACAAAGGTGACACTTTCTTGCCTCATTTTTTCTGGAGAGCCACTCTGGTTTGAACTTCCTGCCAGAAATGTGGTTCATGCACTTTTGTCTTCAAAAGTGAAGAACCCGGTCAAGAAATGTGACCGTTGACTCTAGTGCCTGGAAGGAACTGTGCCATTTGTATAGAAGAAGGTGCTGTGCATTAGGATTGGGAGGTATGGAGGAATGAGTCAATGTGGAGTGATTGTGAATGTCTCTGTGAGTTTGTGTGCTTTTCGCCAGAAAAGATGTTCCCAAGTGCAAAGCACAACACAAAGATTGATATTCTAAAAACAACATTTCATCACCACTGCGTTTTCCAAAAATCAACCCATTCATTCCTCATGACAGCTGTAGCTGGAGGTTAAGTTTGATATGCCCAGTCCTCACGTGGAGATGATGTAGAGATGAATTTTTCAGGCTTTTGTTCTCCTAAGTGGAAATGGCATAGATGAACTCGGGAATGGGTGGAAGGGTGATGCTGTGGGCTGCTAGTCTGAAGTTATCACATGGCCCTGGTGTAACTTGTCACCATGTCACAGAGTCCTTAGCATCTATGTATATATGTGAAGTATGTTGGCCTATAAAGATCTCCAGCACTGTATACCACAATAGAATGGTCTCAATGGTCAGCTGACCCAGAGTTTGAGTAGGTTCATTGTACAGTGGACTTTGGTGTGGTCATTAATATGAAACATACAGAAGAAGTTGCCAGGCCTTTGGTCTTAAGTGATGGGGTATTCCTCAGCCCCTGCTCAAGGGCAGAGAACATTCACAGATATATTCTATTGTATTTAATGAGATCATCACCACAAACGTTAGAAATGCTCCAATTCAGTAGCACACATACCCAAGACACGGCACACAACAAGATCTCAAGGAGCCAATTGGCTGTTAGCCTGGTTCCCATCTCCTCTGCTGGAATCTTCTGCACAGCTGGCTAACAGAAGGTCAGCATCCCCACCTATTGCCACCCATGAAGGGCTGTCCCAGTCCTGGAGCCAGTGTGAGTATGAGCAACAGCGGGCCCCATGACACACACACACACTGTGTTAACAGAAAGAGCAGAAGGACAAATATCACAGGCCAAGTAGGGGTCATCTTTAAATGGTAGGATAATTGAGTATTTTCAAATCTTGGTTTAGTCTTCTTTAAAACAGAAGGTTAATGAATACACAGAATATTTTGGCTAGAACTAAATCTCCTGTTGAAGAAAGGTAGCTTTTTATCTTGTACAAATTGTGGCCAGGCACGGTGGCTCACGCCTGTAATCCCAGCACTTTGGGAGGCCAAGGAGGGCAGATCACCTGAGGTCAGGAGTTCAAGACCAGCCTGACCAACATGGAGAAACCCAGTCTCTATTAAAAATACAAAATTAGCTAGGTGTGGGGGCACATGCCTGTAATCCCAGTTACTCAGGAGGCTGAGGCAGGGGAATTGCTTGAATCCGGGAAGTGGAGGTTGCGGTGAGCCAAGATCACGCCATTACACTCCAGCCTGGGCAAGAAGAGTAAAACTCCATCTCAAAAAAAAAATATTCTAGGAGAAACGAAAAACATAGCAGCAGGACACGTGGATCCTGGGGAGGAAATGACCTCAAGGGGATCAAGAAGGAAGAGCAAGTTATCTCAGGTCAGATTAGGAAGGAGGAGCCATGAGATGCTACAGGGAAACCCTGTGTGGTGTGCCCTGTTTGAGATGGGTTATGTAATGTCAAAGAGGTTGCCTTAGCTACAGGACCAAGGCTCTGTCTTCTGTGGCCTTCCTGATGCCTTCCTTCACCATTTGCCTTCCCTCAGCACCATGGAGGATGGACTGGCAGCAGCTGAGTCTGTGCTGTGGACACACCTTTCCACACATCTATCCACACACGCCAGCCCCGTGTCCACAGCTCCAAGATCACCTGAGGGATTCACTCCGTGGAGCTCATGTGCTTATAGTGACTCTGTTTCCCAGGTGACCTGGAAGACTGGGAGGAGGATATGCCAGGGCAAACATCCTCTGAGGAAGCCACAAATGTTCACATGGCAAAGTCGTGTTTTTTCCTCTGAAATGGAAATTTTATTTCTCTCGGTTTCTCTCTGTTACAATTGAATTAAGATGTACACATCTTACCATGTACACTATAGGTGACTGATAGAATTTCTTGGTGGGCAAATGTCAGACTTAATTATCAACTAAAAAATTGTTTCAGGTGGCATCCACATTTACAGACCGTATGTCAGCAGGCATTTTCCTCAAGATAAATGCCTTCTTATGAGAAGCATTTGGAATTGTCTAACAAAAACAATTGAAAATTCAGTACAAAACTCTTATGCCTTTCCAGGAATGTCTTCTAGATATCAGGGCCATTGTCTCAATCACTATTTACCATATTTTTTTAACACCAACAAGTGAAGAAAAGACTTGTGCACAAAGGACACAGCCTGGTCTGACCCTCATAGTGTTTTGTTATTTTTCTGTAGATGAGCGGGGACCCAGCCACACTGGCAAAGAGTAAGTATTCTGGGATCATCTCTTTTTTTAGGTTCAAAATGTTAGTGTTGCAAAGATGGCACTGCTTTGCCTGCTTTTGCTCAAGAGCCACTCTGGCTTGAGCTTTCTGCCAGAAATGAGATTTGTGAAGTTTGGTTTAAAAAAATACTGAGAGTCCAGTAAACAACTCTAACCACGGTACTGTCATCCCTGGAAGCAACAGTGTCACGTAAGGTGGGGTGGTACATCAGGGTTGGGAGGGACAGAGGAGAGAGTCTATATGGAATGATTGTGGATGTCTTTGGGAGTGTGTGTGCATTTCCCCAGAAAACATACTCCCATGTTCAAAGCACAACACGAGGATCAATGTGCAAGAAAAATTCCATCACAACGGCACAGTTTGCATGGATCAACCCATTCATCCTCCACCACAGCTGTACCTGAAGATAAGTTTAATATCCCCAGTCCTCAGATGGACATGGTGCAGAGTCGAATTTCCCAAGCTCTTGGTCCTTTAAATGGAAGAGGTACGTGTGACCTCGGGAATGAGTGGAAGGTTAATGTCATGGACTACTACACTGAATTTGTCACAAAGCCCTAGTATAATTTCTTGCTAGGCCAAGTTATTCCAGCACTTCTGTGTGCATGTGGAAGAATGAAAATCTATTCAGATCCCAAACACTATCATTATTGGATGATCTCAACGGTCAGCTAACCCAGGGTTTGTTTGAGTTGGTACATTGCCCAGTGGGATTTAGTGTGATCACTAATGTAAAACACACAAAGTCCTCAGGCTTTTGGTCTACAGTGGTGAAGTCATTCCTCAGCTCTTGTTCAAAAGCAGACAATAATCAATGGCATATTCTGTTGTATTTAGTGAGATAATCACCACAAGTCTTAGAAATTCAGTGGAACCCTATCCAAAGACATAGCATCCAATAAAATCTCCAGGATCAACTTGGGTGTTAGCCTGGGACCCATTTTCCCTGCTGGAATCTCCCACACAGCTCGGCTGGAGACGGTCAGTGTCTGCACCCCGTCCCCCTCGCTGCTCCCTATGACAGACTGTCTCTGTGCTGGAGTCACTGTAAGCATGAGGAGCAGTGAACTCCATGGTGCACACACATTGTGTTGAAAAGGAAGAGTGGAAGAACAAATGTCATGTGCTAAGTTGGAGTCATCTTTAAATGGTAGGATAATTGAGTATTTTCAAATCTTGGTTTAATTGCCTTATAACAAAAAATTTTTTAATGAAATCTTTTGGCAATAACTAAATCTCCTATTTTAAGAAAAGTTGCTTCTTATTCAGTGCAAAATCTTCTAGAGTGATGACATACAGAGCAGCAGTACCTGTGGATTGATTGTGAGGAGGAAATGAGTTTGGTAGGGATCAATAAGAGGGCAAGTTAGCTCAGGTCAGATTAGGATGGAGGAGCCCTAAGAGGCTGCCAGGGACACACAGCCGGCACTGCAGGAAGGGCCCTGTTTGAGATTGGCTATTTCATGTTTACGAGTTGGTCTGGAGCT
The DNA here is from genome assembly GCF_000001405.40 of Homo sapiens. Lineage (NCBI taxonomy): Eukaryota > Metazoa > Chordata > Mammalia > Primates > Hominidae > Homo > Homo sapiens. The sequence goes on from NT_187383.1 coordinate 868,938, forward strand.
AGAAAGCCAAGGGCCCTGATTCCCTTTCTTCCCTGCATCTCTCCTGTGCCTGCTATCCTCCTCCCACACCCACCTCAAGCAATGTTACTGAATTGTTCATGAGCACCACCAGCAAGGTGCTGATGGTCACTCTGTATCCTCCTAGTTCTGATGAAGGATCTACTACAGGAGCTGTCCAGTTACAACGGAGAGGAGGAGGACCCAGAGGATGTGAAGATCAGGCCACCTGGATTTGTCTGAGAAAAACTGTTGCTTTCTTAGCTTTATCTTATTTGGATTAAATTAAGATATGAGAATCTGGCAATATATATCTTAGATTAGTTACGCAATGTCCTTGGGGAGAATTGTAAGTGAGAGTCTGTCCCCCCTGAGGCTTGATTTAAGACAGTGGGAGAAAATGAAAGAATCAGTCACACATTGTGCGGCAGTGAGCCTTACCAATTTTGTTTTCTCTTTGGAGCAAAATCACTTACTTGCCAACCAACACGGACTTGAGAGGAAACATCCTCCGAGAAAAATTTGTGTCTTTAATATGAGTCGATTTGCTCTGTTCTTCTTTTGGGTTCCTTTCAACACTGGTTTCCGTCTTGTTTTCTAATGTCACTAAGTGAACAAAGTTTTGTGCACACAGGACACAGCATGGTCTGATGCTCATAGCAATTTATTTTCTGTCATTACAGAAATCCTCAGGAGTTATACAAAAGGGTATGTATTGGGGAACCCCTCTCATACTGATGAGTAATCCAGATGATGAGCAATGTGCCACTGTCTCTCTGGCCTTCCTGTAGACAGGCAGCCTGAGTGGAGCTTCCCCTCATGAATGAGGGCATAGGCTGTGATGGGAGAAATTGTTGTTCCAGATAAAGCATGATGGTCACATTCTGCAGTCCCTGGGAACAACTGTGGTCTCTGAAGTTAGGTGAGGTTGTGCGCATTGAGTTGCTGCGTGTCTTTTTGAATTAATGTGGTGAGTGTCCAAAATACGTAATGTCAAGGTCATGTACAGGCTCAGCCTCTATCATGCAGCCTAGTTCTGGTTTCCGTCTTCTATGCTCAGGAAACACAGCAACATGAAAAGATAACCAAAAGGCTTGCCCTAGGGTGTTACTGGCAGGGCAAGCACTTGCCTTCCTAGGAGGATAGAGGGTGACTCATGCATTATGAGGTGGGGAAAGACAAATGAGGCTGTTTTGCAGCAGAGGCTCCATGATGTTCCCATTGAGCCCACTGTTGACAGAAGTTTTTGTTTGCTTCTGAAGGCCTTTGCAAAAAACAAGTCAAGGTGGTTGGCTGAAGGTTATATGAAAATAAAATTAGCCAAATTCTGGATTGAGTTTCTTTTGGGAGCTTGCGTTTGGTGGAAATATATTGTATATGAATTGAATTTGATTGCTCTGTAGGTGTCAATACTTATCCTATATTTTAAAACAATGAGGCTGGTGTGATTTTAAAATGCCCCTCGTTAACCTCATAAACTATCTCCTCATAGCCCATTTCCTCCAGTCATCTTTAATCTCTAAAATATAGTTTTTTTTTTGTGGTATTTGGGGCCCTCTGCTGTGTGTGATTAAAGGCACAAATCAGCGTTACCAGCATTGAGGCTCTAAGAATTCACAGAGTGCTGTCCAGTGGGTTCTATGAGAGAGACAGTAGGCTACAGCCTTGGCCTGGGCCTGAAAAGGAACACGATTTGGAAGAGCAGAAGGAAGGCATGAGGGCAACAAAGCCACAGGGGGAAGCCAAGGTGCAACATCAGCAGAGACAGTTCTGCATCATCACCTGGGCATGGCCGGGATGTTCATATTACAACTGACGGAGAATGGGTCAAGCTCCAACTTCATAGCTGGTTTTAGCACTGTTGGCCTGTCTTCCTAAGAGCCTGAAGAGAGAAGCTACTTTCTTGTTTCTTGTCTTCTCTATTTCCTGTATGTTGATGGCAATGGCACCACCAGAAATTAATGAGAGGCAGAGAACACAAGTGAGTTCTTGAAACATCCAATTTTGCCCAGAGAGGACATGATCAGCAGGGATGGATTTCAGGGTCAAGCCAGATACAAAGTATTTCCCAGGCCTGGTCTCTGGCTGGGACAGAGATCAGCTCTTATTTTTCACCTGCTTCTGGGAGTCACCTGACAGCTGGTCCTTGTGTAGTTGCTGTTGGCCAAGTGTGATTTGGCCCAGAACCCTGTGTGACTGGAAGGAGTGTCAGCTTTCAGGCAGGAAAGCTGCCCCACACTAGATGCAAGAGAGGTGAGAAGAGATCCTGCTTCAGTGCAAGGTGAACTCAGCCAAGGGAGAGGGGCTGCTCCAGAGTCCAGGTGGTCCTTGCAACTCTCCCATGTGACCTATAAGACAAGACTTTTCCTGTTTCTCTGAGATAGTCTTGGAATTATTAGTCTCAAATTCTGTTTTGTTTTACTTATGTGTTGATGAATCCTGGCCATGGCTCGTCAATGGGAGGGCAAGGACTATGTCCTCCTCATTCCTTGTCATCCCAGAGCTCAGCCCTTGGCAGCCCATCTTGGGCCCCAGTAATGTTCCAATGCTTCCAACCCCTTTGCTGAGATCCAGCGCCAGTGTGAAAAGGCTTCCTGCTCATCTCCTTCAATCTGTTTTTTCTCATGGTAATCTAGAAACCTGAATGGATTCTGATCCAAGGTCACAGGAGAATAGGGTGGGGTCCTGAAGTCAATGAAGAGTCCCCCTCATCTCTACTCTGGCTACATTGGTTCACCTTTTCTCCTTGCAGAAGATGCTCTTTTTCTGTTTACAAGCCCTCCTTTGCTGGACCAGGCTTTTTTATTTTTGTTGTGGCATCCCTGCACTTCACAGGGGGCCTGGAGCTTGTTCCTGTGCCCCTGAAGCACCTATCCATAAATGATCAGATCAGAGCAGCAAACCACTCTGCCAGGAATCACCAGGGGGGAGAGTCACATCTTCCTCATCTTTGGGTTTAGACCTGTGCATTCCAGTGTGGTCCTGAGTGGCATATGTGCCCATTCATATTTAAATAAATGAAAAAATTCAAAACCTCCTCACAAGAGCCATGCTAGAAGTTCCCAGTTGCCAAATGTCTACTCTTAAGAGACCATCTCCATTCTCCCAGAATCACCTGGGAAGCAGCTGCTGGGAGTCTGGCCCAGGTTCTGTTCAGTGCACCCACCTAACTCAGTGCATGTGCATCAAGGCTTAATCTCAGGTTCTCAGATTGGAGGTAAGAGATGCTATGAGCCAGTGTCGGTGAACAGTTGAAAGGGATTATTTCAGGTCCTCTGTCTCACCTGAAGGTGCACAGCTGTGAGCAGTGCCTTCATAAAGTCCCCTGAGTTCACAGAGCCCAGGGAGAATCATAGTGGACAAAGCAGTCATGTTGATGTTTGTGTCTCTGTACATGGGCTCATGGGCACTACCTCTGGATCCATCCAGGAGGAAATAGACTGGTCAGGTAGGGACCAACACCCCAGGGTTGATCAGTGAGAGAGCGTTCTTGGAGATTGGGTTACACTTGTTTTGGAGCCTAGGATGGGATCAATGAAGTGACTAAATATGAAAGGAAACAGGTATAGAAGTCTGACTTGGGTTTTTTTTTTTTTTTTTTTTTTTTTGTATCTTAATGACAAAGTTGTAAGAGTTGTGTTCTTATGGGCTTTGTGTGAGTTGTGTTTGTCACCATCATTTCTTGCTCTGGTGTTTAAAGATTACATTTTGCAGAGGACCAGATCATTTCTGCCTTTGCCACAGCAAGCACCAGAGCCCTGGGTTTTGATGAGGTAGCATTTTTTTGTGAATAGAGATCACAAGATGAGTATGCAGGTGTAAAGTTGAGTGTGGGGTGGGACAGAGCCCCTTCCAGGTGCTGCGTAATCCTGAAGGTAAAGTCCTTCATACATGTGCCAGGAGATGAAAGGAGCCCACTGTCTTTCTCTACACTCTCAGGACCTGCAACAGCACCTTCCTGTCCTGTCCTCACCATCTGCTCCTGCTCTAAGGGTGCTCCCTGGGTTGGATGACATAGGGAATCATTCCTCTGGAATTCATACGTGTGCCCCAGCATCCTGGAGTCCTGAGGGCCGAACACATGATTGAGCACATTTTTGGCCTCCACTCCTCACCCAGTCCCATCCAATCCCAAATCCTTGGGCTTTGAATGAAACCTAAATTGGTTTTCGTTGGAGAGGCCCGAGTCCAGCTGTAGCTCAAGGCCCTCTGTGGCTGGCAGGAATCCTAGGGGATATATGTGGAGGGGCTGCTGTGTTGCTGTAGGCAGTGGCTCTCACCGTCTGTGTAGCCTGGTCCCTGGAATCCACTGGGCCCAGGGCAGAGCCTCTGGGCAGCTGGCACGGGGTCATTTATCTTGTCACACCCTCCTCTCTGGCCCAGCAGCCTTGTCCTGCTCCCCATACTCCTGTCAGGCCCAGCTTGTTCTCTGTGTCAGGTCTGCCAGGTGCCCTCCCTCTTAGTCTTCCCACAGCTCAGGCAAACCCTGGGAGGGCCCCCTCATTTCTGTGCTGAAAACTGCTGGCCTCACCTGCAGATTAAGGCAACTGGGACAAGGGGCTTTACTCTGAATTCTGTTCCATTGTTTCCAAATATTCAGAAGCTGATGGGATTGTTTTGAGGGCTGAATATTTTCCAAGTCTCTAAGGTCATTCCAGGCATAGAACAGTCACTGTATCTGTGACATCAGCCATCATTGCCTCCCACAGGCCCCAACACAACCCCAAGCCTGTGGGAGGTGCTGCCGACCCAGGGTGAGATCCGTCGGTTGATTGTAGGCCCTGGAAGTGAAGCCTTGACCTTCTTTCTGATATTCTTCTTTTGGAGAACAGTAGGACTGGTGGAGGTCCACATGGAGAAAGGAAATGGGATTCATGAGGGAACAGAAGCAGGCCCTACAGGACGAGGAGGGAGGGAATTCCATGTCATGCACAAGGTTGTGAAGAGGGTGGCTGCCTCTTGGAGGAACAGAATGATGCGGCTTACCCTCCCTTGGCTCAGTGATGGTATGTGAGGGCTGGGCAAGTATGTGGGAAGTCAGAGATCCCTCCCTTATAGCACAGAAGAAATGATACAGGCTGTGGAGAAGGCTCCAGAAATGAGCACATCAGAGGCTCTGGGGTTGGCTCCACAGCCCTGGAACAGCAGGGTCTGAGTGGTTGTCTCGACTCTAACTCTCCCCTTTCCTTCTTATGGCCACCCCATCACCACTGCTCCTCCAGACACTCTGATGCTTGCTTCACAGAATTGGAAGACTCCACCATTACAGGTGGCCACCAGCAGGTAATTGATCTCCTCTTATATGCTCTCTCTCTTTTATCCTCTTTCTGACTCATGAGCTCCTTTTTTAGCTCTGGTCCTTTTCCTCTTTCCCTCTCTTCTGATTGTTCTCCTGAAGAACCTGGTCTCATCCCACAGTTGAGGTTCTTGGGTCTTCAGTGTCAATAAAATCCTCTCCAGCCCTCCTGCCCACTGCCTTGGCATTGCCCTGTTCACTGGCCCCCAGGTTGCAGCTTTCAATCTTGCTGAACAACACTTCAGGGTCCAGGGAGGGGACTGGGCTGGGGTCAGAAGAGCTGGACCCCACCCTGCTGGAGGGACCCCCAGTAACATCTGGTCTGCTCTGGGCACCCCCTTAACAGATAGAACTTTTCTTGCACTGGCGTCTCTGGACATGCACAATTGTTCTCTTTCTCACAGATGTCAGCAAGTCCTTCCTCTGCACCTGCAGAAGAAGCAACAGAAAAGACAAAAGTGGAAGCGGAAGTGTGAGGGGAAGTGGAAGCAGGCAGAATGATGAGGGAAGCACAGACGTGCCCATGTTCTTCATGGCTACACTCACATTCTTGTTGTCCCATCAGGAAAACCAGGAAGCCCAGGAAGAATGTCCTGAACTGTTGGGACATTTTTAGTTTATTTTAGAGACCTCTGAAGGTAAGTGAAGGATGCCCTGAGAACATCCTCCAGGAAACAGACACCCACTCCATAGCAGCCCCTGAGCCTGCTGGGCTGAGCCCTCCACAGGCTGCGTAGTGAGGGAGACACTGAGGTGCTGGTCAGACCACCATGTGCTGAATTCCAAGGGCTGTGCACTCTGTTATTCGTCTGCAGTGACACTTCATCTCACCACCATCTCATTTCGGGGAACCTAGCTCTGTCCTCCCAGCCTCTTGAGGCCAACAGGGAGCATCACTAGTTCATCCTGAGGAGACACTAGGGTTGACATGAATCCCCCCCAGTTCAGGCCTCCTGGGAAAGGTGTGAGAGGGATGGGGGCATCCCCAGTTCCTTGTCACACAAGCAAGCAGCCCACTCGGCCCAGTATTGCAGGCCAGTGGGCACTCAGTCGGTCCTGGCATCAAGCAGAGGACATGGCAGGATCTAAGAAGCACTGAAATGTGCCCAGCCCCAGGGGTCCTTCAGCTTCTGTGGGGGACTGGGGGCCTCCAATCCCAGGGGTCCTTCAGCCTCTGTGGGGGTCTGGGATGGCCTCATGGTCCCATTTTTCAAGATGAGGTTGGAGGCTTCTGTACATAGAGAGCACTGACTTGGGCATCAGTTGTTCTGTATCTGTGCCAAATGCCAACCAAACAAACCCCTGAAGACATTTCAGGATGATGCTCACCTGGGAGGGGTTGAGGGCATGATTTAGGGAGCCTCTGTTTTTTAAATGTATTTTTCAATCTTGAAGTAAGGTACACATATGAATGTTTGTGTGTGTACATATACACTGCTTTTCACTCTTTCAAATGTATGTCTTCTGTAACCCTTTTATGCTAGAATATATGAACATGAGAAATTTATGTCTTACCAAAGCATAATTTTAAAAATTACAATGCAAAGACAGGTCCGGTGGCAATGCTAGGAAGACGAGGTCTTATTAGGCAATAAAAATGACGTGCTCCAGGAAGCTATGCATATTCAACGTGCAGCTCTTCTGTCTGGATGGCACAGAGGATCTGGGTGGCAAGGCAGAGTCACCACCCCCACCCTGTGTTATGAGCGCTCCTGCTCCTCTTAGGGCCCAGGGGCATGGGACTCTGCTTGTTGATCCTGGAATCCTCGAAATTCCCCCATTTCTCTCTGTCTGTTTTGCTCTCCAGGGAACCAGCCCCCTGAAGGTGCCCATGTGAGCGCCCAGGTCCAGTTCTTCCTCCATGACACTTACAGACACTCTCTGTGGACAGATAACACCTCAGCAGAGAGCAGCACACAGGGCTCAGTGCCTTGACATCTGAGTAGACCTGACTGTCAGGAGCTCAGGGGCCCAAGGTCACCTTCCAGTGCCCAAGGACCTCTCTGAGACCTGCACCACCCTAGGGAGCCCCTCCTCCCTCCACCTCTGTGCCTCCCCAGTGACCCTTGCACCTCTGTCTATGTTGCAAATTCCTCGAACACCAGGAAGGGCTTGATGTGGGGATGTCAACATGGCTCAGATTGATGTGGATCGTGATCATTTTGGGAACTGTGTTACTCCAAAAACTTTTATAATCTTTGCTTAATTTGTTTTTAAATATTTTCCTGGCCGGGCATGGTGGCTCATGTCTGTAATCCCAGCACTTTGGAAGTCCGAGGCGGGTGGATCACCTGAGTTCAGGAGTTTGAGACCAGCCTGGCCAACAAGGTGAAACCCCGTCTCTACTAAAACTACAAAAATTAGCTAGGCGTGGTGGCGCATGCTTGTAGTTTCAGGTACTCGGGAGGCTGAGGCAGGAGAATCGCTTGAACCCAGGAGGCAGAGGTTGCAGTGAGCCAAGATCATGCCACTACATTCCAGCCTGACGACAGAGCGAAGTTTCCTCTTAAAAAAATATTTTTTTTCCTGACTTTAACCTCTGTTTTTTAGAGGGCACAAATTGTTCTTGTGTTGTTTCTATTTTACATTTTTCCTGAAGTTATTTTCCAATTGTTTTCATTCCTTCTGAAGTTTTGTTTACTCAGTTTTGAGTTTTTGTAATTTTAATAGACTTCTTTCATGCTTTCATTTTCTTAATGACTTTTACCTCATTTTTAAAACAAATCCATAGTACGGTAAGTTACATCAAGATGGACTGTATTTATGTTTTGTAGTGGTTTATATTCTGTATGTATTTTACATATATAAGTGTTAATGGCCTGGTGCAGTGGCTACTGCCTGTAATCTCAGCAGTTTGGAAGACCAAGGCAGGAGGATTGCTCGATCCCAGAAGTTTAAGACTAGCCTGGGCTACATAGTGGGAACTCATCCCTACAAAAAAAAAATTTTTTTTAATTAACTGGGCATGGTGGAATCCATCTGTAGCCCCAGCTACTAGGGAGGCTGAGGCAGGGGGATTGCTTGAGTCTGGGAGGTTGAGGCTGCAGTAAGCCATGACTGCACCACTGCACTCCAGCCTGGGTGACAGGGCGAGACTCTGTCTTTTAGAAAAAAAGTTTATTAATATTAATATCAGTTAGAAATCTAGTTGTTCATTGCAGAACTAAACCAGTTTATAGCAGAAATAAGCACTTGGAGGGAAATGTTACATTTTCACTCCAGGCCTTGAGTCCTTAGCCACCAGCTGTTTGTCCTTCAGGGTTCTGTGGTTCCTGGTTCCAGAGAAATCATTTGCTCCAACGTAATGAGTGAAGAGTTCTTCAGGTGATGGCTGCTGGGCCCAGCTTGGCTGTTGTCTTTGCTGTCTTGTAAGCCTTGTGTTGCTCAAGTTCAGTTGTGTATTAGTGCACTAACTGTACTGCAAGCTTCTCCAAGCATGTGCAAGCAATTTGAGAGGAGCCTAATGTTTGCAAGGAATTTGAGAGGAGCCTTTTAAGGATGTTTTATTGGGTGGGTCAGATGAGGGAGATAACATGGGGGCAAGAAGGAAAGTTATTAATTCACGTGAAACTACCAGCCGTTCATCACCTAACTTATGATTTCAGACACTGAGCACATTGCAGGTTGAGAAGGTGCTTGGTCCTTTTTGTAGCCTTATGCTGTGCTCTTCAGAGTCATGAGTGTGCTGCTTTTTCTCACCATTTTGTTTCTTGTAGATTGTTGTCCTTGATGCTGGAAAACATTTTGAAGACAAGACTCTAAACAGTGACCTATGCCGCACTAGTTTATTGGAAAATGAGAAATTTACATTACTGACAAGCTTGGAAGATTCTTCTGTCCTGCAGTAACCTGTGTTTCCCTGGTCTTTATCTTGCCACTCTGCTTTATTCCCCTTTTTTGTGGCAGTAGTTATGATGCCAACTTTTGGGGATTCTTTGTCCTCCTCTTTTCTTCCTACATGCCAACATTCAAATGGCCACTTCTATTAAGTGATGGAATTCAAAAATTTGTTTCTGTATATTAATCCTAATATGGTTTCACTCATCCCTCAATTTAACATTTAGAGTACAAAGTAGTCACCTAGAGGTGCCACTCAATATACAGCACTGTGTTTAGAAATTGAGGGAGCCATGAATTATTTAGACTCTGCTCTCTGAAACTTCAGCCAGGTGCAAAGAAGAGATGCAGAACCACATTTCAGATTGTGTTATGTACACCCAGCAGCACCAAAATGAGCCTGGGAATCATGGGGGTCAGAAATTTACCTCTGAGGCAGGTATGGCTGAAGCTTTATGAAAAGAGATGGGGCCTGTGCCAGGCCTTAGATGTAGGAGAAGGAGGACGTGTCAGGAAGCAGAAACAGTATCATCAAAGGTGCTGCTGTGAGGCATGTGGGCAGTGTTTGGAGAAGAGCCAGGGACTTTCTGTGTCAGGTTTACAGCATCTGTGGGAGGCCGCATTGGTAAATAAGCCCAGAGAAGTAGGCTGGGGCTACTTACATTAAAAGTATGCATGGCTTTAAAGGCCAGCTGAGTGGTATAAGTAGAAACTGTAAATAGTATCACATTTATTGAGGACAGCTTTTGCTGCCAATAGAGTTTTTAAATTTTTTGTGATTGTGTAATTAATGGATGAAGAATTATTGACCTAAATGTATCCAATCTTTGAGTGTTTTAGTATGCTAGATTATTGTAGGTGAAATGGCTAAGTCAAAGGTGATGAGTGTTTTTGAGACTGTTAATGCTAATTGCAAAATTAACCTCTTAAAAAGGCACTGCCAGCTTAGACCATGACTGAGAGCTCTTGTTTTATCTTGTCCTTGCTGAGCTGGGTGTTATAACATTGAAACCTTCTGCAGTCTCTCTCTCTCTCTCTCCCCCCACCCCCTCCTCCCTTCCTCCCTTTATTCCTTTTACTTCTCTTAGGATAGGCTCATCTGTACTTTTTTGATAGAGGTAACCATTTGCCACACCATTTTCTGAAGGGCCTGCTCTCTTCCCATTCATTTGTGATGGCACATTTATCCTACCATAAGCTTTGGTAACATGTCAGGATCTTTCTGTCCTGTCCTCTCAAAGAGGTTAATTTTTTTTTTATAATGACTTATAATTGACTGAAGTTATAATAGTTTTCTCATGTCAAATATAGAAAGAGGCCAGGTGCGGTGCCTCACGCCTGTAATCCCAGCACTTTGAAAGGCCAAAGCAGCTGGAATGCTTGAGTCCAGGAGTTTGAGACCAGCATGGACAACATGGGGAAACCCAATCTCTACCAAAAAAAAAAAAAACATTACCCAGGTGCAGTGGTGCATGCATGTAGTCCCAGTTACTCAGGAGGCTGAGATGGGAGGATGGCTTGAGCCTGAGAGGTGAAGATGGCAGTGAGCTGAGATCGCACCACTGCATTCAGTCTGAGCAACAGAACAAGACTCTATCTCCAAAAAAAATAAATTGTACACTTTGACTCATTTATGTCTGATGGGTATTTTGATTACAAATTATTTAGTCAGTACTTTAAAGCCTGCTTAATTTTTTTTCTTAATTTTATTGACTCATTCATGTCTTAGTCTTTTTTATTACAAGTTACTTATTGTTTAGTCACTACCTTACAGCCGTTTTATTTTTCTTAATTTTATTGACTCATTTATGTCTTAGCCCTTTTTATGACAAATTATTTATTGTTTAGTCACTACTTTAGAGCCTGTTTCATTTTTTCTTCATTTTATTAAAGGATGATATTGATGATGAAATGTCCTACAATGATCATTTAGAGGTTTATTTTGAACAACTGGCAATTCCAGGAATGATGGAATAAAACATATGAAGTAGAAGGACTGGAACCTCCAGAAAAAATACTTTAAGTTACCTGCAAGTGATCCTAGTCAGGTATGTTACAGTCTTAATGGCTTTTCAGAAATTTGACAGAAAATTACTATTAATCTCACTGGGTGTTTACATGAATTTTAAGCCTTTGCTTTTCTTTTAACTTTGTTTTTTTACAGGTATGAATTGATAAGAAATGCCTGCACCTTACCTCCTTCCTATCTTTCCCTTGCCTACAGAAAATTAAAAGCAAAGACAATGGACATCTACATATTCTTCATTCAGATCAACCAGTGGCTAGCATTTGCCACCTTTGCATTTTCTTTCTCTTTCCATAAGTACTTTCTTCTCTGAATCATTTGAAAGTAAGTTGCAGAGAGCAAGATGTTTTACCCCAACACTTCAGCGTTTATCTCTTGTGAATAATGACATATTTCTACATAATCACAGTTCTACCATCTAACTGTAATACAGTAATTTGATGTACAGCCCATATTCAGATTTACCTAATTGTCTCCAAAATGTTCTTTATTTTTGTTTTAAATCCACAGATTAATCAAAGATTAACCTCGCCTTTGGTTATCATGTCTCTCTGTTCTTTTACTTTGGAGTACTTCTTTCAATACATGAAATATTTTGAAAAATCTAGGCTCTTTGTTTTGTAGAATGACCCATAATCTAGATATATCTGATTGCTTTTTTCTTCTCCTGACTAGAATAGTTTGATCATTTTGGCAAGAATAGATTAAACAGTGTTCTCATGAGTGGATCCAGATTAAACAGGGAATAATGCCTAATTCAGATTAGGCAGTGTTGTGTACTTAACGCCTCACACCAGATGTTTGAGTCTGTTTGTCCCACGATTGTTGATGCTATGTTTAATAATTTTGGTTGAGGTAGTATCAACTGGACATCTCCTTGTGAAGTAGCTTTTCCCTTTTGTTGTTAGTCATCTGTGGGATGAGATATCAAAGCACTGTGAACATCTTATTCCCTGGCAACCTTCACCAGCTGGTTTCAGCGTCATTGCTGAAGCCTCCTGGAAACATTGATTAAACCCGTGGTTCCAATGGTGATTTCTCATTCCTTTTACACTGATTACCTGCCTCCTTGAGTAAGGTAGATGTTGTCTGCTCCCTATGTTTTCCCCTTCAAAATGTTTAATTTTAATTTAAATGATTAATACAGCTGAGTTACCCTTTCAACAGGCAAATGAAAACAGTAGCCTAAAGTGTCAGTTTCAACCAGAAAATAACAGCTCTGATTTCTCATGGCTCACACTCTTCTGAAAAGATTCAGGAAGAGGCTCAGGAAGGCCATGTTGTTTGTCTACCTGGGACTAGTAAGTATAGAAATAGAATTCCTTTGTTTTTAAATTCTACCTTTGACTTTACTTTTAAAATATAATTTATTTAGTGTGATTTAGCTCATGCCTGTAATCCCAGCATTTTGGGAGGCCAAAGATGGAGAATTGCTTGAGCCAGGAGTTTGAGACCAGCCTAGGCATCATAGGGAGACTCTACACAAGCACACAAGCACGCACACACACACACACACACACACACACACACACACTAACTGGGAATGGTGGCATGCGACTGTGGTCCCAGCTACCTGGGAGGCTGAGGTTGGAGGATCATTTGGTCCCAGGAGGTGGAGGCTGCAGTGAAATGTGATTGTGCCACTGCACTCCAGCCTGGGTGACAGAGCAAGACCCTGTCTCACAGAAGAAAAAGAAGAAGAGATCATCCATTTGTCTTCTTGATTTTTGTCAAAATGTGATATGTGATAGTTGATAAGCTTTGTATGAATCTGTGGCCATTTAATTTTGGGCTAAGGACTTGTTCTGTTATAGCACAGTAATCATTTTACTAATTAGTGACTATTTGTCATTAAAAACAATATATTTAGTTTTAATACAGTTGAGTACTCACAAATTTCTGGGGAAACTTGGTCAGGACATTTTAACTGAGAAGGCACCTTCTCACTGATAGCCATGCTGCTCGGTGGTGCAGCTCATATGCAGACAACTCCCTTCATGTAATTTAGTAGGAAAATGACAGAAATAGTTGTAGAACTATAAACTAAAGCAGAATTCTGGTTATTGAATCACAGCACCTACTGAAAGTTCTCAAGTTCTGATTGAGTTCTAAAAGATTTTGAAGATTGGAATTCTTCATAGGTAAGTAAAAATTTTGGATGACCCATTTCTAGTCCATCTTCTAAAGAAATATTTAATCTGGGCCATGTGTGGTGGCTCATGACTGTAATCCCAGCACTTTGGGAGGCTGAGGTGGGTGGATCACGAGGTCAAGAGATTGAGACCATTCTTGCCAACAAGGTGAAACCCCGTCTCTACTAAAAACACAAAAATGAGCTGGGCATGGTGCCGTGTGCCTGTAGTCCCAGCTACACAGGAGGCTGAGTTGGGAGGATCACTTGAGCTTAGGAGTTGGAGGTTGCCGAAAGCTATGATCATGCCACTGCACTCCAGGATGGACGACAGTGAGACCCTGTCTCTAAAACACAAACAAAACTAACAAAAAAAGTGTTTAATCCATAAGATGACCACATGTACAGAAGCCTCCTGGCAATCTTAGCCTGAAGCCATGAAGGAAGGCATAGTGTGAAGGCAAGTGCAGGCTGGCCTATGGCAGGTGAGGATCAGGACAGGATATGGAATGAACATCTGCATCAAAGCTTTATTGCTTGAAACATTCCTATCTGTAGGTCAGCCTTAAAATACACCATTTCATAAAATATTATCTTTCCCATATTTTGAGGCCATGCAATTTTTGATACCTGAGGGAACTGTATTGTGTTCTTGATTTGATGAGATCAGTAGCTTTCTTATCTTATTGAATGACATCTACAGAACTCAGAAACAGGCTACATATTAAGCAAATTGATATCTTTCTTATTATAATATTACTGTGTATAAGAAATAGAGATGGCCAGGTGTGGTGGCTCACACCTGTAATCTCAGCACTTTGGGAGGCTAAGGCAGGTGGATCACAAGGTCAGTAGTTCAAGACCAGCCTGGCCAATATGGTGAAACCCTGTCTCTATTAAAAATACTAAAATTAGCTGGACCTGGTGGCATGCACCTGTAATCCCAGCTACTTGGGAGCTGAGACAGGAGAATTGCTTAAACCCAGGAGGCAGAGGCTGCAGTCACCCAAGATCTCATCACTGGACTCTAGCCTGGGTGACAGAACAAGACTCTGTCTCAAAAAAAAAAAAAAAGAAAGAAAGAAAGGAAAGAAAAAAGAGAGGGTCCCCCCCCCCACCCCACCAACTGATGTCAACTGCAGGGAGTGTCAGGTGCATGGTGCTATCAGGTGTTGAAAGTGCTCCTTACCTAAAAAGGAAAAGTCCCAAAAATAAAATTATCAAGGGAATTTTAGGTATCAGCTTTATATTTGTGTAAGTTATTTGTAGAGTTGGATTTTAAGAGTTTTGCCTGCTTCAGAATTCTCCCATTTTGTTCTTTTTTTCTTTTACATGTGTCTTATTACCTATTATTACATAAATATTATTCACCTATTAGAATCAGTCATTGTCCTCTGATCCATTTCTTCAGTGGTCAGGACCATCTGTGGTTTCCCCACCATCCAGCATTTTCTCCTAATACTGTTATAGTTTTATAAACTATGATGTGAGTTTTGCATGTGGGTTACTTTTTTCTCACTTAGACCAAGTTTTCCAGTATTTACTAAAAGAATTCTTACTTTTTTGCTTTATTCTGTACATCTCTGTTTTGTACATATTAAATATATTTTTAATTTTAAATTGTAAAATATATGTAACATAAACTTTACCATCTAATCATTTTAAGTGTACAGTTCAGTAATGTTAAGTACATTTATCAGGGTTGTTCGATGTTTTGGCTTCTTTGGACCACATTGGAAGAATTGTCCTGGACCACACATAAAATGCGCTAACACTAATGATAGCCCATGTGCTTAAAAAAAAAAGAAAGAAAGAAAGAAAGAAAAAAGCTCTATGCATAAATCTCATAATGATTTTTTATTTGTTTGTTTTGACATGAACTTCGGTGGACACCTTTCAACCCTAACAGTCAGATCTAAGATTCTTAGTTGAAAGGATTTCCCTACTCAGTACTTTGAATTAATCAACCCTACTGCCTTCTGGCCTCCAAGGTTTCTGGTAAGAAATCTACTGATAATCTGACTGAGAATCCTTTGTATGTGAGGAGTACTTCTCCCTTGTTTCATTCAAGATTCTTTGTCTTTTGATACCTTGATTATAAACTATCTTGAGTGAGATACTTTGAATTTATCCTATTTTGAGTTTGTTGAGCTTTGTGGTTTTTTTGACAGCAAGTTTTTGTAGAGACAGGGTCTCATGGCCAGGCACAGTGGCTCATGCCTATAATCCCAGCACTTTGGGAGGCCAGCTGAGACCAGCAGATCACCTGAGGTTCGGAGGTTGAGACCAGCCTGACCAACATGGAGAAACCCAGTCTCTGCTAAAAATACAAAATTAGCTCGGCATGGTGGCACGTGCCTGTGATCCCAGCTACGCGGGAGGCTGAGGCAAGAGAATCACCTGAACCCAGGAGGCAGAGGGTGCAGTGAGCTGAGATTTCACCATTGCAACAAGAGTGAAACTCCGTCTCAAAACAAGAGAAAAAAAAGACAGGGTCTCACTCAGTCACCCAGGCTGAAAGAGCTCAAGCAATCCTTTCACATGAGCCTCCTGAGTAGCTGAGATTGTATGTGCACACCACCATACCAGCTTTTAACTTTAATTATGATTTTTTCACAGAAACAGGGTCTCCCTATGTTTCCCAGGCTGATCTTGAATTCCTGGCCTGAAACAACCCTTCCACCTTGGCCTCCCAAAGCATTGAGTTTAGAGGTGGGAGCCACCATGCCAAGCCTTGTATATTTATAATGTTTTAATGTTTTAAATCAAATTTGGGAAGTTTCTTAGATTTTCATTATTTCTTCAAGTATTCTTTTAGTCCCTCTGTCTGTTCTGTGATTCTTACAAACTGTTGTTGGTCCACTTGATGGTGTCCCACAGGTCCCTTAGGGTCAGTTGATATTCCTGCAACCATTTTATTTCTGTTTCTGACACAGGATTATTTCAATTGCTTTGTCTTCAGATTTGCTAATTCTTTCCTCTGCTTGGTCAAATCTGTTTTTAATCCCTTCTAGTAAATTTTTCTTTTCTTTTTTTTTTTTTTTTTTGAGCTGGAGTCTTGCTCTGTCACCCAGGCTGGAGTGCAGTGGTGTGATCTCAGCTCACTGCAACTTCTGCCCCCCAGGTTCAAGCAATTCTCCTGCCTCAGCCTCCCAAGTAGCTGGGACTACAGTGCGTCACGTTTAGCTAATTGTTGTATTTTTAGTAGAGACGGGGTTTCACCATGTTGCCCAAGCTGGTCTCGATCTCCTGACCTCATGACCTGCCCACCTCAGCCTCCCAAAGTGCTGGGATTACAGGCATGAGCCACCGCACCTGGTCTCAGTGTAGTGAATTTTTAAGAAAATAAAAATAAATACGAGAGATGGATCTTCTGGATTGCTCATGACTTTTGAGAGTATGACAGAAGTTGAAGAGTAACTGACTTATTTATTAAACAGATGAACAAGACACTGAATCATGGAAAAATGATCTATTCAGAATTTTTATTTTTGTATAAGTTACAATGTTTTATTTGCATTCACATTACTGGATCAAGGGAAGACATTCTTAAGTGCAGACTAATCAAAAGCTGACTGTATTTCCTGAGTTGAAATTTTAGGTGTGTTTTGCGACAGTTTGTAAGAAAGACAAGTGGAAGTTTCCTCTGCTTTAGCAAAGCTGCTTGAACATGAACCTTCTGGAAACTTTCATGCAAGTCATAGGAGCAAGTCGTACAGATTTTCAAGGATTTGTTTTATTCAGTAAAATAAAGTGCTGCTATACTGTAAGTTTTAGGAGGCAGGAGTTTTTATCTTTTGCTTATTAATATGTCACTGATGGTTAAACAGTATGTAATGCAAAGTAGGTGTTCACTAATAATTATTGAAGAAATAAAGTGTCATTTCTGTGTTGTTTTAATTTGGATTTATCAGTAAGGGCAACTTATTTGACTATTAGTTCTAATGATTAAAATGTAATGAGCATTAAGGAAATAAAAGGTTCTATGTGGATTTTGAAGGTCATCTCTATCAATTTGAGGTTGAATGGGAAGAACAGTTTTCTTGACATCCTTCAGCTGTGTTACGAGTACAATTTTGTTTTTTACTCAGGCAAAAGAAAATATGTGTGTGTGTGTTAAATACAGTCAGTCCCCTTTATCTGTGGGTCCTGCATCCTCACTTTCTACCAACCTCAGATCAAAAATATTCCAGAAAAAAAAGGATGTTTGCATCTGTAGTGAACACGTACAAGCTTTTTTTCTTGTCATTATTCTTTATGCAATAAAGTGTAACAACCATTTAAGTAGCATTTCCATTGTATTAGGTATTGTGAGTAATCTAGAGATAATTTGAAGGATATTGGAGGGTGTGTCCAGGATGCAGGCAAGTACTATGGGAATTTATGTCAGGGACACCTACAGATTTTTGTTTCCAGCCATGGTTCCTGTATAGTTTAACATTCCCACATGCTGAGGGTGTGATGGGTATGAGTTGGGTTGATCCCTCATGTTTGAGGAAGTGTGTCCATCATGATTGCACACCCTTGTTGTAAACTTTGGATATGTCTATTTCGATATTTAAAACATTTTCAGATTAAGTCTGAAAATGCCAAGACATTAATAATATTTTAAAAGAGAATTGAGAAGTATTATTATAATAATAGAACTCATTATTAGAACTTTCTAATAGTAGAAAGGAAGTCTATTTATTTTATAAAATTGTCAGTTCACCTTAAGATCTAATAGTCCTTTCCAATTAGCAACAACTTAATTCAGACTACCTCAAAAGAATAATTTAACATTTATTTTTGTAGGAAAAAAACAATTTTAAAATAGCCTGGGAAAATTTAGGTAAGTTTTCCTTAATCCTGACTCTTAATTTGTGGCTAGAAGTGGTAATGATATGAACATAAGTTGTGCTATTTATTAACATATTGCTTTTCATAAATCCGTCCCTTTTTTGTAATTAGGTAAAAAGAGAAAAGAAAGACATTCTTGATTTTGGTGACTAGAGTTGTAGATGCTGGAAAGCTTTGCCACTAAAACTGACAAACCAGATGCTCGTCACTGGCCAATCACGCTGATTCTTAATGCCATAAGTATGAACATACAGTAAAAAACTGTTGATGGAATACATCGGTCTTATGAAATGAAATGTTTTGGTTAAGGATTTTTTAAACAAATTTCACATTACACTACTGGCTTTACTAAATCTGAGTCTTGTATTTCTGAACAGGGCACCATGGCCCAGCACTGTCACCTTTTCCAAGGAACCTGCTGGAGCTCCTGTGGAAGCTGCTCCTTGGGCCGATGAAATCCCTTAGCTGGTAGGACCTTCTTTAGTCACCACAGGATGCCTGCCATTCATGAACAGGAAGGAGAGGATGGGCTTTGAATAAAAAACAGGTAAGTTTCCAAACTGCTTTTCTCTCATTAAGATTTCAATCTTGGCCAGGTGTGGTGGCTCACGCCTGTAATCTCAGTATTTTGGGAGGCCACGGCGGGCAGATCATGAGGTCAGGATATACAGACCATCCTGGCCAACTGGAGAAACTCCATCTCTTCTAAAAAATACAAAATTAGCTGGGCGTGGTGGTGGGTGCTTATAATCCCAGCTACTTGGGAGGCTGAGGCAGAAGAATCACTTGAACCCAGGAGGCGGAGGTTGTGGTGAGCCAAGATCCCTTGCACTCCATCCTGGGCAACAAGAGCGAAACTCCTTTACAAAAAAAAAAAAAAAAAAAAAAAAAAAAAAAAACGGTCCTCTGAGTTGCACATGGCTTGTCCACTGCCTGGTTACATACAAACTGTGTGCTCAGTCTGCTCTTAGGACCTTACAGAAGAAGTGTCTGGCCCACATCAGTGTGAATGCTTTTGCTTGGAATGCTTGCCCACAGCTCCCCCGGGCTGGCTTCTTCTGGGAAGCTTTCCTCCATTCTGCAGATTACTCATAAATAGCAGTCCTTTAACTCCATGGTTTCCCACACTCCTTGTGCAGACGGTAATGTGACGTCCCTCTCCTTATCTATATTCTTCTCTGGAGCACAAGCTCTAAGGATGGGAATAACATCATCTCAGCACCTAGCTCAGTCGTTTAGACAAAGGAAACATGAAAGAAATATTTGCCAAAATAATTGAATACAGGATCTTCAACTCAGATTATTTTCTTTGTTAGGATCCGGAAAATATTTGTGAGGCCACTTGGACTTCAGTGTGAAATAAATATTTTCTGGCTTTGGGAGGTGTCCCTCTTGGTGGAACACAGTAAGTGTCAAAGATGGACACATAGTCCATTATTTGTAGTGTATGGGAGCAGACCACAAATTAATGTTTGGAGAACAATTTTGTCGTAACAGACACTGTTGAGGCTCAGCTGTACAGAACTGGAAAAGTCTTTCAGCTTGGCACATGTCCTGATTCAGCCTTTGTTTAACATATATTCCAATCTGGATTCTATCTTCACTGGCTAGAAAGACCATCTGATATGTGCACCACAACACAGGAGCTGCTGGAGAGGGGGTAGTATTATCACCTCAAACTCACAGCCACTCCATATTTTTCAAAAGCCAGCTTAGAGAGAGGTGTACTGATAGCTGCACAGAGAAAATGCGGTCCATCCATTCTTCTCAGTGATGTACATTTCTCAATCGGCAACCACGTGGTTTTAGCAAAAACCACAGAAGTGGTTTTGATGTACCAGCCTTGAGTGTCACATCTCCCAACCATACCAAATGGGTCACCTAACTGGGGGTGGGGGGTGGCCGTCATAAACGAGATTTAGTATTTACTGTAAAATTGTGTTTTTTTTTTTTCTTTTGAGATGGAGTCTCTGTTGCCTGGGCTGGAGTGCAATGGTGTGATCACTGCTCACTGTAACCTCCACCTCCTGGGCTCAAGCAGTTCTCCTGCCTCAGCCTCTCAAATAGCTGCAATTACAGGTGCATGCCACCACTCCCAGATAATTTTTATATTTTTAGTAGAGACAGGGTTTCACCATGTTGGCCAGGCTGGTCTCAAACTCCTGACCTCAGGTGATCTGCCTGCCTTGGCCTCCCAAAATTCCGGGATTAAAGGCACTAGCCACCCTGCCTGGCTGAGAATATTTTCATTTGCTGATTTGTCCCTTGTGTATTCTCTTTGTTCAGATGTCTATTCAGATATTTTTCTCACTTTTAAATTGTTTTTTAATTGTTAAGAATTTTCTATTTAGTTTAGATCTAAGCCCTTTATCAGATATGTGTTTTGCAAATATTTTCTCCTAGTCTGTGGCTTATATTCTGTCTGTCTCTCTCTCTCTCTTTTTTTTTTTTTTTGCATGCCCCACATCCCGGGTTCATGCCATTCTCCTGCCTCAGCCTCCAGAGTAGCTGGGACCACAGGCGCCCGCCACCGTGCCCGGCTAATTTTTTGTATTTTCAGTAGAGACGGGGTTTCGCTCTGCTAGACAGGATGGTCTAGATATCCTGACCTCATGATCCGCCCACCTCAGCCTCCCAAAGTGCTGGGGTTACAGGCGTGAGCCACTGCGCCTGGCTGTATTCTGTCTCTTAACACCCATTTTATTTTTACTTTTGGAACTAAAGAAGAGGAACAGTAGTCAGCTTTCTGTTATTCTTGTCACAGTAATGGCAGAACCAATTCTGCTAATGCTACGTTGAGCAAAGAAAGTCACATGGTCAAGTCCAACATTAATGAAATGGGGTAGTACGTGCAGGTGGGGGAGGGGAAAAAGAAATGCTTCTTAAGAGGGATATAATCTGCCATACCATCCAGGAACCTACAATGGCTTTCTATTACCTTATTCTCTGTTTTGTTTCATGTTGGAATCTTTCTGAAAGATCCTTCAACCTTTCTGTAAGAATCTAATCTGATAACACCATCAAAAACACACTTCTTTTGGCATAATTTAAATTCTAACACATCATTCACATTTATCTATGTTACATATATAAGAACTTACCCACCATATTCCTCCTTGAGGAATTACAGCATGTAATTCTGTAAACCATGTAATTCTATAACCATTTTTACAATCGTCTAACAATGTTATAATGGATTGGTTGCTTACTATCAATTTTTTAAAAGTCATGGCTTCTCCAGGCATTTCTTGCTCATCAAAATTATTTCATGAGATGGGTCTGTCCTTGTATATTTGAAAATGATGTTTGCTTCCTTCTACTTAAAAAACAACTTGAACATACCTGTTTGGATCACATGGTCTTGTCCTGATTACTTGGTAGAGGTTTCTTCAGCATTGTTATTATTGTTGGGGTGGTAATTATTAATGTATTTCATATTCTGTTTTAAAAATTAAAATTTTAAAGACCAATGTCTTCTTTTCAATTCCAGTACATTTTTCAGAAGTAACTAATGCTATTGGCTTGCGCATTATAATTCCAGACCATTTTATATGTATTTAGTTATATATACAGTGTGCATATACATGTGTCAAATTATTCCATTTCTTCTAGCATTAAACATTGCTATGGAAAATTCTGAGAAAAATATATATTTGAACCCAACTTCTTCTTTTCTCAGATGTCCCCTCCTTAGGAATCTTTTTTTTGATCCTTGAAGCTTGGTAACAACTTTAAATAGGTATATCCCGGCCCAGAGCAGTGGCTCATGCCTGTAATTTCAGCACTTTGGGAGGCCGAGGCAGGTGGATCACCTGAGGTCAGGAGTTTGCCTGGCCAACATGGTGAAACCCCGTCTTTATTAAAAATACAAAAAGTTAGCCAGGTGTGATGGCTGGCACCTATAATCCCACCTACGTGGGAGGCTGAGACAGGAGAATCGTTTGAACCTGGGAGGCAGAGGTTGCAGTGAACTGAGATCATGCCACCGCACTCTGGCCTGGGCAACAAGAGTGAAACTTTGTCTCAAATAAATAAACGTGTAATTTCATCTCAAATAAATAAATGTGTATAGCTCATTGTTCATTATTGTATGGCATTTTCCTGGACATTTTGTACAATACATATGTGTACTTAACAATGGAAGAAAAATATTCCAAATATAGTAGAAGAAAAAAAAATTTTGGCCAGAGGTTTCCAACACATTTTATTTTGCAGATCACAGATTTAAAGCTTTTGAAGACCATCATCTCTATCAATTCCTATAAAATGTCCAATCAATTTCAGTTTCATAGCAGGCTCTTCTGTACTGCATGCCATGCTTATAGCTGGAGGTCTGGTCACACACACATGAAGGTTGCCCGCTGGTTCCTGGAGATGGTCATGTCCAAGAAGCCTCTTCCAGGGAGCTTCATCTTCCCGGCGGGGGGGGTTCCTTTGGCAAGAAGTGGATACGTTTACACATGAGGCTTTGGTGCCTGTGAGCAGGAAGTGTCAGAAACTTTCAGGATATGCTGCTTCTCTTAGGAAGTCAGGGACCCAAGGATCTAGTGCCCTTGCGCTTAATGAGAAGGATTCCTCCTCATTGTTTAGTGGGTTAAAATACAAGGAAGCCGGCAGGGTGCGGTGGCTAGCACCAGTAATCCCAACATTTTGGGACGCCGAGGTGGATGGATCACCTGAGGTCAGGAGTTTGAGACCAGCCTGGCCAATATGGTAAAACCCTGTCTCTAACAAAAAATACAAAAATTAGGGGTGTGGTGGCACACGCCTGTAGTCCCAGCTACTCAGGAGGCTGAGGGGGAGAATCGCTGGAACCCAGAAGGCAGAAGTTGCAGTGAGCCGAGATCATGCCACTGCACTCCAGCCTGGGTGACAGAATGAAACTCCATCTCATAATAAAAAGTATATATATATATATATATATATATATATATATATATATATGGAAGCCTCTGTTTTTAAGTAACACAGATAACACCTTTTTAGATCACCTATTTATTCTAGAACTACAGTTTTTGTTGTTGTTGTTTTGTTTTGAAACAGAGTCTCACTCTGTCATCCATACTGGAGTTCAGTGGCAAGATCTTGGCTCACTGCAACTTCCGCCTCCCAGGCTCAAGTGATTCTCCTTCCTAAGCCTTCCAAGTAGCTGGGATTACAGGTGCACACCACTACTGCCCGGCTAATTTTTGTATTTTTAGTAGAGACAGGGGTTTCACCATGTTGGCCAGGCTGGCCTTGAACTCCTGGCCTCACACAATCCAACTACCTCAGCCTCCCAAAGTGCTGGGATTATGGGCATGAGTCACTGTGCCCAACCTAGAACTGTAAAATTTAATTCAAGAAAATATAGGTCCCATGAAAGATTTAAGAGTTTCATAAAGCTAAAAAGCTAAAATCTAGTCTTTTCCGGTAAATTGCACTTTAGTCAAAACCCTCCCAATGCTTCTAAAATAATACTAAAAGGGGCATCTAGTAATACAGGAGCAATTTTTTTTTTTTTTTTTTTGAGGTGGAGTCTCACTCTGTCGCCCAGGCTGGAGTGCAGTGGCTCGATCTCAGCTCACTGCAAACTCTGCCACCCAGGTTCAAGTGATTCTTGTGCCTCAGACTCCCAAGTAGTTGGGATTACAGGTGCCCACCACCATGCCCAGCTAATATTTGTATTTTTAGTAGAGACGAGGTTTCACCATGTTGGCCAGGCTGGTCTTGAACTCCTGACCTCAGGTGATCCACCCACCTCAGCCTCCCAAAGTGCTGGGATTACAGGCATGAGCCACTGCACCCAGCCATACAGGAGCAAGTTCAAAAATTAAATATTTATTTGAATAACAAGCTTACATTTGAGCTGCAACATTGGCAATTCAGACTTTGAACATGGATCACAAAAAGCATGTATAAAATACTACTGGCCCAGAGAACAAAACACTGCTAAGAATTAGGCTAAATAGCTGCTGCTTTTAAGAAAATAAAAGGCCTGAAATCAATATACAAAATTTTACAAAATGTATTTGCCAGGCACAGTGGCTCACGCCTGTAATTCCACACTTTGGGGGGCCAAGATAGGAGGATCACTTGAGGTCAGGAGGTCAAGACCAGCCTGGCCAACATGGTGAAAGTCCATCTCTACTAAAAATAAAAAATTAGCTGGGTGTGGTGATGTGCGCCTGTAGTCCCAGCTACCCAGCAGGCTGAGGCAGAGGAATTGGCTCAAACCCAGGAGGCAGAGGTTGCAGTGAGCCCAGATCATGCTATTGCACTCTGGCCTGGGCGACAGGTGAGATTCTGTCTCAGGAAAAAAAAAAAAAAAAAAAAAAGATATTAAACAGTAGCATATACAGAACAATCTTTGTTATTGACTAAACTTAAAAATTATTTGCATAGTTAATTATATATTGCAAATGAGCATAATACATGAACTTCCTTTTGGAGGGCAATTCCTTGTTACACTAAGAAACATCTAATTTTGGCCGGGCGCAGTGGCTCATGCCTGTAATTCCAGCACTTTGGGAGGCCAAGATGGGCAGGTCACCTGAGGTCAGGAGTTGGAGACCAGCCTGCCAAATATGGCAAAAACCCATCCCTACTAAAAATACAAAAAAATTAGCTGGGTGTGGTGGTGGGCGCCTGTAGTCCCAGCTCCTTAGGGAGACTGAGGCAGGAGAATCGCTTGAACCGGGGAGGCAGAGGTTGCATTGAGCTGAGATTGTGCCACTGCACTCTGACCTGGGCAACAAGAGTAAAACTCAGTCTTAAAAAACAAACAAACAAACAAACAAAAATACCTAATTACATCGCATTGCAAAAAAATCTCATTTTTGCTGTCAATAAACAGTTAATAGTATTACTGTAAATATCAGGAAGGCTACAAAAAAAGATTTCTTTTTGTCTTCAAAGTGTTTTTTATGCAGTGAAGCACTTACTGTGTTGAACAGAATGCAGTACTGGAAAGTGTCCTGGGTGTGCAATGCTCTTGAGTGACAAATTAGGCTTTTCTATTTTTTTTTTTTTTTTTTTTTCTTTTTTAGACAGAGTCTCACTGTTGCCAGGCTGGAGTGCAGTGGTGCAATCTCAGCTCACTGCAACCTCTGCCTCCCAGGTTCAAGTGATTCTCCTGCCCCAGCCTCCCGAGATGCTGGGACTGCAGGCGCCACCATGCCCAGCTAATTTTTTTGTATTTTTAGTAGGTTTCACCGTGTTGGTCAGGATGGTCTCGATCTCTTGACCTCGTGATCCACCCACTTCAACCTTCCAAAGTGCTGGGATTATAGGCGTGAGCCACCGCGCCCGGTCCAAGACTAGGCTTTTCAAATCAAAGAGAATCTTGCAACCCTCTTACAACTGGGTTACCATCGTGTGCCACTTACCAATGCTGTCTTTCCAGAAAACCATTCAAGATACTAAAAAAAGATCAGACTTATACGATAAACATACATAAAATGAAAAGACACCAACTGCTATTGGTAATGTCTGTCATATGTGAAAACACTTTTTATTTTATTTTATTATTTATTTTGAAACAGAGTTTCACTCTTGTTGCCCAGGCTGGAGTGCAATGGCACGATCTCGGCTCACTGCAACCACCGCCTCCTGGGTTCAAGTGATTCTTCTCCTACCTCAGCCTCCCAAGTAGCTGGGATTACAGGCATGCGCCAGCGTGCCCAGCTAATTTTCTGTATTTTTAGTAGAGGCGGAGTTTCTCCATGTTGGTCAGACTGGTCTCGAACTCCCAACCTCTGGTGATCTGCCTGCCTCGGCCTCCCATAGTGCTGGGATTACAGGTGTGAGCCACCGTGCCTGCCCGTGAAAGCACTCTTAAAAACAGAGTACCTCTGCTGCCTGGTCACATTCTGTACCTGTTCCCAAACCCTGAAGCCAGTGATGTCAGTGGCTGCATGGGCACTGAACAGGTACATGATTCCTGCAGCTTTCCTGTTGACCTGGACCATGTTCATCAATGCTTTTCAGTACGTTAATTCTACATCTTCTTGGATGACCACTAGTTTAATTTTGTTTCATTTTTCAGGAATATCCAGCCACTGGTGCACAGCCATTGCCACTTGTGCCCCCACGGGATCTTGTCAACTCCAGTATGTCCCCTCAGCACTGTGTTATCTGGCATAATAAATGTAGTTGGGCTGTAGTTGTAGTGAGTCCTCCCAAAACAACCCAGGAGTTTAATACTGTTTGGCCACTGGTTACAAACATTCCTGCTTCTTCTGCTGTGACTTTAAAAGCCTATCTAATTGTCTGGGCATGGTGGCTCAGGCCTATAATCCCAGCACTTTGGGAGGCCGAGGTGGGTGGATGACCTGAGGTCAGGAGTTTGAGACCAGCCTGGCCAACATGGTGAAACCCCATCTCTACTAAAGATAAAAAAAAAATTAGCTGGGCATGGTGGCGCATGGCTGTAATCCCAGCTACTCGGGAGGCTGAGGTAGGAGAATTGCTTGGGCGACAGAGTAAGACTCCTTCAAAAAAAAAAAAAAATCCTATCTATTCAGGGACATCACCTTTCCCTGCCAGTCATTTTGTTACCAATGAAACTATTCAAATCAATTTTTAGTTCAGAAAAAGTTTATTTTATTGTATCTTTTAACTTTTTTATTGTTCTGCATTTTTTACTTCAAAAACACCTACTATATGTATTTTTTTCTCTTTTGTTTCCTTTTTTTTTCCAAGAAATGTTTTTGTTACTTTCCTTTTTGATTTCTTCACTGACCATTACCATTATTTATATACCATGTACTTGGAGAGTTTCCAACATTTCTCGTTATTGACTTTTAATTTTATGCCATTTTGGTCTGAGAAGATACTTGCTATGATTTTCATTTTTTAAATGCTCTTTTGAGATTTGTTTGTTTTGTGTCCTAAAATGTGGTCTATCCTGGAGAATATTTTGTGAGCTGATTTTGTGAGCAAGTTCTGCAGTTGGTGGGTGAAATATTCTGTAATTACCTATCAGGTTTCTTTGATTTATACTGGAGTGTAAGTCTGATCTTTGTTGCTTTTCTGCCTGGAAGGTGTGTCTGTTGCTGAAAGTGGGTGTTGAAGTCCCCAGCTATTATTGTCTGACTCTGTTGCTCGAATAACTCTTACTTTAATAACTGGGGCTCCTGTGTCAGGTGTGTTTACATTGACAACTGTTCTACCTTCTTACTGAATTGATCCCTTTATCATTTTATAATGACCTTTATTTTCTATTTTTGTGCTTTTTTGACTTAAAGCCTATTTTGTGTGACAAGCATAGCTACACATACCCACTTTTGGTAACACCTTTCATTTCTTATCATCTTCATTGAATCTCACTTCTTCACATTTACCAAAATGTCTACTTTTGAGCCATGGCACTTCTTTGAATCTTCAGATCCACCATATCCTGATCAAGCCTTCCTTTTTATCTGTACTCTGAGGAATCAAAAACAGGCATTTTTACAAGAAAGTCTAGGAGGGAAACATAAATCTACGTGTCAAAAGAATGAACATAGAAAATAATGTGTCCTGGTTAACAAAAGTTCTCATTGTAAAGTGTTATGCACAAGATTATGGAATTTTATGTGCCATAAATGAAATTGTCTTGATTTGTCTAAAACTACTTTTAAAAATTACATGTTACTCTAATAAATTTTGCTGCTGCTCACTCTTTGGGTCTGCTCCACCTTTAAGAACTGTAACACTCACCATGAGCATCCGTGGTTTCATTCTTGAAGTCGGCCAGACCAAGAACCCACCAATTCTGGACACAGTAGGAGAAATGTCCAGGTAGGAGCTAGGTGCTGCGGGGCTGGATGCAGGTAGGAACAGGGTGTGGTAGGAGCAGGGTGACAGCTGGGCCAGGTCCAGGAAGGGGCAGAGTGCGGGTAGGAGCAGGGTGCTGGTGGCGCAGGGCGCAGGTAGAAGCGGGGTGCAGGTTGAGCCAGGATGCTGACGGGGCAGGGCAGGGTCCTGGCGGGGGGAAGCGTGGGTAGGCGCAGCGTGCGGGTAGGATCGGGGTGCTGGAGGGGCATGGGAGGGTAGGACGGGGTGCGGTAAGGGCAGGGTGATTGCAGGGCGGGGCGCGGGTAGGATGCGGTGCTGGCAGGGCCAGGTGTGGGTAGGAGCAGGGTGCTGGCGGGGTGGGGTGCGGTTAGGACTGGGCAGTGGGTAGGTGAAGGGTGATGGCAGGGCAGGGCAGGGCATTGGTAGGAGCGGGGTGCCAGCAGGAGTAGGGTACAGGACGCGGGTAAGATCGGAACCTGGTGCAGGAAAGGCCACCAGTAGCCTGGGTCCCAGAACCTCTGCAGGCGCAGCCGCTCCTTTCACCTGGTGTGCCAGCTTGCAGTTTGTGCATTTGTCCCTTTTGGCTGCACAGAGAAGGCAGGGAAACTGCGTGGGAATGCAAGGTCGGGAACGGCCGGGGGTGCGACCAAGGGGACTTGGAGAACCGCCCCACCTCCCCAGGTTCCCCTGGCAGAGCGCACCACCCCCCGCCCCCGCGATTTTTCACAGGCCCAGGCCCTGTGGAGCTGGGCCTCTGTGGAAGGGGTGGGGGCAGGGCAGAGGCAGGAGGACAGAAAGAGCTGGGCAGGGAAGGGGGCCAAGAGAGCCTTTCTCAACATCCAGGTTAGTGGATAGGCTGGGGGTCCTGCAGGGCTAGCCAGGAAGAAATGTAACCATGTGTGGAAAAACAGGAATTGGGAAGGGGTGAGGAAGAGGAGTTGGTCACCAGGCAGCAGGTGTTGCCTTAGGCAATCATAGGGGCTGAGGGGCTGGCTTCTCATTGTCAGGCCCTGGGCTGGTAAGTTTCAAGGAAATCAAATGAAACAAATGTAACTTTCTTTAAGACTAGCAGAATCAATTTCTCTGTTTATTCAAGGAAGCTGTATACATCCGGTCTATGGGAGAATTGGGCACCTTTCAGTCTCATGCATTTTGTCACAGGGAAAAGAACTGGAGAACAGTTTGTTGATTGAGGAGCTGAAGTATTAAGTACAGAGCCACATACATACTTAAAGACCCTGTGAAAAAAATTAATGAACAAAAAATAATTGGAAGAAGGTGAGCAATTATCTGAAACTTTCAAAGGATAAAATGACTACTGGGCATTTGGCTAAGTAGGTAAAATTAAGTGGAGACAGGAGGAACTGTACAGAGCATAAAACTTACATAATCAAAAAGTTTGGGGCCAGGCGCAGTGGCTCAAATCTGTAATCCCAGTCCTTTGAATATTTATCTGACTGGGCCAGTGCACCTAAATAATTAATAAATATCCTCCTGAACCCCACTGTTCTCTCTGATTCCTTAAAAATCCCGCTACAAATAACTACTTGTGTTAGGCACACAAGTCCTAAACAACTCTTGAACACAAAATTTTTAAACCAGATAAGTTTTATCCTTTATAAAACTGGAATAATTTATCAG
This sequence comes from Homo sapiens, assembly GCF_000001405.40. Taxonomy (NCBI): domain Eukaryota; kingdom Metazoa; phylum Chordata; class Mammalia; order Primates; family Hominidae; genus Homo; species Homo sapiens. The sequence continues at coordinate 898,464 of NT_187383.1, forward strand.
AGGGTGAAGGGTGAGAGGAGGAAGAGGATCAGGAAAAATAACTAATGGGCACTAGGCTTAATACCTGGGTGATGAAATAATCTGTACAACAAACCCCCATGACACAATTTACCTATATAACAAAGCTGCACATCATATACCCCTGAACTTAAAAGTTAAATTTTTAAAAAGTAAGTTTTTAAAAATGTATATTATGTCCAGTACTATGGAAGCTGTTCACTGAAATGGATATTTAACATTAAAGGTCCAATTAAAGCATTTCCAGAACTTAAAAAAGAAAGCAAATATTTTTTCTTGCAGTTAAGTTCTATAGCAGAAAAAAGACAAATAAATACACTTAAATTTTAATGTATACAGTGAAATAATGTATTACAGTATTATTTCAAACATACCATTGTCTAATAAAATATTAATAACTGTATAAGAGATTTTAGCTATTTTTGCACATAGTCTCAGATTTTTAAATAAGCACTTTTTAGATTTAATAACATTGAAGGAATATCTGTAAGAACTTAATATCAGAATTAATACAAATGATTTCTGTCACTTCCATGCTCATAAAATTAAGAAACTCTTAAATGTCAAATCTGATTAAATATCAAAAATTACTCATATAAATGCCATAGCTTGGAAATTGGATGTTACTGGATTTTATAGCACAAAAAGTATAAGTTCCTCTTTAAAAATGAAAATGAAATGTACTGTAGTTATTCCAGGGTATATTTAAAGAGCAATAAATTCAAGGAATATGAAAGCAAATAAATTAGGAAGTCAAAACAAGATTATCTGGGCATTGTATAGAGTTATGTATCTATTATTTTAGCTCATTCAGAATATTGTGGTATAAGCATTTTCTAGAAGATATATATAATCCAACAATATGTTTCTGTTATTTTCTTGGACTAATTGAGATTTGCTATTAGATGAACAATAATGTCTTATTTTATATAATGGCTCAAATATAATTTTATATGATACTATGCCTGAACACAGTGAACAAAATCTATATAGGTAACAATGATGCAGCTTAATTTTAAGTAGTGAAGCAAAGCTGTCTTCTGCTCAGAACAAAGTTATTTTTCTTTAAATGCATTAAACATAAGGGAAATATTAGTAGGACTTGATGAACAACAGTTAATAGTGATAATTGAAACCATCCAATCACCTACCCATATACTATGACATTTATTATATAGGAAATTTCATCAAAATGTTACATTGTGTAAAATAAAATCATGGGGCTTGATTTCTTTAGGGTCTTTAATCTTTGTGGAAGAATTTCAACCTCAGCTAAAATTTAGAAAATGAATTCCGATGAAACTTGAAAGACTGAAATATTTTAATCTCCCTACATCAGGAACTGCAGATAGACACTGTTACTAACTGGCTTCCTATGGGCCAGGGCTGAGAGGAAAGGCAAAGCAAACATTTGGTGCCCTATCTATATAATGGAGCTTTTTTTTTACAACTCAGATTGTTACCCATCCCATCTTTCAGTAGGCTGGGAAGAAAAATGAGGAAATACTCCTTTCTTTCTAATGCAAAAGAAGATTAAAATTGTATGTATTTACCATGTAGAACATGATGTTTTGAAGTATATATACATTGTGGAATGACTAAATCCAGCTAATTAACATATGTATTGTCACATATTTTGATCATTTTTGTGGTTAAAACACTTAACACCTACTCTCTTAGCATTTCTCAACAGTACAATAAGTTATTAAGTGTAATTCACCATGTAGTAGGTTAGATCTACTGAATTTATTCCTTCTGACTGAAATTTTATATCCTTTGATTAACATATATGCAGCCTTCCCAGATCTCAACCACCCCAGCCTCTGGTCACCATGATTCTACTCTCTGTTTAAGTTCTATCATTTTAGCTTCCACATATAAGTGAGAATATGTGGTATTTGTGCGTCTGGCTTATTTCACTTAGCATAACGGCCTGCAGGTTCATCCCTGTTGTCACGAATGACAGGATTTCCCTCATTCTATGGCTGAATAGTACTCCTTTCTGTATATTTACCACATTTTTAATCCATTCATCTGTTGATGGGCACTTAGGTTGACTCCATATCTTGGCTATCGTGAATAATAGTGAAATGAACTTGGGAGTGCCAATTTCACTTCTTTTGGATATATACCCAGAATTAAATTGCTGGATCATGTGGTAGTTCTATTTTTAATTTTCTGAGGAACCTCCATACTGATTCCATAATGGCTATACTAATCAGAATCCCAAAAACGTACAAGCTGCCCTTTACGCCACAGCATCACCAACACTTATCTCTTGCTTTTGGTAATAGCCATTCTTAAATGTGTGAGGAAATATCTTGTGGTTTTGATTTGCATTTCCCTGATTAGTGATTTGAGCATTTTTTCAGACTCCAGTTGGTCATTTGTATGTCTTCTTTTGAGAAATGACTATTCAAGTCCTTTGCCCATTTTCCTTTTTTTTTTTTTTTTTTTTTTTTTTTGGTGAGACGGAGTCTCTGTTGCCAGGCTGGAGTGCAGTGGTGCTATCTTGGCTCACGGTGACCTCTGCCTCCAGGGTTCAAGCGATTCTTCTGCTTCAGCCTCCAAAGTAGCTGGGACTACAGGTGTGCGCCCCCATGCCCAGCTAATTTTTGTGTTTTTAGTAGAGAAGGGATTTCACTATGTTGGCCAGTATGGTCTCGATCTGTTGACCTCATGATTCACCTGCCTCGGCCTCCCAAAGTGCTGAGATTACAGGTCTGAGCCACCGCGCCTGGCCTCAAATTTCTTTGTTTCTTGCTATTGAGTTGTTTGAATTCTTTATATTTTTTGGATAGTAGCTTCTTATCAGATGTGTGGTTTGCAGATATTTTCTCCCATTCTGTAGGTTTTCTCCACTCTGTTCATTGTATCCTTTGCTGTGCAGAAGCTTCTTAGTTTGCTGTAATATCATTTGTCTATTTTTGCTTTTGTTGTGTGTGCTTTTAGGGTAAAATCCAAAATATCATTGCCCAGATCAGTCTCATGGAGCTTGAGCTTGGGAGTCTGAGACCAGCCTGGGCAACATACATCACGTCTCAAAAAAAAAATAAATAAATAAAAGCCATGTGTCATGGCATATGCCTGTAGTTCCAACTACTCAGGAGGCTGAGGCAGGAGGATCACTTGAGGCAGGGAGGTGTGGGCTGCAGTTAGCCGTGATCATGCCACTGCATTCCAGTCTGGGTGGCAGAGACTGTCTCAAGAAAAAAAAATCATGTCATCTGCAAATGAACAACTCAACGTTTTTCTTTCCAATTTGGATGCCTTTTGTTTCTGTTGCCTAACTGTTCTAAGACCTCCAGTACTATACTGAATAGAAGTGGTGAGAGGGCATCCTTGTCTTGTTCTGGATCTTCTTTCTCTGTTGATTATGATGCTAGCTGTGACTCTGTCATATGTGGCTTTTATTGTGTAGTTGCACATTCTTTATATACCTAATTTGTTGAGAGTTTTCATCACTAATAGATGTTGAATCTGTCAGATTCTTTTTTCTGCATATATTTAATGCTCACAGAGTCATATGGTTTGGATCTCTGTCTCTACCCAGATCTCATGTTCAATTGTAATCCCCAATGTTGAAGATGGGGCCTCGTGGGAGGCGATTGGGTCGTGGGGACAGTTTCTCATGGTTTAACACCATCCCCCTTGGTGTTTTCATGGCAATAGCAAGTTATCATGAGATCATGTTTTAAAGTGTGTAGCATCTGCCCCCACCCCTCATGCTCCAGCCATGTGAAGTGCCAGTTTCCCCTTTGCCTTCCAATGAGCAGATGCTGCCATCTGTTATTGTAATCTCATCCTCTCATAAAAGTGTATTATATTTCTCATAACCAGCCCTTCATATTCTATTCCTATTTTGGTATTTTAAAATAAAATATCCTTGAAACACTTGAATTCAAAGAGAGAATCTGAATGGTTTTTAAAAAGTCAATGAAATGCCGTTTCTTCATGCTTGAACAACTAAAAATTGACTAAAGTGCTTCTCTTCAAACTTTCTGGAACATTTTTTATCTAAATTCTAAGAGCAATCACAATAGGTTTTAACCACAATTGTGAGAATATTCTAAATGTTAGGGTGGAAAAAAATTTAAAATAATTTTATAGTAATTTTTTTATCATGGTGACAGTGTGCTAAATTTTTTTAAGTGAAATATTACTGTAGACATTTAAGTCAAGATTCTAAGAAACTGTTGTAAAGTCCAAAATTTTGTTTCATATACAATGCTATTATATATATATTTGCATATAAAATTAATATATGTGAGCCATGTTTCAAATGCTTGAGAGATTATTATATCAAAGATTCTTGATTATATAAAATGCCAATTACTTATAGGCACACATGCTTTAAATAATTACAAAGGCAGTTGTGGTTGATTCTACTCTTGCTACTGGCATTTATGTGGACATAATACTATGGTCTGAAGAATATTTAGGCAAATTTATCCCTCATATGATCAGAAGAACAATGCAAGATAGCCTATATCTGAAAGGAAAAAAATTTTTATATGGTTCTGAAAGCCTAAATCATTAACAACTTGGATAATAATTGGCATAAAAATACACAAACATGCCCTCTTCCTAGTAGTAGGTACACAGTGACAACAGAATCAAAGCATGTGGCTATGTGCATGTTTATATTTCAAGACGCAGAGCACTCTATTCCTCTTCTCTGCCCTTTGTACATGGCACAATTCCTCATGAATCTAAGTGCAGTCATAGGGTGGATGAAGGTGACCTGCCATTTATATGCAACTGATCTCTATTTTGGAAGTAATTAAAGTAAAAATATATTTTTAAAAGATAATTTCAAATTTCAGTGCAAACTAGTATGGTTTCACCCCTTTTCTTTGTAACATTTTTTTCTAAGGTTGGAAAAGTAAGGTAGGGTTTAGTACGATTTTTAATAATAAGTTTTCAAAGTGAGATGCAAAATGGTGGCGCCAACACATTTCAAGTCTGCTACATTTTGAGTACACTTATTGGAGAAAATACCTTCTCATCATTTTTCTCTTACAGGAAAGGAAATAACATGTACAGCTGACCCTTAAGCAACACGGAGGTTGGGGTGCTGGCCCCCTGCACAGTAGAAAATCCACTATAACTTTGACTCCCCCCAAAATAACTACTAATAGCCTATACTAAGCCTTGCAAATAACACAAGCAGCCAATTAACACATATTTAATATGTTATATGTCTTATATACTGTATTCTTAACAAACATGCCAGAGAAAAGAAAAAGAAAATCATAAGGAAAATATACTTACTCGTTATTAAATGGAAGTAGATGATCAAACAGGTCTTCATCCTCATCCTTTTCATGGGCAGGGTGTGGAGAAGGATGTAGAATTCTTGGTTTTGCTAAGTGGACCTGCACAGTTCAAACCCTTGTGGTGCAAAGGCCATCTGTATAGCCATTGAATAGCAATTTATTTTTAGAAATTAAACTCACTAAAATACTCTTAGAAGGATGCCAAGAAAAAAATCAATAAGTATTTTTGGTTCATCTATTTCATCATTTCATTTCATTTCATCATCATTTCATCATTTCATTTCATCATGTCATTTCATTTCATCCTTTAATTTCATCATTTCATCATTTCATTTCATCATTTCATCTCATTATTTCATTTCATTTCATCTCATTTCATCATTTCATTTCATTCTTTCATTTCATCATTTCATCATTTCATCTCATGATTTCATTTCATCTCATCATTTCACTTCATTTCATTTCATCTCATGATTTCATTTCATCTCATCATTTCATCTCATCATTTCATCTTTTCATCTTGTCATTTCATCATTTCATCTTTTCATCTCATCATTTCATCATTTCATTTCATCAATTCATCATTTCAGTTCATTTATTTCATCATTTCGTTTCATCATTTAATTTCATCATTTCACTTCATTTCATCATTTCATATAATTTCATCATTTCATTTCATCATTTCATCTTTTTTCATTTCATAATTTCATCATTCCACTTCATCATTCCACTTCATCATTCCACTTCATCATTTCATTTCATTTCATTTCATCATTTCATTTCATTTCATCCTTTCATTTCATCTCATTTCATCCTTTCATTTCATTCTTTCATTTCATCATTTCATCTCATCATTTCATTTCATCATTTCACTTCATCTCATCATTTCATCATTTTATCTCATGATTTCATTTCATCTCATGATTTCATCTCATCATTTCATCTTTTCATCTCATCATTTCATTTAATCATTTTATTTCATTTTATCTTTTCATCTCATCATTTCATCATTTCATTTCATCGATTCATCATTTCATCATTTCATTTCATTATTTCATCATTTCATCATTTCACTTCATCTCATCATTTCATTTCATCATTTTATATCATTTCGTTTCATCATTTCATCTTTTCATCATTTCATTTCATTTCATCATTTCACTTCATCATTTCTTCATTTCATTTCCTCATTTCATTGCACCATTTCATCACTTCATCATTTCATCATTTCATTTCATCATTCCATTTCATCATTTCATCATTTCATTTCATCTCATCATTTCATTTCATCATTTCATTTCCTCATTTCACCATTACATTTCATCTCATCATTTCATTTTATCATTTCATTTCATCATTTCATTTATTCATTTCATCATTTCGTTTCATCATTTCATCATTTCCTTTCATTTCATCATTTCATTTCATCATTTCATCTCATCATTTCATCTCATCATTTCATTTCATCATTTCATCTCATCATCATTTCATCTCATCATTTCATCTCATCATTTCATTTCATTCATTTCATCATTTCATCTCATGATTTCATTTCATCTCATCATTTCACTTCATCTCATCATTACACCATTTCATCTCATGATTTCATTTCATGTAGTCATTTCATTTCATCTCATCATTTCATTTCATCTTTTCATCTCTTCATTTCATTTCACCGTTTCATCTTTTCATCTCGTCATTTCACTTCATTTCATCATTTCATCAATTCATCATTTCATCATTTCATTTCATTATTTCATCATTTCGTCATTTCACTTCATTTCATCATTTCATATAATTTCATCATTTCATTTTATCATTTCTTTTAATTTCATTTCATCATTTCACTTTATTTCATCATTTCATATCATTTCATTTCATCATTTCATCTTTTCATGTCATTTCATCATTTCATCATTTCATTTCATTCTTTCATTTCATCATTGCATTTCATCATTTCATCATTTCATCTCATGATTTCATTTCATCTCATCATTTCACTTCATCTCATCATTTCATCTCATGATTTCATCTCATCATTTCATTACATCCCATCATTTCATGTTTTCATCTCGTCATTTCATCATTTCATTTCAGTTCATCTTTTCATCTCGTCATTTCATTTCATCATTTCATTTCATCATCATTTCAGTTCATTTATTTCATCATTTCATTTCATCATTTAATTTCATCATTTCACTTCATTTCATCATTTCATTTCATTTCATATCATTTCATCATTTCATCTTTTAATTTCATTTCATAATTTCATCATTCCACTTCATCATTTCGTTTCATCATTTCATTTCCTCATTTCATCATTTCATTTCATCCTTTCATTTCATCTCATCATTTCATCCTTTCATTTCATTCTTTCATTTCATTATTTCATCTCATCATTTCATCTCATCATTTCATTTCATCATTTCACTTCATCTCATCATTTCATCATTTTATCTCATGATTTCATTTCATCTCATCATTTCATTTCATATCATTTCATTTCATCTTTTCATCTCGTCATTTCACTTAATCATTTTATTTCATTTTATCTTTTCATCTCATCATTTCATTTCATCATTTCATCATTTCATCATTTCATTTCACTTCATTTCATTTCATCATTTCGTATCATTTCTTCATTTCATTTCATCTTTTCATTTCATTTCATCATTTCATCATTTCATTTCATTTCATCATTTCACTTCATCATTTCATTTCTTCATTTCATTTCATTTCCTCATTTCATTGCACCATTTCATCACTTCATCATTTTATCATTCCATTTCATCATTTCATCATTTCATTTCATTTCATCTCATCATTTCATTTCATTTCCTCATTTCACCATTACTTTTCATCTCATTTCATCATTTTATCATTTCATTTCATCATTTCATTTCTTCATTTCATTTTGTTTCATCATTTCATCATTTCCTTTCATTTCATCATTTCATCTCATCATTTCATCTCATCATTTCATCTCATTTCATTTCATTCATTTCATCATTTCATCATTTCATCTCATGATTTCATTTCATCTCATCATTTCACTTCATCTCATCATTACACCATTTCATCTCATGATTTCATCTAGTCATTTCATTTCATCTCATCATTTCATCTTTTCATCTCGTCATTTCATTTCATCATTTCATTTCATCTTTTCATCTCGTCATTTCATTTCATTTCATTTTATCAATTCATCAATTTATCATTTCATTTCATTTCATTATTTCATCATTTCATCATTTCATCATTTCACTTCACTTCATCATTTCATTATTTCATATAATTTCATCATTTCATTTTATCATTTCTTTTAATTTCATTTCATCATTTCATCATTTCACTTTATTTCATCATTTCATATCATTTCATCATTTCATTTCATCATTTCATCTTTTCATTTAGTTTCATTATTTCATCATTTCACTTCATCATTTCATTTCATTTCCTCATTTCATCATTTCATTTCCTTTCATCATTTCATCTCATCATTTCATCCTTTCATTATTTCATTTCATCATTTCATGTCATCATTTCACTTCATCATTTCATCATTTCATTTCATCATTTCACTTCATCTCCTCACTTCATCATTTCATCTCATCATTTCATCTCATCATTTCGTTTCATCTTTCCATCTCATCATTTCATTTAATCATTTCATTTCATCTTTTCATCTCATCATTTCATTTCATTTCATCATTTCATTTCATCAATTCATCATTTCATTTCATTTTATTATTTCATCATTTCATCATTTCACTTCATTTCCTCATTTCATTTCATTTCATATTTCTTCATCATTTCATCTTTTCATTTCATTTCATCATTTTATCATTTCATTTCATTTCATCATTTCACTTCGTCATTTCATTTCATCATCTCATTTCACCATTTCATCATTTCATCATTCCATTTCATCATTTCATCATTTCATCATTTCATCATTTAATTTCATCATTTCACCATTTCACTTCATCTCATCATTTCATTTCATTTTATCATTTTATCATTTCATTTCATCAGTTCATTTCTTCATTTCATCATTTCCTTTCATTTCATTATTTCATTTCACCATTTCATCATTTCATTTCATCATTTCATTTCATTTCAGTGATACATATATTTAAGTGCTAATGTGATGCCCAGGAGACATCCTACTTCCCTTTGTAAAATACCTCCTTCAACAAAAGGCAACCTCTCATGGCTGGCTAAGTCTACAGGGATACCAGGCTCTCCTCAACCACCCAATTTGATTTAGAACCTCAAACAGCACCTCACTTTCATGAAAACCTAACACATAAACACAACACTTGGTTGTAAGTGAGCCAACAGCTTCTTGTCTCTTTCTCTGCTCAAGGCTTAAGGCCGTGTCTCCCCAACTACGTTCAGTGGAAGAAAAGATCCCCTGGACAAATACGTTTGAGGACTGTCATTGCAGGACTTCTCAGAACCTTTAAAACACAAATCCTCATCCGCAGGGATCTTCAGGAGGGAGACGGCTGATGCAGCACAACTTTCTTTCACAGGAGCATCTTGCAGAATACAGTATGAGATACAGAAAGGCTGCACTGAGTCTTTTTAAGGGTCTGGGCCTTGGTGGGGGTGGGGTAGGAGCTCTCCAGATAGAATCTAATGAGTAGGAACATTCAGGTTGCTTTTTTTTTCCCTTATTGGCAAAACTGTGTGTGCACCATGAATGAAGCTGGTCTCCCTTATCCACATCAAAACTAAACCCAAATTAATTGGCTAAATTGGGACTCAACACCACCAGGAGCCACGTGGAAGACAGCCCTACCACACTTTAAAGTAGCTTACCTCATCATGTTTGAGGAAAGCAAAACGCTTATGACCAGTATGCTGCTAATACAAGTCTACAGATAATGCTGTAGGAAAAATTATTTTTCCCAATCATAGCTGGCATAGTCCACATTTTGCATTACAATTTCCCCTTTTTTAAAATTTAAACACAGGTCTTTTTCTCTTCTTTTTAAACATTTTAATTTAATTATACAAGACGGAGTCTCAGTATGTTGCCCAGGCTGGTCTTCAACTCCTGAGCTCAAGTGATACATCCCTCTCCGCCTCCCAAAGTGCTGGGATTACAGGCCTGAGACACTGTGCCCGGCCTTCAACATAAAGTTTAATTCATTCTTACAATTATCCTGAAGTTAGAAAAATGGAAGGGGAAGAAAAATGGCAAGCAGGTAGGCTGACTTCGACTTCATTATTTGGAAGGACAGTTTGCTCGGTTAAAACACACTACTGCCCAAAAGGCCAAGACTACAGAAAAATACAGACTTACATAAATAGATTTTATATGTGACAGCAGTTTGAATGGAGACTTTTTCAATGCAAATGACAAACAGCTGTGCTTGGGAATAAATGACAAAGAATTTTTTATCTCAACAGCTGTCCTGAGAGCACGTCTCTACATCTATACCTGCATTCTGGAATCAGGGAGGAAGCCAAAACGGATGACAAGACACTAGGTCAGCCGCGTCCAACCCTTTGACTACAAGGACTTTTCCACCTATCTGTGGTGGTGGGTATCATGAAAATTATGCACAAACCTTTTTTTTTTTTTAAGCTCATCAGCTATCGTTAGCATTAGTGTATTTTATATGTGGCCCAGGAGCATTCTTCTTCCAATGTGACCCTGAGAAGCCAAAAGACACCTGTGCACTAGATCAAAAGGCTACTCCTTCTGGAAGCAATTGTAAAGAATTTCTGACATTATCTTCACATGACAACCAATGGGTAGTGGGACAGAATGCAAAAATCTTCAAGTATTTTTCTTGTTGGTTTTTTTTTTTTGAGTCAGGGTCTTGCTCTGTGGCCCAGGCTGGAGTACACTGGTGAGATCACAGCTCAGTGCAGGCTCAAGTGCTCCTCCCACCTCAGCCACAGTAGTAGCTGGGACTACAGATGTGCACAACCACCCCTGGCTAATATTTTATTTTTTGTAGAGACAGGGTCTCACTATATTGTCCAGGTTAGTCTCAAACTCCTTGACTCAAGGGATCCAGGACAGGATAACAGGTGTGAGCCACCACATCTGGCCATGTGCATGAACTTTTAAGACAAACACAAGGCCCCACAAAAGTTAAGGTTTTCCCACCTAATTTCCAGGGGATCTTTTGGTGCAAGGATGAGAAGCCCTTAAAAGTACCCAGACAACTCCAAAGATTCAAGACAGTTCATTGGGGCTGAGCCAGCCCACTGGGCAGACTGACCTTCAAAAAAGGCCCACCCATGATATACACCAGATGGCTCTCCAAGAATCTCTCCAGTCCTCAGGGTCCCTAAGGTACTGGACAGAGCTAGGAAAGCAAACCCATGTGCTTCTTCCTTCAGGCAACCCCTTGAGGTCAAGACCCCACAATCAGATGAGGATGGAGTGGCTCACCCTCAGTCAACAGGCCAGACTCAAGGTGGTATTATGTCTTAACCAAGGGTGTGGGCCTCCAGGTCTCACTCCCAACTCAGTGCTCCTTTAATAACCACACTTTGTTAATTCTCCTTAACAGGGGTTCCAGGCAAGTCAGTTCTCCCTCAGGCCTTCGGTTTCCTCACCCACAAGATGAGAGGGCTGGACCAGATGGAAATTCAGGGGGTAAGGGGATGTCCGCTCGCAGCCCACCTCGCCCATGGGCCCCTCAAGCCTCCCTGCCAGTTCCCACGACGCACCCGCCCCACAGATCCTGCCCAAGGTGAGGGCTGGTCCCGGGTCCTCCGGCTGCCGCATCAGCGAGTGCAGGAGGGAGGGGAAGCCTCCAACGGGGCGACTGGGGCTCAAGGATGCAACTCGGCCAGGAGTGAACTTGGGCACGGAGGGAGGTGTCTGGGCCGCTCCTCGAGCCCAGCCTGGGTCCACGACCCCCTTACCTCCAGGGTCCGTATCTCCTGCTGGGTGAGGTCCTTGGACACAGCGCACTTGTTGCGCAACCGGCGCAGGCTGCCAATGGAGATGCGGATAAGCTTCTGGAGCTGCCCACAAGCTTCTGGAGCTGCCCACACTGCTGCAGCGTCTGGCTGGCTGCGGCCCCTGCGCCTCCCAAAGAGGCCGCCACATCACCCCCGCCACCGCCCTCCTTCTTCTCTCCCCTGGCCGCTACGCGCAGCGCCGCTCTATGCAGGCCGCAGCGGCCAAGGCGGGGAGCCCGGGGCGCGGGCGCCTAGGCAAGGAACCCCCGAGCCGGGAGAGCTGGACCAGGAGCGCCCCCCGGCGCCGCCTGAACAAGGACGCCGGTAGAGCCGGCAGCCGAGTGTGCTGCTCCCGCCCTCAGAGCCGCGGCAGCGGTGGCAAAAAGCGGCGGCGGCGGGGGCAAAAAGCTGGGGCGGCGGGGACAAAAAGCCTCGGTGGCGGGGGCAAAAAGCCACGGCGGCAAAAACCGGCGGCGGCGGGAGCAAAATGCCGCAGGGGCAAAAAGCCGCAAAAAGCCGCGGCGGCGGGGGCAAGAAGCCGCGGTGGCGGGAGCAAAAATCTGCGGCGGCAAAAAGGGGCGGCGGCGGGGGCAAAAAGCCGCAAAAAGCCTCGGCGTCGGGGGCAAAAATATGCGGCGGCGGGGGCAAAAAATATATATATATAAAATATTATAAATATATATATTTATATATATAATTATATATATAAATATAATTAATATATATAATATATATTTTATTATATATATTTATATTATATAATATATTATATAATATATTATATATTATAAATATATATAATAAAATATATTTATATATTATATATTAATTATATATATTATAAATATATGTAATAAATCTTGATGATTCTAAGAATGTTTTCATTATTATCACTAAAACTTATGATAAATGTTTTATTCATTCGTTTGTGACTATATTGCATGATAAAAATTTAAAGATTTATTATGTTTGAATCAAACCCCACGATTTGTGTCATTTCCCCCTGTAATGTGGAAGTCTGAGTTTTTAGTTCACAAATTTGGCAGAACAATAAACAGAGCGGCACAGCTCAAAGCACTAACTCCTCCGGAAGCAGCAGGTCAAAGTACATGCCAGACATTAAGCAGCAGAGCAACTTAGCAAGAGAAGACAGATCCTCAGGTTGGTGGGCAATGTCTGAACAGTCTGCTCATGGCACCAATTGTTAGTCACTTGCAAAGATGTGGCTTTAAGAGGGTAAGAAATTACTACTCACATAAATTACATTTGTGAGGTAAGTAGGAAGGCCTTTCAAGGTGATCTGACATGGCTTGAATGTGCAAGAAAAGGAGCCAGGCCTGGATTTTTATTGAGGGTAGGTGGCATGCTAGGGTGAGAATTTATTCCCATGGACAGGGGTTTGAATGGTTTCAATCTGCTGCTGGTACCAGAAAAGGGACCACCCAGGTTTCCTCTTACTGTATTATTTTATACACACACACACACACACACACACACACACACACACACACACACACGGTTTAGGATTAAAAATAGAGACAACCATCAAAAAGTGAAGATAGTTCCTTTTGGTCAGCCTGGCAAGTAAGGACGTAGAAGGTGACATTCGCATCAGCGAAAGTAAAAAGGGAAACATAGGCCAGCAATTCTCCTAACATCTATCAGAAAAATAAGTTCACAGGGCAAATCACCATCCCAAATTGGACAGAAGGACACACACATCCAGAGAATTATAACTTACTTGGTTAGTAAACCACAAGAAACCCCTATGGGAACAAATACAGTTGTAAGAAAACAAACCATTGTTGATGAATGGCTAAAAGTTTGAGAATTAACATTTTCAGGGTATACAAATTTATGAACTTTACTTTCAGAAACATGACATGGCTTTTACAGGGAAGATGATAGAAAAAATGCTTCTTGATTCCAGTAGGAGGAAGGGAAATGTAGCCATTTTTAACTATTCCCAGAAAATTTTCTTTTTAACATTCCTATCTTCAATATAAACTATGTATCAAAAGCCTAACCAACTGAGATTTTACCAGAGCCAGACTTCCTGGAGTAAGAGAAATGCCCAATTCCATCCCCCTCTAACCTTCTTGATCCAGTTAAGAGAGGTAAAGAGTGAGAAGTCCTCATGAAATTCACAGCCTAGGGATACACTGTTTTGTTTTGATTTGTTTTAATGAGGCTAATGCATAAGTCAATAGAGTGCTTTGCCTAAGCTCTCACATAACCACTACATCAACAGCAGAATAAATACATGGTAGCAGAATACAACTGAAAGAACTGTATGCCTCAGATCTTGTTAAATAAGTCTCTAAGAGACCACAAGGAAATTGAATAATGTTGATAAAGTCGACACATGTATATGTAGAAATACACAATGTACTGACACTGAGTCATGAACAAATAGAAAATCTGAACAGACCTATAGTTGCAGATTGATGCAAAAATCACCCCTCCAGAAAAAAAAAGTACAAAACTGTTATGCTGCTGAATCTATCAAACATTTTAAGAATTAATTACCAATTATCCTCAAACTCTTGCAAAAACCTGAAGATGCAGAAACACTTCCAAATTTATTCTATGAGGTAGGCCAAAATTACAGTGACATAAAAAATGAACAAAAGCACTACAAGAAAAGAAAGTTGAAGAAAAATGTTCTTTATAAATAATATAAAAACTATAAAATAAATATTAGCAAAATATATTTAGCAGAATAATAAGAGGGTTATCTACCAAGACTAATTGAGAGTTATTACTGAAGTGCAAAGATGCTTTAACATATAAATATCAATAAATGTAGCCAGGCACAGTGGCTTGTGCCTGTAATCCCAGTTACCCAGGATGCTAAGGTGATAGGTTCACTTCAGTCCAGGAGTTCAAGAGCAGTCTAAACAACATCATAATATCCTGTCTCTAAAAATAAATAAATAATAAATAAATAAACAAATAATCATAATATACCGCATTAGTACTGTTAAACACCACAATATCTCAATTTACACAGAAAAAGCATTCTACAAGATATTACTCATTCATGGTACAAACACACAACATAATCAACAGTGAAATACAAAAAATGTTTTCCCTTAATATCAGGAACTAAAAATAGTTCCTCTTTTTTACCACTTCCACTCAACAGAGTATATAAAACTTTAGCTTAAGCAATAACAAAAATAAAATAAAGACAAAAATGCGTATGTTAAAAAGAATAAAATAGAAATATCTCTGTTCACAGTAATCATGTATGCACACAATTCTGAAGATTGTACAAACAGAAAAACACCTCAAAACAGTTTAAACAAATTAAGTAATGTTGCAGGATACAAAATTAACTTACAAAACTCAGTTGCATTGATGCACACCAATAATGATTAATCTGAAAAGGAAATTAAGAAAACAATACCATGAACAACAGTATTAAAAAGAATAAAATGCTCTGGAATCAATTTAACCAGGATGACAAACTATTTGTACAATAAAAACTTTCAAAATGCTGCTGTAAGAAATCAAAGGTACAAATAAATGGAACAGTATCTTCTGTTCATAGGTGAAAAGACTTTTTAAAAAATTTCAACTTTTATTTTAGATTCAGGGGTTACAGGCACAGATTTGTTATGTAGGAATATTGTATAATGCTCAGGTTTGGAGCACATAGGTAGTGAGCACAGCAACCAATATGTAGTATATTAACTTGTCCTCCCCTCTGCACACTTTAGTAGTCCACCGTGTTTACTGTTCCCATATTTATGTCCATATATGCTCAATGTTTAGCTCTTATAAGTAAGAACATGCAGTATTTGGCTTTCTGTTTCTGCATTAATTTGCTTGAAATTATGGCCTCTGGTTCCACCTATGTTCATACCAAGGACATGATTTCATTATATTTCACAGCTGTGTAGTATTCCATGGTGTATACATATCAGGTTTTCTTTATCCAATATACCATTGATGGGCGTCTGGATTGATCCCACATCTTTGCTATTGTGAATAGCACAGTGATGCATTCAAGTGCATATGTCTTTTTGGTAGAATGATTTATTTTCTTTTGGGTATATACCCAGTTGTAGGATTGCTGGGTAAATTGGTAGTTCTGTTTTAAGTTCTTTCAGAAATCTCGAGACTGCTCTCCATGATTGCTGAACTAATTTACAATCCTGCCAGTGACGTAAAGTGTTTCCTTTTCTGCACAGCCTTGCCAACATGTTATTTATTGACTTTTTAGTAATAGCCATTCTGACTAACATGAGATGGTACCTCATTGTGGTTCTGATTTGCATTTATCTGATAATTACTGATGCTGAGCAATTTTTCATGTTTGTTGGCCACTTGTATATCTTCTGTTCAGGCATATCTGTTCATCTCATTTGCCCATTTTTTATTTTTTAATGGTTTTTTTTTTTTGGCTTGTTGATTTGAGTTCCCTATAGAGTCTGGATATTAGGCTTTTGTTAGACTCATAGTTTGTGAATATCTCCTCCCATTCTGGAGGATGCCTCTTTCCCCTGTTGATAGTTTATTTTGCTGTGCAGAAGCTATTTAGTCAAATTAAGTCCTACTTGTCTATTTTTGTTTTGGTTGCAATTGCTTTTGGGGACTTAGCCAAAAACGACTTGCCAAGGCTGATGTCAAAAAAGTATTTCCTAGGTTATCTTCCAGAATTTTTATAGTTTGAGGTCTTACACTTAAATTTTTAATCCATTTAAATTTAATTTTGGGGCATGTTGCAAGGTAAAGGTCTAGGTTCAATCTTCTGCCTATGGCAAGCCAGTTATCCCAGAATGTATTGACTAGGGAGTCCTTTCCCCATTGCTTGTTCTTGCCAGCCTTGTCAAATATCATATGGTTGTAGGTGTGTGACTTTCAGCAGTGTTTTGTAGTTCTCCTTGAAGAGATCTTTCATTTCCTTGGTTATCTGTATTCCTAGGTATTTCTCTTTTTTGTGGCTATTTTAAGTGGAATTGTGTTCTTGATTTCACTCTTGGCCTGGACATTGTTGGTGTATGGAAATGCTACTTATTTCACCATAATCAGTACTGTTTACACTGATTTTGTATCCTGAGACTATACTAAAGTTATTAATTCTAGGAGCCTTCTGGCAGAATCTCTAGGATTTTCTAGGCATAGGATCATATTTTCAGCGAAGAGAGATAGTTTGACTTCTTTTCCTGTTTCGTTACTTTTTCTTTCTCTTGCCTGATTGCTCTGCATAGGACTTCCAGTACTAAGCTGAATAGGAGTGCTGTGAGTGAGCATCCTTGTCTTGTTTCAGTTCTCATAGAAATAGTTTTAAGTTTTTAACCTATTGAGTATGATGTTGACTGTGGGTTTCCCATAGATGACTCTTATTATTTTAAGGTATGTTCCTTGGATGCCTAGTCTATTGAGGATTTTTACCATGAAGTAGTGTTGGATTTTATTAAGAAGACCTTTGTGTATCTGTTTAGAAAATCATATGGTTTTTACTTTTGATTCTATTTAGCTGGTGAATCACATTTATTGGTTTGCATATGTTGAACCAGCTTGCATCCCAGGAATAAAGCCTACTTGACCATGGTGTATTACCTTTCTGATGTGGTGCTGAATTTGGTTTGCTAGTATTTTGTTGAGGATTTTTACATTTTCTGTTCATGAGGGATCTTGGTCTGAAGTTTTGTTTTTTCACAGTGTCTCTGCCAGATTTTCATATCATGCTACTGCTGGTTTCAAAGAATGAGTTAGGAAGGAGCCCCACCGCCTCGATATTTTGAAATAATTTTAGTAGGATTGATATCATTTCTTCTTAGTATGTCTGGTAAAACTCAGCAGCCAATCTACCTGTTTCAGGCCTTTTTGTTGTTGTTGTTGTTGTTGGTAGGTTCTTTAGTACTGACTCAATGTCAGAAGTTGATATTAGTCTACTTAGAGTTTTGATCTCTTTCTGATTCCATCTTGGGAGACTGTGTGCTTCCTGGAATTTATTCATTTTCTCCAGATTTTCTAATTTGCGTGCAGAGCTGTTCATAGTACTCGCTGAGGATCTTTTGTATCTCTATCTGATCCATTCTAATATAACCTGTCATTTTTATTGTGCTTATTTGGATCTTCTCTTTCTTTTTTATATTTGTTAATTTGGCTAGGAGCTTATCAATTTTTTTTGAAGAACCAATTTTTTGTTTTCTTGGACTGTTGTATACATTTTTGCATCTCAACTTCATTAAATTCTTCTCTAATTGCTGTTATGTCTTCTCTCATGCTAGCTTTGGGGTTGGTTGGTTCTTTTTTTCAAGTTCCTTTAGGTGCAAAGTTACATCGTTAATTTGAGACATTTCTAACTTCTTGATAAAGGCATTTAGGGCTATAAAGTTTTCTCTTAACACTGCTTTGGCTGCATCTTAGAAATTTTGGTAAGTTGTGTTCCTATTTCTATCAATTTCAAGTAATTTTTATATTTCTGCCTTACTTTGATGTTTACAAAGGATTTATTCAGGAGTAAGTTGTTTAATTTTCATGTATTTCTGTAGTTTTGAGAGATCTTGGTATGCATTTGTATTTTTTATTGTACTGTGCTCCAACAGTGTGCTTGGTGAGATTTCATTTTTCCTTAATCTATTCAGGCTTTATTTATCACTGAGCACGTGGTTGATCTTAGAATTTTTTTTTGTGCAGATGAGAAAAATGTACATTCTGTGGTTGTTCGATGGAGTTTTCAATAGATGTCTATTAGGTCCAATTGGTCAAGTGTGGAGTTTAACTCCAGAGTTTTCCTGTTAGTTTTTTTTTTTTTTTTTTTTGGCCTCAGTGATATGTCTAATGCTGTAAGTAGGGTGTTGAAGACTCTTACTACTATTGTGATGTTGTCTAAGCCTTTTTGTGGGGAAAGAAAAAGTCATTTTGTAAATCTGGGTGCTCCAATATTAAGTGTATATATATTTAAGATATTTAAGGCTTCTCACAGGATTTTGTCCTTTATCAATATGCCCTTGTTATTCTTCTTTTCATTGGTAGGCAAAGAAGAAGTCATTTTATGAATTTGGATGCTCCAGTGGTAATCACATATATATTTAAGATAGTTAAGGCTTCTTGTTAGATTGCACCCTTTATCAAAATGCTCTTCTTGTCCCTCTTAGTGTTTTTTTTTTTTGGTTTAAATTTGTTTTATCTAATATAAGAATAGTGACTGCTGCTTGTTTTTGTTTCGTTTGCATGGTAGAATACGCTCCACCCTTTTACTCTGAGGCAAAGGGTGTGTCTTGAAAGCAACAGATGGATGGGTACTGTCTTTTTATCCAGGATGCCACTTTGTGTCTTTTAACTGTGGTGTTTAGCTTACTTACATGTTAGGTGAGTATTGATATGTGTGATTTTGAATTCACCATCATGTTGTTAGCTGGTTGTTATGTAGAGTTGATTGCATTATTGCTTTATAGTGCCTGTGGGCTATGTGCTTAAGTGAGCTTTTTTGGTAGCAGATATCATTCACTTGAATCCATGTTTAGCACTACCTTAAAGACCTCTTGTAAGGCTGGTCTAGTTTAAATGTATCACGTCAGCATTTGCTTGTCAAAGGAATTTTTTTTTCCTCTTTCACCTATGAAGCTTAGTTTAGAGGGATATAAAATTATTGGTTAATTTTTTTTTCCTTTAAAAACTCTGCAGATAGGCCCCTAACCTCTTCTGGTTGCAAGGAGTCTGCTGAGAGGTCTGCTGCTAGTCTGATGGAATTCACTCTGTGAGTAACCTGCCCTTTCTCTCTAACTGATCTTAAATTTTTTTTTGCACTGACTTTGGTGAATCTGATGACTATGTGACATGGAAATAGCAATATGGTTTGGATCTGTGATTCTGCCCCAATCACATGTGGAACTGTAATCTTCAATGTTGGAGGTGGGGCCTGCTGAGAGGTGATTGGATAATGGGGATAGATCCTTGTGAATGGTTTAACACCAGCCCCTTGTGCTGTCTCGCGATAACGTTCTCATGAGATCTGGCTGTTTAAGAATGGGTAGCACCTCCTCGCTCTCTGTGTTGCTCCTGTTCTTCCATGTAAGATGCCTTGCCCCCCTCTTCCTTCTGCCATGGTTGTTAGTTTCCTGAGGGCTCCCCATAAGCCAAGCTGATGCTGCATGCTTCCGCTGCAGCCTGCAGAACTGTGAGCCAACCAAACTTCTTTTCATTATAAATTACCCAGTGTCAAGTATTTCTTTATAGCAATGTGAGAACTGACTAATACAGACTGTCATATATTATTGTATCTGACTAGGGGCTGACTGGGGTTCTCTTGGATTTGAATGGCAACCTCGCTAGTGAGATTAGAGGTACTTTCATGAACTATATCTTCATACATATTTTCCAACTTGCCTATTCTCTTTCCTTCTCTCTCAGAAATGTTGATAAATTGTAGATTTGTTCTCTAAGTAATCTCATATTTCTCAATGGGGATGTTGATTTTTCTTAATTCTTTTATCTTTATTTTTGTCTGACTATGTTGATTCAATAAAACAGTGAGCTCTGAGATTCTTTTCTCAGTTTAGTCTATTCTGCTGGAAATACTTCTGATTTTATTATAAAATCCTCACAGTAAATCTTTCAGCTCAAGAATTTTTTAGTTTAGATATTTTTTAAGATTGCTATTTTATCTTTCAGGTTTTGAATCATTTAACCGGATTGCTTGGCTTCCTTGGGTTAAGTTTCAACTTTCTTCTCAATTTAAATGAGTTTCCCTGCTCTTTTTTCCATGTCTGTCATTTTAGACAATTCAGACTGTTAAAAACCATCACTGGGGCACTAGTGGGCTCTCTTGAAGGAGACACTCTGGCTTTTTGCATTGCCAGAGATTTTGAGCCAATTCTTTCTCATCTGAGAGAACTGGTATACCTCTAATTGGGGTATAAATTGAGTATAGTCTATTGGCTTTCTTTTTTTGAAGGTTTTCAGAGGACTAGGACTCTGTACAGTGTCTTTGTTGTTGAATTCTTGCTCTTGGTTTCACAGGGGAAGAATTAGTAAAGTGATTTTTGGTGGTGTAATCTCTACTGCGATCCAGTAGATAGCACTTGAGAGCAGTGGGATGTAGATAGGTTCTTTACCATGCAGTTCCTTTGTGTATCTTCTTTATTTGCAACTATGTTCTGTGGTACAGGTCTGTTCATGAGTCTTGAGAGACTCACTTTCAATCACTGGCACTATGCCCATTATTATTACTATCATTATCTCCTTTTTTTTTTTTTTTTTTTTGAGACGGAGTCTCGCTCTGTCGCCCAGAGACTGGAGTGCAGTGGCAGGATCTCGGCTCACTGCAAGCTCCGCCTCCTCGGTTGATGCCATTCTCCTGCCTCAGCCTCCCGGCTAGCTGGGACTACAGGCGCCCGCCACCACACCCGACTATTTTTTTGTATTTTTAGTAGAGACGGGGTTTCACCGTGTTATCCAGGATGGTCTCGATCTCCTGACCTCGTGATCCGCCCGCCTCCTCCTCCCAAAGTGCTGGGATTACAGGCGTGAGCCACCACGCCCGGCCTATTACTATCATTATCATTATTGTCATTGTTGTTAGGTGTTTCAAGCTGTGGGGCTCCCTCAGGGAGATGTCTTCTAGAAAAATACCCTGCATCTTTACCATAACAGCCCTGTGGAAGGAGGTGTGCCTAGGGCCCACGCCAGCCTGTGAACCTGTGTGAATCTGGCCTCTCAGTTTCTGAAGAGTGTGGGTTCCTCCCCAATTCAACTGCCCAGCACAGATCCCAGCTTGGCACTCCTGAACCACAGGCCACAGCACTGGAGTGCCACGACTTGCTTATGACTCCCTCTTCCTGATGCTTAGGGCCAGGTTCCAAGTGTGGTGAGGGATCTGAGGGATTTCTGGGCCGCCAGAATGCATTCAGGTGGAGCCAAGCATCCAGGTTGGGTAGCAGAAACTACAATGTATACATGCTTCTCCCAGGAAGCCAGGCAGGGGCCATGTAAGAGGCTGGTGGACAGGCATGCCTACAGGATAGACATGTCCCAATCCTGCGGGTAAGCAGGCCTTGCTTTCTCCCTGCAGTTTAGCTGGGGCCAAAGCCTCTGAGAGAGATAGGCAGCCACGGAGGTGGGACTTTATGGTTGAGCTCCACCAGATCTGACCCATGATAAAAAGTCCTGGCTCTGTGCCTGCTACAGCTCCATCTCCATCTACTCTCCAGGGAGAGCTCCTTGCCAACTCACATGTCCATGGGGGTGTGGAGCTTCCTGCAGCCAGGATCCCAGTGGTCTGCAGCGAGAGTGAGCAGCCTCCCAGTCCCTTTACTCACTTCTTCCCCAGATGCCACTCAGGGCCAAAAAGCAGTCATAGCGTTCAGGCACCCCATAAGGGCACCCCAGCTTCCTTGCTCTTCAGTCTTAGAAAACGCACCTTTTCTCCATCCACACTATGCATTTTCTCTCCAAATATCTATTCAAACTATGTTGATGTAGTCAAAATTGTGGTCTTTCTCTTTGGGAGCAACACTTCCTGGCTGCATCCAGTAAGCCATCTTGGAAACTCTCTTAAAAGTACTAATGTGGCAATTTCTCCTAAAATTATCTATAAATGCAGTGCAATCCCAATCAAAAGCCCAATAACTTTTTTTAAATGGAAACAGAAACTAACATTCTAAAATTCAAGTGAAATCTCAAGGAACCAAGAATAGTCAAAACGATCGCAAAAAAAAGAGAAAAAAATGTTCAAAGCTCTAATTTCATAATGAGAAATTTCCTAACGTCAAAAGTTACTCACAGTCATGTTACTCAAAACAGTGTGGTACTGGGATAGAGACTACAAACAAATGAAATAAAATAGAGCCCAGAAAGGTATCCTCACATATATGATAAAATAGTTTAACAAGTTGCCAGGGTTATTCAGTGGGAAAAGAAAGTCTTCAGAAAAAAAAAATTTGCTTGGAAAACTAGATATTCACATAATGAAGTATAAAATTGGACTTATACCTTACACTGTATACAAAATGAAATCGAAGTGCATCGAAAACCTAAAAGAAAAACTTAAACCTGAACAACTATTAAAAAAAAGATAGGGCAAAATATTCATACCATTAGATGTGGGAATAATTTCTTGCATATGATGCAAGCTCAGTCAACAACAAAATAGATACATGACTTCATCAATAGTGAATTTGTCTCTCAGAGGACACTATCAATAGAGTAACAGGACAACTCTGAATAATAGAACATACTCCATAACAATACTCTAATAATACATCTGGCAAGGTATTAATATAGGGAAAATACAAAGTAAAAAGGTTTGAAAATCTTCAACACTCTTCATGATAAAAACATTAAATAAACTGGAAATAGAAAAGATATTGTAAGACATCTATAAAAACCCCACAGCTAACATCATACTTGATGTTAAAAGACAAAATGCTTTCTACCTAAGATCAGAAATAAGACAAAGATGTCTGTTCTCACGACATCTATTCAACATGGTAAAAAAAAGCTGTTAGCTAGGAAATTAGGCAAGAACATAAAAGTATTAGTGATTTCAAAGCAAATACACACATAGCACCCAGGCATAAATACAAAAGCAGACTTTTCACTGCACGTAAAGGTGGATACATGCAGACAAAGACACACAAGCTTGCTAACTGTCAGAGTTAGCAGCTGAAACACACAAATAAATGCTCAGAGAGACACCCAGTTTAGACCTCTGCTCTCTTTACCACACTCTCCTCCCACATTAGCAGTAACCACTATCTTACACATTGTTTATTTTACTTGTATTATATATTTATTCTTTCCTAGAATATCAGCTTCAAGTGGGCAGAATTATTTGTTTTGTTTTAGTCATTGCAGCACCTCCTAGAACATCTGCTACACAGGGCAAGATTAATACATAATAAATCACTGGGCTCAAATTCACACAACTATACACAGTGCTTTTCCATGAACCTCATCATAGGCCCACATAAACTTGATTTGCACAAAATGAGTTTTTCTTAACTC
This sequence comes from Homo sapiens, assembly GCF_000001405.40. Taxonomy (NCBI): domain Eukaryota; kingdom Metazoa; phylum Chordata; class Mammalia; order Primates; family Hominidae; genus Homo; species Homo sapiens. The sequence continues at coordinate 922,661 of NT_187383.1, forward strand.
GATCCTATGTGGCAGGGTGGTGTCTTCTGAACTCCAAACAAATTCCTAAAGGTTAGCTTACTCAAATGAATTGAAAATGTAAGTCCACACAAAAACCTGCACAAAAAAGTTTACAGTAATATTAATTGTAGTTTTCACAAAACTTGGAAGCAACCAAGATCATGTATTCACCAAAGTCAGAGGTACAAAATTATTATACAAAAATCAATTATACTTCTATACACTTGCAACGAAATATCTAATAATGCAGTTGAGGCAAAAACAAATCCATTTACAATAGCAATTAAATAATAAATACATAGAAATAAATTTTTAAAAATGTGAAAGAAACTTGTAATCTGAAAACTACAAACCTTATCGAAAGAGGTTGAAGATCTAAATAAATGAGAAACCATTCCATGTTTATGAATCAGTAGGTTTAATACATTATGATGACAATAACTCCCCAAACAGTCTACATCCAGTACAATTAGATTCAGTACAATTAGAATTCAAGGTGACTACCATGTAAAAACTGAAGCATTGATGCTGAAATTCATATAAAATTAAAAGGGACTAAGAATATCTTTAAAAATCTTTAAAAAGATGCCAAATAAGAGGACTCACAAATTACAACTTCAAAATTTGCCTCAAAGCAACCTTAATCAAGATGGTGTAGTAACGACACAAGGAAAGTCATTTAGATCAACGAAGTACAACTGAGAGCCCAGAGAGAGTAAAATCAGCAAAATGGCAAGAATGTACAGCTCCAAACACCTGCTCCTCCACAGAAACAGGGAAAAACAAGCAGAACTGTCAGAAACGATGTTGTAAAACCTGTTGAAAACCATCAAGTTGTACAGCAACCATGTAAATACAAAATCAAGAAAAACAATGAAGAACAGGAGAAAAGCCTCGTGGACTTTTTACACGTCCTTGCCCAAATCCTTCCCTTACTTGATGGCAGTCTTAAAAACAACATCCTGAGTTGCCAGTATGGGCCTCTGCTCAGTGGTTCCAGAGGGAAAAGAGGAGGTCTTACTTGCAAAGTATTGTGTTGTTACATTAAAATCTGTATTAGGGCTATCCAAAGGTCTGAAACAAGGCTCTCTTTTTTCTCTAAGTCAGAAAAAAATCAGTTTAAAAAATTGGCACGAGTTACTTGGGAGTATTTTAAGGAAACTGAAAGCCAGCAGCCCCCTGGAGAACAGATTACAGATGACACATGCAATAGGTCACATAAAGCCAAGAATAAAAAGCTAACGTGAGATTTTGTTTTGTTTTACAAATTAGGCTATTAAAAAGCACCCAGGTATGCTGGCAAATTGACAAAGCACTCTGTGCATAACCACGAAAAACACATTTTCTTAAAGACCCAAGAAGACCCTCATTTTCAGCACTGGCTGACCTTCAGGCTCAGCTCAGCAGAAAGTGAAGACTGAAGCAAAGTTTTCAACAGTATGCATGTGTGTTAAAGGAATGCCCCAGCCCAGAGCCATCCACAAAAACTGGAAGAATCCGTCAGTTTGTCTTTGTCTCAGTTTTGTCATATAGACCTTTGTGACACACAGATCTATATACAATGAAAACTACAAATTTCTAATGAAAGAGCCATGAAAGATCACAGAAGATCTTAATAAATAGAAAGACATTTAATGTGCATGAACATAAAATCTCAATATTGTCAAGATATAATTTCTCCCCAATTTGAGTTATAGGCAAGAGAGTCACATCATCTGGGTGATTGGCCAAACATATGTCACAATCCCTTCCATTGACAGCTCCCAAAAAAGGAGTTACATCACCTAGGTGCTCAGCTCTGAGATGTGTCACAACATTGCCCAATACAGGCAGGGCACAGGCGGGAGAGTCACATTTCCTGGGTGCTTGGCCCAGTGGTATGTCACATTTCCTTATGTAGGAAGGGCACACGTAGCAAAAGAGAGTCACATTACCTAGGTACTGTGCTAGAGCTATCAGTCTCTGTGTCATTCAATGTGAGAGTTATGATCTCTTTAGACATCCATGTAACAGAGCCTCAACTCCTTCATCCTCAGATGTAAAGGCTAGTGAAGACCAAATAAGCCTTGAAAGGTAATTCCCCTAAAAAGGCAGAATGTCTTAGGCTTTGGCCTCTCCCCTTCAAGCACAACGAGATCATAACCTCTCTTTTGACTTCTCACTATGCCCAGCAGTGGAACAAAGCTCCTGACTCCACACCCTCACCTTTCCACCCTTGTACCTTCACTGGACAGACAAGAGACGAGAAGACCTGAACTCTGGGACAGTCTGGGGAGAAAAGAATCCAAAAAGGGTTGAGGCAGCAAGGGCTGAGCTCCCACGGGTGCCCCGGCCCAAAGGTGCAGGTCCAGGCTGTTTTCCAGGTGGCATTCAGTGCAGGTTCTTCAATGCCACTGGAAGGCATGAAAAACCCACTGTAGCTGCTGCTTCTTCCTTTTCTTAAGCTCTGAAAATGCAAACACTTTTTCAAGGTTTTCAGATATGCCCAGGTACCCCCAACTGAAAAGGAGGATAATGGCATTGTTCATCATGGCTTATTGTCTTGCCCAGGCAGGAGCCAGCCCCTGACTCGCCAATCCAGCTGCCCCAGGCTGGAGGTGATCTTGTCGAGCCTCCTCCCTGCAACTCCACTCCTCTTTTTTATCTTCCTCAACCACCGGCATACTTTTGGTCATCCTTCTTGTTGTCACAATGGGGGCGTGATACCATAAAGACCTGGGAACCCCAATGATCTCAGGTCCCGCAGGGGTCAGGTGAGCATATAGGAAGTCCAGAAGGACAGTCATCTGCCACCTCCAGTTAAAAAAGAACAAAACCCTCACACTCCAGGAATGAGTCAAGAACCCAGTGAAGGCCACAGGTCTAGCCCACAACCACCTAGGTATGTGGGGTCCTCCAAGGCTCACGCTTGTGTCCTGCAGGCTGGAGCCCATGCGAGGGTCTGCAGTCTTTGTTCCGGATGGGGAACTACTGCTTCAGCTGGTTACCCAGGTGCCCCGATGGGGAAAGGAAGGAAATGGTGAGAATCTTCAGCACAGCGGATCACATCACCCTGGAAGAGACCAGTCCTGCCTGCGCATAGCACAAGCAGCCGCAGGCTAGAGGCAGTCATGTCAGGCCTCCTCCATACAGCATCTCTCCTGCTTTTTTTTCAAACGGCCCTAATCACTTAATTTGGTCATCTTCCCTGTCACAATGGGGCACCTGGCGCTATAGACACTTGGGAAACACACAGATCTGGGATCCTACAGTGTCCAGGTGAAGACGCCGGGAGTCAGAGAGGAAAGTCTTTTGAAGCCTCCAAAAGGAATGCACAGGACCCCACTTGAAGAGGTGGCGTGCCCAGTGGCGGATACAGGCCCCACACATCGCAGCAGTAAACAGGTAAGGTGCTCCCTGGCCCGTGCCTGTTTCCTGGAAACTGAAGCCATGCCCAGGCTGGGAGACACCATTCCAGATACAGAATAAGCTGTTGGGCTGGCTACCTCACCCAGCACCCGGCCACGCCAGAGAGAATCTTGGATGCTGCTTTCCCACAGGCTGTAGTGCCTTCCAAGTTAGGCCACCCTAATAACACTTCTCCCGCAGGGACTCCACGGTGTCCAGCTCTCCAGCCTGGGGTTTCTCATCACCCAGTGATTCCAAAAGAAACGATCTACAATGGCATGACTAAGTTCCAGAAACAAATAAACAAAATACTGAGGGAAGCCCATTGGTCACTTTGATTCTTCAAAGGTGACAATTGTCCCTCCCTGAAATCTTATGAGTGCATGAACAGACTATTCTAATGTAAATGAAATTCACACTAAAACTGATTGAAAGATGATTCTGTTTCCAAGGTACTTTGTATTCTCAAATTGCATCTGCTTACCCTGGCCCCCTCAAAATGGAAGAGTGATGACTATTTGTCTTCGTAGCACTGTGGGGACACAGAGCCTTAAATGGAAGAGTGTCAAAAGCAACATTCCATAAAGGGCTGTCACTTCCAATTTTCAAGCGAGGTTGGAAACCAACCATGATGTATGAAACACTGTTGGCCAAAGTGCACAATTAGTAATACAAAATGAATAATATAAACTATTGTAAATATGTGTGGACATCGTGGCAATTTGGACATCAAAAACACTGCCAAATTCAGAAAGAGGAAGCTGTAAACTCATGGCTGTTAGGAAGCTTAACTTCTGTGTACTAGAACCTATCAAAATTAAATTTCTCCATGTCAATCCGTCCAAACAAACATTGAGATGTTTATTTCTATATAATTCCTATTGAATCCTACTGGGTAGGACCCTTCTGGCCCCATCCTCACAGCACTGGTGCAGTGAAACTGCACTTGTTCCTGCTTCCCCCTATATTGTTAGGAGTGGAAATATTTAGTAACAGGGTGGATTGGGAGGCTACTGAGGCCTCCTGCGTGGGTGGGTCAGGTCTCCTGCAGCCCAAACCTTTTTACAATAAATAAGTTATAGGTAAAATTAGAAAAAAATTAAAAAATGGAACTCATTCTGTTTCTTTGCTCACCACAAAGAGAAACAGCATCTAGAGATGTCTGTTGGAGCCAGGCTTGTCCTGCTGAGCAGGAGTCCTGGGGATGGAGGGCAGGTGAGATGGGGCTCCCAGGAAGATGCAGCCAAGCCTGGCTCACTCAGGCTGGCAGGGGCCCTCTGAAGGCCAGGAAAGTTGGCCCAGGACACTGAAACTCAAGTGGCTCATCTGGGCCAAAGATCTGACCAAGTCGCACTGAATCTCATCAGCCCTGCCAACTGGAGGTCTGATCAGCCTTGAAGATCTTGCTCACTGGAAGCAGACAGCTGGTGGATGGGTCAGGAGAGCTGCCTACTGCCAATGCAGGAGTCCACTCAGTGTAGGCCCGCTGCCCCACTCAGTGGCCTGGATAACCTGCTGAGGCTGCAGCTTCTTCCAGTTTTTGAGCAATAGGGGCATGCATCATTTCCGAAGGTTTTCAGGCAATCCCTGGTGACCTCTGGCAGGGGGTGGTTATCTTGGCAATCTCCAGCAGGGCCTATGGACTTGCTCCCAGGCAAAACCCAGCGATCCCCGTGCCTACCCAGGCACTAAGCATTTGTGGTGGGGCTTCTGGAAGCTCGCCTTCTCCTGCTGGCTCTTCGTTTTCCCCACCCCGGTACTTCTGGCCATTCTCCCTGTCATCATCACAATGAGACAGCTGGGTGCTGGAGACTCAGAAACTGCCATGCAGACCTTGAGTCCTTCCCAGGCCCAGCCAACAGGGCAGAGAATCCAGGAGAAAAGTCATTTTCACCTCCTGAAGGACCAGAGCTGACCAGGCACCTAGAAGCTGTGCCCCACTGCAGGCTGCCGGTGGAGCTCATGACAAGGCCGGAACAAGGCCGGAACGTGAAGCACTCCCTTGTCTGTCCTTTTTTCCTGAAGGCTGGGGCTTGCCCGGCCAATGTCACCCTTCAGGACAGGGAATCAGAGCTTTGCATGGCTGCCTTACCCCACCAGAGCAGCGCCACAGAGAATCATGGCTGAGGCTTTCCTGTGGGCTGCAGTGCCTGACCCTTTAGGGTCCCCACAAAAACATCTTTCCTGCAAATAATCCACCGTGTCCTGCTTGCCAGCCTAGGCTTCCTCATCAGTTGGTGATTTCAATGAAAACAAACTACAGTGGAATGAACAAATTCTAAATCAGGAACACACAAAGAATCTGTGGAAAGTCCATTTGTCATCTAGATTTTTAAAAGATACACATTTTCCCTTCTTGTTATATTCAGTAGTGCATGAAGCCAATATTATAATAGATGTGCAACTCACACTAAAGCTGACTAAAGGGTGAATTCTTATTCTAAGGTACTTTGTGGTCTCAAATTTATCTGTTCCCACCCCCAGGACCCCATTAAAACTGAATAATTGTCATTGAGAGCAGATGTAGAAAGAAACTAGCTAGGCAGATAGAGCAAAGAGTTCTCAACAGAACATCCCTTCTAACAGAAAGCAACCCAGGAATTCACTTCTCTTTAACAAAGAGCAGCCTGGAAAATTGGGCTGCAATCATACAAAAGGAAGCTGGAAGCTTGTGTGGGCAGGGATGCCTGCAGCTGCATGGGTAGAAATGACCACCTTGGGCCAGACATATCCAACATGGGGGGCCCCACCCCTCTTTGTAGCATATGCACAGTAGAAAAGAGATAAGCAACTTGGAGTAGCTCAGGCTGAGAATCTGCCTGCATAATAAAAGGTTGGGGTGTGAGCTGCCAGAGATTCATGCTCTAAGCAGATGACACACCTGGTCCTAACCAGTTTTTCATGCCCTATGTGGATAACATACCCCCTCCCACTAGCTCATCTATAAAAACACTTGTATTTCACTGCAGAATGGCAACTCTTTTTTTCTGGATCCCTCTCTGCAGCAGAGAGCTGTTCTCTTTTTCTCACCCATTAAACTTTTGCTCTAACCTCACCTTTGGCATATCTGTGTCCTTGATTTCCTCGGTCCTGACACCAAGAAGTTCAGGTGTAACCCCAGAAGACACGACCAGTTTATCATGACTTGTCTCATTGCCTCTTGGGACATAGAAACGTCAATGAAAATGTGTCCAAAAGGACATTTCATAAAGTGCTCTCTCTTCCAATCTTCAAGCAATGTGGGACTATCCATCATGTACAAAAAACTTGTGGCTGAAATGCACAATTTCTAATACAAAAATGAATGCTATAAATTACTCTATGTATGTGTATTATGGCCATTCAGACATCGTCACACATTGCCACATTTAGATAGAAGAACCTGTGAACTTGTGGCTGTTAGGAAGCTTAACTTGTGCATACTGTCACCTATGAAAGTTAGCTTTCCCTGTGTTTCTTGAAACCAACCTTGAAATGTCCATCTTGTACACAATTTCTATTTATCCCCAGTGAGGTTCACCCATCTGGCCCCACCCTTACAGCCCTGGTACCAATGGAATTGCACTTGCTTATGCTTCTTCAAATTTTCTTGAGGTCATAAACATTTAGTGACAGAGTGGAATGAGAAGGTACTGAAGCAAGGGCTGATGCCTTCTGGGTAGATGGGTAGAGATCTCCTGCAGCCTGGATATCTTCAAAATAAGTAGGTTATAGGTCAAGTTAGAGAAAAAATAATACTCTTTCTTTGAACACCACGAAGAGAAAAGCGCTGGATCTAGATGTGTCTGTGAAGCCAGGCTTGTCCTGGGAAAGTGAGAAGAGCTGAGCAGGAGCCCTGGCAATGGAGGGTGGGTGAGATGTGGTCCCCACGGAGAGACCGCTAGGGTCAGGGCTTGGTACAGTGAGGCTGGCAGGGCCCTTCGGAAGGCAAGGGAAGATGGCCAAGGACACAAGGCTGAAGCAACCCATCTGAGCCAAAGATCTGTTTAGGTCCTTCTGAATCTCAGCAGCCTTGCCAAGGAAGGCATGATTACCCATGGGTATCAGAGACACTGGAGGCTGGCAGCTGGCGGGTGGGCCAGGAGGCCTGACTACTGCACAGGTGTGATTTCACTGGCAGGCCAACTGCAGGGAGTGGATAAAGAGAGAGCTCTGTGTGGGAATCTCTCTCGGTGGATCATCGAAGAGGTGAAGTCTTCTTCATAGCCTCAAACCCAATTTGTGGGATAGCAATTCCAGTGAAGCTGGGACAAGCTGGCACTGCTCAACCAGGCCTCCCAAGATACCAGGTTTCTTTCCACCACAGCTGGGCCTGGATTGGGATGTGAACATCTATCCCAGAGTCCAGAGGATGGGACCCTGGTCAGTGATGGTGCTGGTGTGTGGTGTGAAGCCAGGTAGGGCAGACTCTTCAGGTGGGAGGAGAAGACAGCCTCTCCTGTGGGCTCCTGGGCAAGTCAACACCCTCTTTGGGCCTGTCTCCTCAACTGGAAAATGCAGAAAGCCTGTTGTGCAGGCCTCACAGGGTCATGATAAGGGGCAAAGGATGAAGGAAACTTCAGAATTCTTGTGCCCACCTCTTCCTGAGAGGGATGATGGTGAGAACAATGGTGATAGCCACATGCAACTGAGTCCTCAGGAGGTACTGTGAGGAAGGTGTTGTTCTCATCACACTTCCTAGATGAAAAAACAGTTTCAGGAAGGCCTGGCTGCATGCCCAAGGTTACACACACAGTGAGTGTTAAAGCTGGGAGTAAATCTAGAATCAGGACTCACTGGAGCTGGTGGGAGCATTACACCGGCTGACTCAGGCAGTTATCCAAGATCTGAGGTCGCTGGGGCTGGAGTGTAACTGTGAGACAGGCACAGTCTCACTGACCCTGTTTCTGACTCTACTAGGTAGGAACCTTTTTAAAGAGTCCAGATGGGGCTGCAGCAGCAGGTGAATTGGCCTATGGTAGGGAGGGGCTCCAGAGAGTCAAGGACAGGGCTCCTCCCTCCCAGCTGGAGTTCTCCACATCAAGAGACCAGGGTGTCTTCCTCCTCCAGCCCTGCCCTCCTGTGGCCACAATGCTTGGAATGCCTTCATTAGAGAGACTAGAGAAAGGGCCTGGGAGAGCTAGGCTCAGAGTAGATTAGACGAAGAGTGAGGGTGGGGACGATCTGACTTTGTGATTTATTAAAATCACACCATAGAGGTAACTAAGAAGTGCTTAGCATCTTTGGAGGTCAGCTGTGGAAAGAGGAGGGAAAGATTTTGGGCAAGGAGGTGAAAGGTCCTTGGATGCTCTGAGTGAGAGACTTGGGTACGGGGGTCAAGGAGAAATAGGTTGGTGAGAGTTCAAAGGAGAGGTCTTGTGCAGTTAGCTGAGAATTGGTGCTCATCACTGCTACCACCTTGATAACACAGGCTGCTGTGCCCCCACTCCCCTCCCCCCCACCCCCCACCCCGGGCACACTTCTCAACAACCTGCAGATGCTGGAAATTGCCATAGAGGATTATATAGATGTGAGTGAGACTGGGGCAGGCAGGCAGGGTGGGGACCAGGATCCTGAAGCTTGCGAGGACAGAGTCCTGGACTGAATCCTGAGACTGCAGCACTCAGCAAACCCCTTTCCTGAGAGCCTACCAGATGCCCCTGTAAATGGCAGTGTCAGTTCCGTCTTATCTATGAGTGACGGAGCCTCCAGCAAAGACACCATTTCCTGTTCCTTGAGTAGTAAAGCTGCAGAGCTAAGTCTCAGCCTCTGCCTTAGCTGGTACCCATTGCAGAAGAGAGAAATTGGGCCCCTCCTAAGACAGGCAGGTCCTAAATTGTTGAGTAACTTCTTTGTTTCCAAGGCCTTTGTCTCCCTGTCTATCATCACAGAGAATCAGGGAGAAAGGTCACTGAGCCTCAGTGTCCCTTCTGTGGAGCCCAGAACCTGATGCAGGTCTAAGTCCTGTTTTATGCACATGCTCTGACCCTGGTGGCCCTGGTGGTGGTGCAGCATAGGAAGTATAAGGGATGAGGTCTAGTCCTGTGTCAGGAAGCCTTTCTCATGAATCTTGGCTGTCTACCTCCTAAGAACATATAATCAACACTAATAAAGGAAGAAGGTGAGCAGCTGGCGCTGTCGCTTTGAGGGAGGGTGGGGATGTGAAAGTCAGACACCACCCTGAGGAAGACACTCCTTGGCTCCATCCTCTGCATCTTAGATTTATTGGGAAGGTTTGATACACAGAGAAGCAGGAGACCCATCCCAATGGAGGGTTTGATTAGGGGAATAGAATCAATGATAAACTCCTAGAGGAGGGACTGTTTATATCCAACTCTTGAGAACAGGTTGGGGCTACATGGGATTGGAGGGGAGGGTAGGACCCCTTAAAAGAAAGGCCCTAGAAATTGTCCCTACCCCTTCACACCCCCACAAGTTCCCTTTGTCATCTTCCACCCAGGACCTGTCAGAATCCTGCCCTTCCTTCTGTCTCCAGATCAAAGTCCTCCAGGAAATGCAGCTGCTTCAGTGACAAGAGATAATTGTCATCTTCTGACTGAGGAGGAATTTGGGGTTTGGTTCCAGTGCATGAAGCTGCACAGTCAGAATAAAAGATGAGAGCCTAGCAGATTAGCAAAGACTAGGAGAAGACTCTATCTTGTGGCCAGCTTCAGAGAACCTGGGGCCATAGCTCCCTGGTCAACATTAGGCCTGCTGCATGGGGACCCTGGGCAGGCAGTGGGAAGCCTGAGGTGTGGCTCCTGGTAGCCTCACAGCTGCCACTATTTTCTGAAGCTCCTCCTACTTGTTTTGTCAGACGGGCCCCTATTCCAGCAGGCCAGCAACACCCTCAAGACCAAGAACAGGCCATGGTGAATCTCAGGGCCATTGAGTGCCTGGGCTGGCAGGGGCAGAGTGCCTCAGGGCTCAGTGACATTTGGCCTGAGTGTTGGCTTTGGGAGTCAGACAGCTGCACTGGGCTCCCAGCTTCACCATGACCAGTAATGTGTCTGGGGCCGGGGCCTCACTGCTCTAAAACTTGAGACACCATAGTGATAAATTTTACACACCCTTCTAACTGCTTTTTCTTTTTTATCTGTCTTTCTCTATAATCACCATGTACTACTGATCTCTGTTTATTTAAATTAATAAGCATGTTATACAGTGTGTATTATTCTTCCTCGTGACTTCTTTACTACATTGTATGATTCCACTCATATGAGGTACTTACAGTAGTTCCATTCATAGAAACTCAAAGTAGAAGAGTAGTTCCTAGAGGCCAAAAGGAAGGTAACGGGAACAGAGTTTGAGTTTTGCAAAATGAACAAATTTCCCTATGAATGTGGATGATGGTTGTAGAACAATGTGAGTATGATTAATTCCTCTGTCCTGCACTTTTAAAAATTGTTAAAATGGTTAATTTTATGTATATTTTACCACAATGTAAAAAAGGACTTTTTTAAATGAACAAACTGTAGATATCTGTAACAGCATAAATATCACAAATATAATATTGCATTAAAAATTGATGTAAAAGTATCCATACTGTGTAATTTTTTATATTACACTCAAAAATCAAAACTGAGGTTCTGGCTTCCACTAATGATGAAGTAGCTAACTGAACTAACACTCTCACACAGAAAAATGATGAATCCTGGGTAAATTATTATATATCATTATAGAAACATTTCTATATACAATACATACATGAAATATGTGTATATAAAAACTGAATGCATATTTTGGCTATGACTTCCATAGGAGAGATAAGTATTGAAGATAGAATCCAGCCCATTTAACACCATCTTTTAAAAACAACACTCTTCACAGGGACAAAACAGAATCCAGTCTTTTTAATCCAGTCTTGTATACAGTCTCCAGGGCACAATTTCCAATTCAAGAGATGCGTGAAGACACGTGAAAATGTAATAAATACACAAGATAAAAAGCAGGCAGTAGCCATCTCCAAGATGTCCAAGATGTAAACGGCAGACAAGAATTTGAAGGCAGCTATTATAAACACGCTCATGAGGGCAAAGGAAAATATTCTCATAAATGAATAGATGTGAAACATCAGCAGAGAAAAAATAGCCATATAAAAAATGAGAAATAAAAATAGTAATTTTGAGCTTTTCTATAGTTCAGAAACAGAGACATAGCAATATAATTTATCCAATCTGAGGAGAGGAAAAAAAAAAGTTTAAAGAAAATGAACAGAGCCTTACAGACCTGTGGGATGACTGAGTCTGAGAAAAGGTGAGAGATAGAAAAAATCAAATGGAGTATAAAAGTAAATCAACAAAATTTAAAGAAAATAAACACAGCCTTAGAGACCCATGGAATTATTGAGCCTGAGGAGAGGAGAGAGACAGAAGAATTAGATGGGTTGCAAAAATAAATCAATAACTAACAGCTGCAAACTTGCAAAAATTGTTCAAAAACCTATTTTTTTTTTTTAATCTAAAGATCCACGAATCCCCCACAAAAGTACAAATAAAACCATACCAAGGCCATATTGTGATTTAGGAAAGCAGCAGGCAGGACTTTCAATTGACTTGATATGATTTATCATTTTTACTATTTGTAAGAATGGAAATAAGTTCTTAGAGTTTTGGTCTTGGAGAAAGTCTGACGTTAAGGACAAACGACAGTTATTAAAGGCAGATGACTTTCCAGACTTGTCTTAAATGTTCCATTCTTCACCTTAGAACTTATTTAAATTTGTTTCTTCCAAATACTGCAGTAATATTGATGCTCCAGAGAGATGTCCCACGGAGATTCTGCTCTTGTGCGTCTGCCCTGCACGGAGCTGAGGCAGTGTCTATCAGTTTCAGAAGCGAGTAGTCGTGCAGTACTTAACCTGAAAAACTTAATGGAAACATGAATTAAGAGAATGATCACTGTTTAGTTCTATCAGAAAACTATTAAAAGTGGTCCAAGGGGGTATTTAAAAAGAGATATTAAAGTATTTTCCAAGGGAGCCCTATTCAGGGTAGAAGCGCAGACACTATCCCTGACCTCACCACACAAACTACCCTCATGTGTTGGGAGGGACCAAGGGGCGCTCTGGTCCTGCTGACCTGCATTAATCACGGCCCGGAGGTCCACACTAAGACCCTGAGGCCTGGGAAGCAGCCTGGGTGGGGTCAGAGAAGCGGTGGATGAGGCTCCCACAGCAGCTTCCAGGGTCCCATCCCCGTAGCTGTTTCCTTAGTGGATGCAGCAGGGTCAGGCCCTTCCGCTGTGACGTTTTCTCCTCTTTATTACACTGGTGGGAAAGTCTCCGTGAGAGGCCCGACCTAGATATGGACCACGCAGCGAGCCCGGGGGTCCAAGCGGCACTCCTGGGGTGCAGAGGATTTGTGACAGCCTAGAGAACAGAGGAAATGGTTTTGAAAAGGCAAATGGCAGGTGACTAGGGACACGATGTTTTCACTTCTGGCAGTCAAGTGACAGTTTCAGACACTCATGAACGGGCTTCTCGAGGGGATCCCAAGGAGCCTGAGACCTGCCAGGTCGGCCGCCATTACCCTACACCTAGGGACGGGCTGCACTGCGCATTTCCGAAAGGGCAGGCCCCTTAGCCCCACCCCTAGGAATGGGTGCACTGCGCATGTGTGAAAGGGCAGGACTTTTATCCCGCCGCTAGGGACGGGCTACACTACCCATGTCTGAACGGGTGTGACAAGAGGGAGGAGCGAGAAGGGACGGGGCGGAGCGGGAGATGGGCAAGAATAGGGGCGCGGTGCGGCCAACGTCCGGCGGAGGATCGTTACCACGGCAACGCTGCTGTGGAGGCCATGAAAGGCGAACGGCCCTTTGTTGGCTGACAGGAAATCGAGACACTCGTGAGGGGGCTTCTTGAGGCGATCCCAAGAGGCCTGAGAACTGCCACATCCGCGGCCCTTAACCCAGCCCTAGGGACGGGCCGCACTGCGCATGTCTGAAAGGGAGTGACAAGAGGAGGAGCGAAGGAGGGTGGGGCTGAGGAGGAGGCGGGGTGAGAAAAGGGGCGGGCCGCGCCCCACCCTTGTCTGAGGAGCGTTACCTTGACAACCCTGCGGCGGAGGCAGTGAGAGGCCACCGACCCTTTGTTGATCTGCAAGGTATCAAACTTCGAACATGACAAGCATAAAAGCCTGCAGCTCGAGGAGACAGGGTGTCACAATTACCAGGTGAAACTAGCCGCCCTAGCTCCAATGTCTCTTCAGCAGGAGAGATTTGGAAACAGCAAGGCTCCTCTCCGCAGGGCGAAACTGCTGGGCTGCGAAAGGCGGGACAGGGAGCGGAACCGTCTTCAACCGTTCCGGGAGTTCTGGTGTCTGGTCCGCTCCCGGCTGTTGGTCGCAGGGCAGAGGGTCTAGGATGCCAGCTGGCTGCGGGCTGGGAGATGCAGGGTGAGGCGCGCATCGCGGTGCATACTGGGAGTTGTAGTCTCTCCACCGTTCCCCACGGTGGATGGTGGGGCTACAGGAGGACAATCCCAGATTGAGACAGGAGCGGAGGCGGGGCGCGGCCGTGCAGGGAGGGGGAGGGCGGTGTAGGCGGCTTCGTTTACCAAGCTTGCTGGCCATTGATTTCATGCCAAACCCTCGCCAAGGGGATTAAATCAGGAGAGGAACTTGAAGGGCAGGCCTGGTCTCGCCAGTGAGGAGGATGTGTTGTTGGGAAGTGCACCCCGCCTTTGCCTAAATCGAGAGTGTCTGGTCCTCACTCACGCGACTTCGACTTCCCGCTGCTCAGCTCGATTTTCTTTCCCACTTGCACCCGAGTTCTTTCCAGAGCGTCCCACCTCCTCCAGCCCATGGAGCCGTCTGCTTTCATAAGTGGCTGTGGAAACTGGTCTGAGGTCCCAGACGCTGTCACTGTGCTGCTGCCCTCCGCTCTCTCCAAGCAAAGCACAAGCTGAGCCGCCTTGGAAAGACAACCACGGCCTGGCCTGGGAATGCGCAAGTTCAGAGCTTTGCAGGGAGTGACCATGGGCTGTGGCTTCGTGAAAATGTCACGTTCACCAGTACCCTTTTTGCGGATGTGGCCGTGGAGCCATGAGGGGGGTAATCACTGGGTTACAAAGGTGCTGCTAAGAGCGGAGGAGAAAAACCCAATTCCCAGCCATGTGTCTGGTATGACATTTCACCAACCCATTTAAGTGTGCAGGCCTCCAAATATCTACCTAAAGATTATGATAGATTAGGCATTTTACACTAAAAATCTGTGGCTTCGTGTCCACTAAAGCCTGACTGGCCAGTGCCTAAAAGAAACAGACGATAACCTGATCCCTCAGGAACAGATGGTGTTCTAGCTTTGTGGAAGTGAATTTCAAGGTATGGAGCACTTGAGGGGTCTTTGAAACCTGCCAGGTCTCACATCTCTGCTTTTGGTGAAAAGCTCATCAACTAACAGTAGTCAGGAATGTGCCTTTACTTCCTGGGGCTGGTCTGTTGAAATTTTGTGTGTGGACAATGGAAACATCCAGGAGCATTTCTGCTTTCCTATAGCCTCTTAATAATTGATGCCCTAAAGTCCTATATCCTTTGATTCCTGGATGGTACCAGATTTCATGCTGTTAAATCTAATCTGCAAAAACCTGAGCGTTAATCTCCATGAATAGAAGAACTTGTTGTTTCTTATTTAAATGCTCTTTTTTCTCTTGTCTTAGATTCTGAGCAGGATTTCCAATACGGTGTTGAAAGAAGTAGTGAGAGTGGGCATCTTTTTCTTATAATAAATCTTAAAAATAATTCCAAAATTTCACCATTGACAATAATGTTAACCATGGGATTGTCCTATAGCTTATAAAGAACATATCTCTTTATTTTGAGGTATATTCTTTCTATACCTAATTTGTTATAGATTTTATTTGGAATGGATTTTAAATTTTGTCAAAATAATTTTAGGCATGCATAAAAAAGTCATGATTTTTAATCTTTTTGTTGTGTAAATAAGGAGTATGGCATTTATTGATTTCCACATATTAAAATATTATTGCATCCCAGGAATAAATCCAACTTGATCATAATAAATGATCCTTTTAAAGTGCTTTTGAATTTCATTTGCAACTACGTTGTGGATGATTTTTCATCTATGTTCATCAGGGATATTGGCCTGTAATTGTTTTTCTTGTAATGTCCATCTCTGGTTTTTGTATCAGTGTAATGCTGGCTTCATAAAATGAGTTTGGAAGTATTCCTCCTCCTTCAATTTTTTCAAAGATTTGGTTCTTTTTAAATGTTTAGTAAAATTCAGCAACAAAGTCATCAGATCTAAACTCCTTACCCATTACTGATCTATTCATATTTTCTATTTCTTTATGCTTCAGTCTTCGTGGGTGGTACTTGTCTAGAAATATATTCATGTCTTCTCCCTTATCCCATTTGGTGGGATATCATTGTACATAGGAGTCTGTGTACATAGCAGTCTTATGACCTTTTTTTATTTCTGTTTTACCAGTTGTAATGTATTCCCTTTAATTCTGATTTTATTTATTTAAGCATTTATTTCTTAGTCTAGCTAAAGATATGTCAACTTCATGTTTTCATAAAACAAGCTCTTACAATTTTTCTACATTTTCTATTGTTTTTCTAATCTTCAGTGTATTCATTTCTGCTCCGATTTTTTTTACTAATTTTATTATCTGGGAACGTTGGGATAAGTTCTTCCTCCTCTAGTTTCTTGAGTTGTGTCATTATTTGTTTATTTGTGATCTGTTTTCTCTTTGGTTGAAGGTGTTTACTGCCACTCCATTTCACTGGGATTAGCACCCATATGCATTGTGGTCTTTTTGTTTGAGTTCATCAAACTTCTGATCCTAAGTCTGCACCTTTAGCATACTGGTAAGCAGCAGTGCTAAAAGCCTACACGATGAGTAGGGGATTTAGGATGAGAGAATTACCCAGTAAGTTTTGGGAGGGACTAATATTAAGTTATCTTTCTCTTTTTTATTTCTCATCAGTGCCTGAACCATAAGGCACAAGGAATGAGCCCCTCATCGTGAGAGTGCATGTGACAGGAGCAAAGGAAGCGGCAGCTCAGGAAAGACAAGGTCACTGTTCTTGCTCCCATGACGGTAGCACTTGTTAGAGCAACTGAGTGACGTGCATAATTCTCTCCAAAGTAAAAGTCCTTTTTGTTTTTTGCAATTTTACAAAAAACCATCCCTGGGCCTTTCCTGAGAGTGTGCAATAATAAGCAATGTTCATATGACTACCCGGGCATTTAGTAATGGTAAGCAGACCAGATGAAGTGACCACAGGGATATAGCCTGACTCTTGGTAATCAGGACTGAAGTACTCACTGATTAAGGTTCTGTGTTTTCACTGCCTTGAAAGGCAAGTGTCTTGCAAGCTGCATGCCAAACAAAGGCTAAATATGATGACACATCAGGCTGCAGCAGAGTCAACTGACCATATATGTCTAGGTGATGAGTGTGCTTTAATGTGGTCAGGGAAGGCAACTCATGATAAAGGCCACAAATGGCTATTTAGACCAAAGCAAAAGCCCACCAGAAACTGGTGGCTCTGACTGAGGTGACTTTTAATGTATCATGAAATCAGTAGGCCAAAAGCAGTTAAAGTTGAGCCGATGTCCTCAGTCATAGTTGGTTAATCCAGTTTGTATTGTGAATTGTTTGATTAGCCTCCCCTTTACCCCATTGGTGAGGGATAAATTACCACCCTTGTACTACTGGAACAGTTAAAACCATGGCACCAATCATTGGACAAATGAGATTGACAGCAGTTATTCGTTACATATAATCATGGAAGAAGGAAATTATATAAGGTATACAGACCCACACAGGGATTGCACTTGGGAGCAGAGAGAACAAACAGGGGGTGTTGGGGAAGGCTTTGTAGTATCAAGAGGGTGAGATGCACCTGGTTCCCACAGGAAGTTGTTATTGGTTGGTCTGGATAATTCTGTGACCTTGGGAGAAACTGAAACACATTATACTACCAATTGCTAAGACTACAATAACATACTATAATAGTGTAATGCTATAATGTACCATATACTGTAATACTAATGACAGTATGTTCTCCCTTTTTTGATAGATTCTCAGAAACTGTGACTTTAAGTAAAACAATGTACTATATAATAAAACCAATTTTACCATTGGCTAATTGATATAAACAAGAGTTAATTTTCCATGGCATATAGTATTTTGTTTCACTTAAAGTCAGTTTCCAGGGACCTATCAATGATGTTAAGTGAGCACTTACTGAACATGTATTTTAGTGATGTGTAATAGAAAGTAGCTATAAAAAATATACTATTCATGTACAAAACTACATGTGGCACACATTACAGTCATGAACCACATAACAATGTTTGAGAAATTGACAGACTATATATATGAGGGTGTTTTCTTGTGAGTATATATATATATATATATATATATATATATATATACCTACCTTTAAAGGCCAAAGGAGCTGAGAGTTTGAAGAATGAGGCTGACAAATCAAGTTTCTCAGAAAGAAACATTTAAGAGGAACATTTATTAATAGAAGCTATGTCTCAGATAGCTGAAGATGGTGGAACCTCACACTGTGACCCCCTAAACCCAGACACTTATCACAGGAAAGGGAATGTGAAGGACAATTGAAATCACTATATAAATTTGCCTAAGGGTAGGATTTATGCTAAGTACCTGTTCACAATAGCATCAGGGTTGTTTTGATTTAAGGGTAGGGCTTATAGAACTGTAGGTTTCAATATATGACATAGGTATTTGAAACCCTCACCAAAAAACATTAGAGGAAGTAACTCTGTCATCGTTTTAAGTTTCTTTTTTTTTTTTTTTAGTAATTTAAAATCTTAAAGTCTGGTTATGTTAAATTAAGTAATCTTAAGTTTCTCACTAAAAATTAGTATTGCTAAGCATTAAAAGAATAGTTTTAAGACAGTTTTTACCCCAGCACTAGTGATTGGATAATACGGCCCCAGGCCCCACCCCTTCAGGTTCTGAATGAGAGAAGATGTGAGCCAACTCATAGCCAGATGACAACAGGGTAAAATGTTCCAAGCCGCAGCCTTTTTCAGGCAGGACTTCCTCCTTATGCTGAAGCCCGGCCTTCACTGTGGGATATTTGCATTTAACCTTGTATATAAGGTTATTTTTATTTATAAGTTGTATATATGTGGCCAGGCATAGTGGATCTCACCTTTAATACCAGCACTTTGGTAGGCTGAGGGGACAGGAGCTCTTGAATCCAGGCGTTTGGGACCAGCCTGGGCAACAGAATGTGAGGGCCCCACATCAAAACTTTTCTACAAAAAAATGAAAAAATTAGCCAGGCATGGTCACACGTGTCTGTGGTCCCAGCTACTTGGGAGGCAGAGGTGGGAGGGTCACTTAAGCCTGGGAGGTAGAGGCTGCAGTGAGCTGAGATCAGGCCACTGCACTGCAGCCTGGGTGACAGAACAAGATTCTCTCTTTCTTTCTCTGCCTTATTTGTGTGTGTGTGAAGGGGGAGGGGTGTGTGTGTGTATTATTCAAAATAGAAACAAAATAATAACAATTATTTTTATTTTTATTTACATTTTTTTGAGACAGAGTCTCACTCTGTCACCCAGGCTCGAGTACAGTGATGAGATATTGGCTCACTGCAACCTCCGCCTGCCAGGTTCAAGTGATTCTTCTGCCTCAGCCTCCCAGGTAGCTGGGATACAGGCATCCACCATGTTGCCCAGCTAATTTTTGTATTTTTAGTAGAGACATGGTTTCACCATGTTGACCAGGCTGGTTTCGAACCGAGGTCAAGTGATCCGCCTGCCTCGGCCTCCCAAAGTGCTAGCATAACAGGCATGAGCCACCATGCCCAACCAATTACAATTATTTTTAATTTTTAGATTTTACAATCTTTCTGGCCTCTTGGCTTTTGAGGCAAACTGAGCTTTGAAATTAGGCAATCCTCTATTGCACCAATGTGCAATAGAAGTAAAATGTGAGCCACATGTGACAATTAGAATTTACTAGTAGCAGCATAAAGAAAAAGAAAAATGAGTGAAATTGATGTTAACAACATAGCTCAATATATCCAAAATATTTTAACATATAATCAGAATGAAATAATTAAAGAAACATATATATGTGTACATATATACGTACACACACATAGACATATGTTTCTTTAACCCAGCATTATATATTTTTATGCACATATGTATATGTAACTAAATATTTAAATATTTTCTTGTATTTCTCCCCAGCATATCTTAGTTCATGCTGGGCACAATACAGTTGCTCAGTAGCCCCTGTGCCCAGTGGCTGCCACATTGCAAGTGCATCTCTGAGGGCTCTGACTTTTCTGACCTTAGGGAAGTTAAAGGGCCTGAATCCTCCTTTTCTGCCAGATAGGAGTGAATGCCCCTTCTCTGCCAATATCACTCCTGTTTAAAGGATAAGAGAGGTGGTGCCCTGAGAGACAGTAGGGCCTACAAGAAACAAGTGTTCACAGGTAGAACACTGCTGTCCACTTTTGCTTGGTGTGGACTCATCAATCCTCCAGAGATCATACAGCAGTCCAAAAAGTGGGGCCCCCGAAGAGGGAAACCTCATGTTTTTAGATCTGTCCATAGGCTTGATCTGATGTGGAGAGACTAGATTAAAGGCAAACTTTTTATCTTGCAACTTGGCCTTGGCAAATTAAATAGAAATATGTCACTATAAAAATCAATTAAATAAAAAGGAAGGCAGTAAGAGCAGAAAAGAGGAGAAAATACCTACAAGAAACAAATAGAACTATTAACAAAATGGAAGTAGTCCATTCTTTTCACAATTAAAATGAATATATACATAGAGTAAAATTTCCAACAGAAATGTGTAAATTGGCTAAAGAGATTGAAAGAAAAAACGATTTGTTTTCTGCTGTCTATAAGAAACTCACTTTAGATCTAAGCACACAGATAGGCTAAAAGTGCAAGTATGAAAAATATCTTCTAGGAAGATTGCAATCAAATGAGAGCAAGAGGGGTCATAATTATGCAAAATACACATTAAGTCAAAACTGAATTAAAGGACAAATAAAGATAGTATATAATGATACAAGTGTTGATTCACTGGGGAAGCTGTGTTAATAATAAATATATGTACACTTCACATCGGGGTTTCCAAATGTATAAAGCTAAGATCGACCCAGATGAAGAAAGAAATAGCTATGCAAAAATAGTAAGAGACATAATTATCCGACTATCAGTAGCAAACTCTGTAAACCGAACAGACATATAGAAAACACTCATCACAGTGAATAGATTCAGGAAGCTGAAGGCCCATGGGACATGACCAACTCAGCATTCCACTGGAGGCTATATGATCAAACAGCAAACTGTTTATCATGAATGCAGGATGTGGGCAAACTCACACTGCCCTGCCACCAAAAGGTTTGCTGAGGGCCTCATTCCCTGGCACCAGGCTCCTTGAAGTTATCTACTGAGAAATCCAGTGCCTATTGTTCTAAGAATGTAGTCTCTCGAGTCAGCTGTGAATCAAGCTGCTGGTGGAAAACCACCCCCCGCTTCTCACTATCTCTCTTACCTAATAAATATGGAGGGCTGTGTAAAGCTCAGGTACCTTGTTCACTAGAGGCAAGGTGCCCCTGACCCCTTTTTCCAAATATACCCCTTTGTCTCTTGTCTTTTATTCCTGCATTCACCCTGCTTTGTTCAGTCCAATAGGTCTGTGTAGGCTACAAATAGAAGTGAAAAAAAAGAAAAAAAACACTTCACACAACAATATCAGAATACACACTTTTTCCAATAGGTCATGAAACATTCTCCTGAGTAGATAACCTACTAGGACACAAAACAAGTTTTACCAAATTTTAAAATGTTAAAATATGGGCTAGGCATTGTGGCTCATTCTTATAATTCCAGCATTTTGGGAGGCTGAGGTGGGAGGATTAGTGAGTTTAGGAGTTCGGCGCCAGCCTGGGCAACATAAAGAGACCCTCTCTTTAGAAAATATAAAATTTAAAAATTAGCTGGGCATAATGGCACATGCCTGTGCGTCCAGCTACTCAGGAGGCTGACGGGGGAGGATTGCTTGAGCCTGGGAGATCGAGGCTCTGGTTAGCCATGATTGAGCCGCTGTGCTCCAGCCTGAGCAACAGAGCAAAACTCTGTTTCAAAAAAAAGATTAAAATATTACAATCATTTTTTATTACAAGGGAATAAAATTAGAAATCAATAGCAGAAGAAATATGGAAAATCTACAAATATGTGGAAATTAAACAACACACTCTTCTGCATGCTCTCGTTCAAGGGTTGGAAGACAATATTGTGAAGATGTCCACACTACCCAAAATGATCTACAGATTCAATGAGATCTCTATCAAATTTTAACTGTCATTTCACTTGGCAGAAATACAAAAAACATTTCTAACACTTATATGGAATCTAAAGTGACTCTCAGGAGCCAAACAACCTTCAAAAAAAGAAATAATATTGGAGGCATCACACTCCTTGACTTTATAATGTATTACAAGATTACAGTAACCAAACTATTTAGTACTGACATAAAGGCAGACACACAGACAAATGGAACAGAATAGAGCACAGAAATAAACTGTCATATATATGGCCAAATGAAGAGTTATTTGTATATCCATATTCATTGCACAACATTATTCACAACAGCTGATAGGTGGAAGCAACCCAAATGTCCCTCAATGAATCAGTGAATAAAGACAAATTGGAATATACAAATAATGGAATATTATCCAGTTTTTTAAAAGCAGGAGATCTGATTATTTTTACACTAAGGATAAATCTGGAGGACATTATGTAAATAAAATAAATGAGTCATAAAAGGACACTGTGTGATTCCAGTTAAATATCTAAAATAGTTAAACTCTTAGAAACAGAAAGTAGAATAGTATCAGTCAGAGCCTCAGGGGAGGAGATAAAAGGGTAGTTGTTGTTTCATGGCTATTGAATTTTAGTTTTGCAACATAAAAACATTCTAGAGATATGTTGCATAACAATGTGAATATATTTAATATTATTTAACTATGTACTTAAAATATTTAAGATGGTAAATTTTATGTGGTTTTGACTACATTAATAGTGAAAAACTTTCTAAAGAGATACATATTTATCAATCTTTTCAAAAATTACCTTCAAATCCTAAAAATATCAGAAAAACAATAAAGAGGCCAGGTGCAGTGGCTCATCCATGTAATTGAAACACATCAGGAGGCTGAGGAGGGAGAATAGCTTAAGCCCAAAAGTTGGAGACCAGCATGGGCAGCGTAAAAAGACCTCAGCTGCAAATCACAAGCAGAAGGAAACTGGCAAATGAAAAAATATGTGAAACTTAAAACAGAACACTCTTGACTTCTTGTTCAAGGGTCAGAAAATTTAATATTATTAAGATGTCAATACTACTCACAGTGAAGCACAAATTCAAAGTATTTTCTATCAAAATCTCAATGTTACATTTGTTTCAGAAATATTAAGTCTTAAAATTCATATGGAATCTCAAGGGACAATGAGTAGCCAAAGTAGCTGTGGAGAAGAACAAAGTTAGAGGTATCACACTTCCTGATTCCAAAATATATTATAAAGCTATAGCAATACAAACAGAAAGACAAATAGATGATGGAACAGAATAGAGAACCCAGAAATAAACCTTTATGAATATCATCAAATAATCTTCAATCAGGCTGCCATGACCGAACAACAGGGAAGAACAGAATAGTGTTCTAAAATTGAGTATCAAAATGGAAGAAAATAAAATTGGACTTTTCACTTGCACCATATAGAAAACTATCTTAAACACTTAAATGTAAGTAAGATCGCTATAAAAGTCTTAAAATATAAGGTAAAAATCATGACATTTGTCTTGATAATTTTTTTAACATGACATTAAAAGCAGAAGTAACAAGAAAAAAGCAGGAAAATGGGACTACCTCAAATGTAATAAGCTTTCTGATAAAGAGAAAACAGCTGGGCCTGGGGGACCACTACCACCAAGACGCAGAGACCAGTAGTGGCCCCGAATGGCTGGGCACGCTGATATTTATTGCATACAAGACAAGGGGGCAGGGTAAGGAGGGTGAGTCGTCCAGGTGATTGATAAAGTCAAGCAAGTCATGTGATCATGGGACAGGAGGCCCTTCCCTTTTAGGCAGCCAAAGCAGAGAGGGAAGGCAGCATACATCAGTGTTTTCTTCTATGCATTTATAAGAAAGATCAAAGACTTTAAGACTTTCACTATTCCTTCTACCGCTATCTACTAAGAACTTCAAAGAGGAACCAGGAGAATGGGAGGAACGTGAAAGTGGACAAGGAGCGTGACCACTGAAGCACAGCACCACAAGGAGGGGTTTATGCCTCCGGATGACTACGGGCAGGCCTGGATAATATCCAGCCTCCCACAAGAAGCTGGTGGAGCAGAGTGTTCCCTGACTTCTCCAAGGAAAGGAGACTCCCTTTCATGGTCTGCTAAGTAACAGGTGCCTTCCCAGGCACTGGCATTACCGCTCGACCAAGGAGCCCTCAAGCGGCCCTTATGTGAGTGTGACAGAGGGCTCACCTCTTGCCTTCTAGGTCACTTCTCACAATGTCCCTTCAGCACCTGACCCTATACCCACCAGTTATTCCTTGGTTATATGAGTAATACAACAAAGAGTAATATTAAAAGCTAGTGATTAATAATGTTTATACTAATGATGGATAATGTCCATGATCATCTCTATATCTAATTTGTGTTATAACTATTCTTTATTCTAACTGTTTTCTTTATTATACTGCAACAGTTTTTACCTTCAGTCTCTTGCCTCGGCACCTAGGTAATCCTTCACACCCACATGTTTCTACAAAGGAGATATACAAACGGCCAAGAGGAATTTTAAAAGATGCTGCAAATCATGAATCTTTAGAGAAATGAAAAGCAAAACCCCAGTGAGATATTACCTCACATTCATTAGGATGGCCACTATCAAATAAGAGAAAATAACAAGTGTTTTCAAGGATGTAGAGAAATTGGTATATTTGTGCACTGGGTGGTGGAAAAAATAATCATGCAGCCATTATGAAAAATAGTACAGAGTTTCCTCAGATTATTAAAATTGGAATTATGATGTGGTCTGGCAATACCATTTCTAGATATCTATCTAAATGTGCAAAGCGGGACCTGAAAGAAACATTTACATACCCATGTTTATGACAGAATTATTCTAAAAATCCAAAAGGTAGAAGCTACTTGAATGTCCCTTGACAGATAAATAAGTAAATATGATATATACATACAATGAAATATGATTTTAAAAGGAAATCTTATCACATGCTGCAATGACAATAAACCTTTAGGGCATGATGTTAAGTGAAATGTGCCAGGAAACAAAGTGACAGTGATTGTGTGATTCCACTTATGAGATATCTTAAGTAGTCCAACTCACAGAAATGGAAAGTAAAATGTTAAGGGCTCAGGAGAGGGTAAAATGGGCAGTTGACGTATATGGGTATTGAGTTTTAGTTTTGCAATGGAAAAGCTCTAGAAGCCTGTTGCATAACAATGTGGATATGTGTACCACTAATAAATTATGCAATTACAAATGTATAGACTGGTAAATTTTGTTGTGTTTTATTACAGTTAAAATATTGTAAAGTGATACATAAAAGAGATACCGAGTTACAAACTTTTTGGAAAATTACCTTCAAATTATAAATGTGTTTTCCTCACACAAAGAAAATATAGATTTGTTCAATAAATACGTGGGTAAGTTAAGACTACTTATATGACTACTGTCCTGAACAAGATAAAACAACTTTTGACACCAGCCAAGAAGAGAAATATGCAAGATAATTAAGAAGAAATAGACTATACTTACAGAGGCAAACAAACACACGATTTTATTGGTGGTAGATATGGCTGATTCATATTTTGATTAAACATCACATTGACTTAACATGTACATAGAGTTGCAGATTTACATCCAAAATCATAATACGTAGGTAAAACCAAACTCACAAAACACGAATGTCAAGGAACTTACCAAAAAAGAAAAAAAAAATAGTAATATGAAATTTCAAGAAAGAATGAGAGAAACAACGAAAAAACTCCTATATAAAACATAGATTTACAACTAAGAAAGAATCCTCCTAGATAACTACAATCTTCAGCTGTGACTGTGCATCCGTGGTGAGCAGGGATTTTGAATCAAGACTGCGTTAGGAAGAGGCTCAAGGGGGCAGACAGTGCCACCTCCAGAGAAGCCACTGCTCCTACTCCTGCCTCTCCTGCTACTGCCGCCACCGTCCTCTGCTCCTGCAGCCCCCACTGGGCGCCCGATTCCTTCTTGGAGTGCGGAGGTCCTGTTCCTTCAGGAACGACAGACAGCTTTTCTCCCCGTCTCCTCGTTTGCTCAGCCGGCAGGTGCAGGACTGGAGATCTGAGGTGGTCCTGCGTCTCGAGGAGCCGGGCGCCCGACTGTGAGAAGGAGGAGGCAAGCTATGGGGAGAGGGGGCGACAGGAATGCCAGGCTCATGAGGCCGGCGGCCGCGGCCCAGGCAGGGCTGGCTGCTGCCTGGGCCGGATGGTAAGAGATACTGTGGAAAGAAAATAAAATAAAATAAGTAATAATAAAGTTTAAAATAATAAACCTAACATAGGTAATAGTTAACATTCAGCATAGGTTACTTAGAAGTTATACATAGGCTAAGAAATTCCAGCAGTCCATTCCAGCATTGCTAACAAGTTGCAGCTGCGAGCTTATCTCAATCTTCCAAGCTTATTGCCTGCCTCCAGACCCCCGCATATTCCTGTAATTCGTGTTTTCCCTTACCCCAGCTCTGTTCAGCTTCAAAGTTGACTGGACAAAATAACTAAATTGTAAGTTCTCTCCGAATTGTCACGGGTTGGATAATTTACTGTCTTTGTCTGAAACCTGTAACCTGCCTTGTTTTCCCGCCTCAAACGGCACTTAAGCAAGCCTGCTTTCTTTGCAGGGGTCGGCAGCCATTTTGGGCATGAGCCTGCTGTTGGCTCAGGTGCCTGAATTAAATAAAGTTCTCTTTGGTCTCCAAAGGTCTCTTCGTGTTCCTTGGCTGGAGTTTTACTACAACAGTACCAGATGTCGCCACCATCCCCATCCTTGGCCCCCTAGCCGTCATTCATACATCCTGTGTTCAACAAACAGAAGTGGCAGCGGGAGCTGCTGCTCCGGGAGGGGGAGTGGCCTGGCAGGGGGCACACAGCTGCTACCTGCTGCGAGGCGAGTTGGTCTGCAGCCTGGGCCTTTGTGCAGGACACATCGCCGCCCTTGTCCCGCTTGCTCCCCCGCCTGCCACGCAACATGCTCAGGTGCCAGATCTCGGGCATTCCTGGCAAGCGTACTGTGGCGGGGAGGCAGCAGGGAGGAGGGGTTTGCCAGGAGCCCTGAACAGAGGTTCTTGGCATGGAGAAGAGACAGAGGTGGCTGACTGGTTCCAGTTTTAGGTGGGTGGGGGGAGGGGGCGGCAAACCCCATGGGACTTTGTTTTTTTCAAGGAGACTTCAGTTCACTTCTTATCTGTTCTCCACCCGCTTAAGCCTCTGAGAACAGAGGAGATGGGGCTCTTTTAAATTGGCCTGGCCGTAACGGTCTGGACCCTTGCCGCAGGGCGGATCTCATTTGGGGGCTCTTTGAAGCCTGGAGGCTCACGCCTGTCCATCCCAGGTGTCTTCAATATAGGGTCAAGTTAGGCCTGGCTGGCAATGATGCTGGGATGCAGGACGATCTGGCCAGATCTTCGCCTGTTACAGGATATTTTAGCCTTCAGCACCCTGCACCATTTCCCTCACCTGCAGAAGCCCCCGTGAGCCTCAGTGTTGCTAGGGCCCAGACCCTGGATGCCTCTCTATTAGGGTCCCACTTTACCCCACCTAAATGCACCAGGCCCTTACTCTGCCTTTCCCCTTTTCCCAGAACATGCCCCATTCAACTCCAACAGGACATGTCTGGACCACGTGCACCCCTCTTCAGTGTTAAAACAGAGAAAATAATGTATTTTTCACTGAACATGTAACTGATTTAACATATAAGGAGATCAGCTTTATGTGTAGATATGCATGTAAATATACACAAAATTTCTAACGTTGTGGGAAAATTAACATCTTTACACTTTGTTCAGTGATTTTATAGTTTTCTCTCTCTTACTCACTTGCTTCTTTTTTTTTTTTTTTTGAGACAGAGTCTTGCTCTGTTGCCCAAGCTGGAGTACAGTGGCAAAATATCAACACACTGCAGCCTCTGCCTCCTGGGTTCAGAAGATTCTCAGGCTTCAGCCACCCGAATAGCTGGAATTACCAGCATGAGTAACCATGCCCAGCTGTTTTTTGTGTTTTTAGTGGAGACGGGGTTTTGACATGTTGCCCAGGCTGGTCTCGAACTCCTGGCCTCAACTGATTTGCCCACCTTGGTCTCACAAAATGCTGGGATTACTGGCGTGAGCCTCTATGCCTGGCCTACTTGTCACTATCTCTATGTTTATTTGTTCAATAGGAAAATTCTCAGTGAAGACTCCTCAGCATGATGAAGATAAGCTTGCACAATCAGTCATTGATAGATGCTTAGTGGAAAAACTTCCAATTCCCATTTGCAGCTCTCAGAGCTAGGATTAAAAACTCCTGGTCACAACCTCATGTGATGAGATGTTATAGCATGCCCTCATTTTCTACATATCCACCTGCATTTACAATTAGCTTTCAAACTTGCTAGAAGGGAAAGAAGTGGGAATGTGTCCCCCTTAGAGCTACTTTCCTCCCCGTGCTGGGTTTCCAGTTTGTGCATTGTCCAGATGGCCCAGGAGCTTATGATCAAAGTGAAGAGGTCCTGTTTGTCATGAGAATGCTGCTTTGCTGCATCAGGATTCAGTGAAACTGTTCACCACCTGGAGCCCATGTGGACTCCAGAGGCAGGATGAAGCTCAGAAACCGTCACTGAGGTTAGGAAGTGAGCACCAAAGTTGAGGGCTGCCCACAGGAGAGGGCCAAAATGCTCCCTTTGGATTTCCAAGTGGTTGCTTCTTGCATCAGTCTTGCTTCTGACCACACTGTGTTCCTGGTCCCGTCTTCCTGGCATTTTGCTGTTTGTGTCCAAGGGAAAGAGTCCTGGATGGCAGTGCTGAGAAGGATGCCTGCCTGCTAAAGCTGATCCCCTGGTGAGCTCTGCAGCCTGTTAAGCAGAGCCTGAAATTCTTTCTCACTGAGTGGTGATTCAGACCACGGAGGGCCCTCCTCTTGTGGATCTGCATTCCGAAAAGATTGTGCCTTTTCCTGAAACTCTGGGACTTGTAGAAGATCATGCAGATGACTGGTGTGGTTGCTCCAGCAGATAGATGGCTCTTTCATGGCTTGTGCCTGTTTCTGCCACAGGTAGACCTATGTGCATGGGCTACTAAGGTGCTCCTGCTCCAGGTTGCCATTGAATCATGGCATCCTGGGACCCGTTGCCTAAGCTCCACCACTTGTGAAGGTGGGATGTGTCCTGTTGACCCAGACTCTAAAATTGTGGCTAAGGATGACCAGGCTGTGGCTGTCCCTTTAAGGCAGAACTTCCAGGCCAGTGTCTTATTTTTCTTGTCATCCTAAAGTTTTCCTTTCGACTGAGGCCAGAAACAAGTCTGTGTATGGGAGAGCCTCCCTCCTAGAGTTGGTACCATTGACATATGACTCCTAAGTGCCAGAAGAGGTTGAGAGAACTCTCCCATCTGCACAGCCAGGGTGCTATGTGCATCGTGACCCTTGGTGCCTGGCTCACACAGCCTGCAGAGGGATCCAAAAAATCACAGGTTGTGGGAGGTGAAGGAAGAGCTGGTACAAATGACAGGTGGCTGCTGACAGAATAGGAGGCAGGAAGAAGATGAGACCTGCCTGGGGTAGTGCACATGTTTTGTTCCAGCCAAACAGTCAGATGAGGTCTTGGTCTTGGACCCGCTGCCAGGGAATTCACAAGCCCGCTTCTGCTGTGGCCTGGGAGCTGAGGTCTTTGGTTCTGAAACCAAATGTAAATTTTGGACTCTGAAATGCCTGTCTGTTTAGCCAGTTTCTCTATAATGGTGATTCCAGGAAAGGAATTCTCTTGGAAAATGTTGAGGGTCCTTCTCAAAGGCTTTAATGAGTACACTGGTGTGTGATTGAGTGATGGATGTCCTTTCCTCCTGCCTTCTTATTTGACTTGCACAATAAATATTAACTATGGCAGTTACGGTCATATCTTTCTTTACAACATAAGAAACTTAAGTCATTCATTGATGACACCAAAGCCTCATTCTCCTACATTAAACATTCTCCTACATTAAACTTCTTGAATCTTCTGTGCCAACTGTCTAGAAAACCTAAACACATGAAATACTACAAATTAGAAATAAATACCTCAATAGGCACCAATTATAAAAGCAAATCCAAGAAGGAACAGAATATATGAATACACATATAACAAGTAAAGAGATTCAATTAATTAAAAATCTTCACAAAAAGAGAAGCCCAGAGCCACATGGCTTAACTGGTAAATTCTACTAAACATTTAATGAAGAATTAATGCCAACTCTTTACAAGGCCTTCCAGAAAATACGGGACAGTTATTGGGAACACTTCCCAATTTGTTCTGTGAGGCCAGTATTACCCTGATACTAAAGGCAGACAAAAGCATCAGAAGTAAATATGTGTATGGATGAATTTCCCTGATGAATACACACAGAGAAATTCTCAAAAAAGTGAAATGAATCAAGAATATATCAAAATGAATGTACACCATGACCAAATGGAATTATTTTACAGATGCAATATTGATCTATCCGATAATCAATCAGTGCCTTACACAAAGTAATAGGATAAAGGAAATTAACAGAAAGAGCCTTTCAACAGACACAGGGAGCATTTGACCAATCCAATATTCATTCACAATCTCCCTGGAAAGGAAGGGTACAAGCAAACTTCCTAAATCTGCTAAAGAGCATCAATGAAAAACTTACACCTAACGCCATAATAGTAAAATACTGGTTGTTGTGTCTTGACATTTTAGAACAAGGCAAAAATGTTAACATCCAAAGAAATTACATGAGAGAAAAAAACAAAATCATCAATGTGGGAAAATAAGATGTTAGAATTGTCTATCATTGCAGAGGACATAAGTGAATATAAAAGTTTATAAAAAACTCATTAAAACCCACTAAAACCAATACATGAGTTCAGCAAGGTCACAAGATACAAAATCAATATGCAAAGTTCAATTGTACTTTTATGTACTAACAATGATCAACCTGAAAATAAAATTAAAAAAACAATCCATTTGTGTATGTATGAAAAAGAAAGAAATATTTAGGAGTAGATTTAATGAAGTGCAATTTTACCGTAAAAAGAAATCTTTGTTAAAAAATTTTAAAACACTGAAAAAAATAGGCATCAATGTTTATTTAGTTAATGTTATTCCATTATCCAGTGTATCCATTTAAACTCCACACAATAAAACAAAATATATTTTAGCATTATTTTAGTGTAATAAATACAGGTTTGTAGAAAACTCATAAAAGGAACTAATTCTACATGTCCAGAATAGCCCATCCTAATTTTTCTATTTTACATCTACTGTAAATCAAACCGATTTTGTTCCATATTTTATAGCGGAACGTAAGATAAAATCCAAATTGTTAAATACGTGAGATTGATTATAAGCCCACCAAGGAGGTTTTTACTCAGTGTGGGAATTCAGAGAGCATGAAGTTGCAAAGACAGAAGCAAATGTTTTTGAATGAATTATGAGGGACAATACTCACAGGAGTGCTTCACACTTTTATCAACTGACTCATGTCATCTCACTTTAGGAGAAACTGCCTCTAATTTTAGACATTGGTTCGTAGCAAATGCTAAATGAACCAGCACCAAGTTTATATCCAGGAGAACTGCTTACTCTAGAGGATTTTGTCTCTTGGATAATGACATGATTCTGTCTTTCATAGGCTACTCCAAAACTTCTATAATGATGGTAGAGTTTAGTGAAGTGGAGCATCGGCATGCCATCCCCATGCTCCTGACAAGCAGCAGCAGCTAACCTAAGCACAGTCACATAGGGCATGCCATTGACACCCACCTTGCTGTTGTTCACCTCCACATACTAAGTTGCCATACACTTTGCAGTGGAATTTCACCTTACTGCATCTGGTTGGTCAGCAGTCCTGCAGGTAGAAAGAGTTGGTCAGGAGGGCACATTGAGAGAATAGATGGGAGCTCAGAGGCTGCCTAGCTCCCTGCACCCTGCCCACAGGCCACAGTCCTCACCCAGCTGTCCAGCATGCATGTCTGCTGAAGGCTGCTGCACTTGTTCTTCATCACAGAGGTGGGATGAAAGCAGTCTGAGGGCACCACACTCCATGATCAGGGTCTACTTCTGGTGCCATAGCTCCAGGTGGAAGGACAGGTAAGCAAAAGACAGGTCCCACCTTCCACATCCAGCCCACACTCCCACCAACTTCCAGGCCCACCTCAATATCCTGATGTGATGCTCTCCTTAGACCTCTTGTGGTTCTTCAGCCAGGAGATGGAGAGAGTGGGGTTGCTAGGAGCCAGGCAGTGAAAGTTGGTTGTGGTGGCCAGCATGGCTGGCAGTTTCCTGTCCATCCACTGGGGCAAAGTCCAGGAAGGGGTCTCTGCTGGTGGAAGCACACATGAAGGCCATAGCTGAGGTGAGGAACAGAGACCCATCTGACCAGACCCCCGATTCAAGATCACCCTGCCCACTCCGAGTCTCATGTTTTTCTCCTGTGTAGGGAGAGTGTTGACATTTCAAGGACATCTACTTGGGCTGAATGAGGCTCCCAGGAGCTTCAACACAATGTCCCCACCCAGTCATGCTCAGAGCTGGCAATGTGTGCCTTTCTATTCCCTCTGCTTCCCCCAAGTGGCTGCTCCTGCTGAGAGGCTGGGGTTCTTCATCCTGGCCTGAAAGCCTCAAAGAATAATGGAGTCTCAAGGGGATACCCCACCTGCACAGGGAGGCACATGGGGAGGGCCCACCAGGAAGGAGGCCCAGCAGGTAGCCCAGCTAAGTGAGTGAGTCAGGACAGGCATTGGGAGCAGTTTACCAGGAGAAGAAACCCAGCCCCTTGCAGAGCTGGGAGCCTCAGAAGCAGCTGAGAAGCCTTGGTCCACAAGCCTCTGAGCCCATAAGCCACCCCCTGCAGAGCTTCAGGGCCCGGCGGGCACTGGTGAGGATGGCGGCCTGGAGGCTTCGTCTCTTTTTTATCCTGACTTCCAGGGCTGTCACCATTCCCCCTCTCACACCTCAGCTAGTTTTTCTAATTTCTGGGTGCTGGGGTGGGGCTGCCTTCCTGCCTGGACTTGTGGGTAGGCTCAACTGCCTTACCCCCAGGAGAGAGGCACCAGGGGCCCAGGAAAGAGAAAGGAGGCAGCCGCTTCCCCACAGTGACCTCCTTGCCATTCACATGCAGCGACAGGCCCACCTTTCGGTGGAGGATGCTGAAGCACAGCCGGGAGCTGTGTAGAGAGACGCTGGGAAGAGGCACCAATCACAACTCTGAGCTGTCCTCTGGGATTCCAGGGGTGGGAGATGGGGACCCACTGGTGATTAAGACAGCTCAGCAAACTGTGGCACAGGATGTTCCCAGGACTGGGAGACAACAGTGACTCAATGCTGCTCACTTCTAGACTGTGCCTTCTTAAAGTGGCTCTTCAGTTACCCCCAGAGCTTGAGCCCACACCATCCTGGGATGGCTGGGTAGGCAGAGGTGAGCAGGGACTCAGGGGGAGTGCACAAGGGTGTGTGGGCAGGGGCAGAGGCTGTTGAGGCAGGTGAGGGGAAATTTTCATCCTTTCCTGTCTGCTCCTCCCGGGGTCTACTTTCCTCTCTTCCCTCTGCCTCTGGCTCCCTGGCTGGCTCCTCCTCACTTTCTTTCCTGCTCACTCCAGAGGTCTCAGGGGCTCAGCCCACCACCAGTGGTCCCCAAGTTGCAGCTGCCTCTCCCATGCCTATCCCATGAGGACCCTCATCTGCCTGAGCACATCTCTGGGCTCCTCTGAAACCAGAAGCCCCATCTTCCTGACAGACCCCTCCACAACTGGGCAGAGTTCACCTGCCACTGTTCCAGGCCAGAATGACGGAATTGTTCCGCTGCTGCTGTTTCACACCCACAGCCAATCCCCCACAAATGCTGTTGGCATCACTTTTACAACCCTCATGGCCACCCTGCCCTCCTGCTGGGCTGTAGCTTTTGTCCCCTCCATCCATCTGCCCCTTGGCAGCCACCTGAGCCCCCAAGCACTGCTGTGCTCACACCTACAGTAGCCACCTCACCCAGAGCCAACATCAAAGTCCCCACAGGCCAATCCTGGCCTCCTCACTGCTCCTGGAACCCCAGGACCCTGTGCCCCAGTCTCCCCATCTGCAGCATGTGTGTCTCCTCTGACCCCCAGCCTGCCCCACAGAGCCCAAGACATCCAGAGCCATCTAATAGATATGTAATACATATCAATTACATAATAATTCATGATACATCATATTATATACAAAGTACGATGTCATAATGTACTGTGATGCCATAATACATATGAAGTATAATGTCATAATATATTGTGATGTCATAACACATACTGATGATGATGTCACAATATACTGTGACGTGATAATGCCTATGAATTTTGATGTCATAATACATGTGCATTATGATGTCATGATATATTGTGATGTTGTAGTATAAATTATGATGCCATAATATATTATGATGTCATGTTGTGTGTGCATTATGATGTCATAATATATTGTGATGTCATAATACATATGAATTATGATATCATAATATGTTGTAATGTCATAATATATTTATTTATCACATTAATGGTATAATAACATAAACTTTGTCAGGTAATTTTACAAGAAAATTCAGTGAAATTTTGTAACAATATTAACATCTAAAGTAGCTTATAATCATGATGAAAAATGAAAGAGCTGCAGGAATCTCACATGGTAGGAGTTGAAACAGGAAAGATCAGGGAGGGATATGCTTCACTTTTAAACCACCAGATCTCGTGAGTACTCACTATGACAAGGACAGCACAGAGCCATGAGAAATCTATCCCCATGATTCAACCATCTACCACCATGCCCCACCTGTAACATTAGGGATTAAAATTCAATATGAGATTTGGAGGAGACATCTAAACTATATTATATGACCATTAGTGTGGGCGAAAGGTCACCAAGGTGCCAAGGCAAGAGACTGAAACAAACTGTTTCAGTATAATAAAGAAAATTGTTAGAATAGAATAGTCATAATACAAATTAGATATAGAGATGATCATGGGCAATTATCAATCATTATTATAAACATTATTAATCATTAGCTTTTAATATTACTCTTTATTGCATTGCTAATATAACCTAGGAATAACCGGCGGGTATAGGGTCAGGTGCTGAAGGGACATTGTGAGAAGTGACCTAGAAGGCAAGAGGTGAGCCTTCTCTCATGCCCCCATAAGGGCCGCTTGAGGGCTCCTTGGTCAAGTGGTAATGCCAGTGTCTGGGAAGACACTCATTACTTAGCAGACCATGAAAGGGAGTCTCCTTTCCTTGGAGGAGTCAGGGAACACTCTACTCCACCAGCTTCTTGTGAGAGGTTGGATAAATTATCCAGGCCTTCCCACAGTCATCCAGAGGCCTAAACCCCTCCCTGTGGTGCTGTGCTTCAATGGTCACACTCCTTGTCCACTTTCATGTTCTTCCCATACTCCTGGTTCCTCTTTGAAGTCTATAGTAGATAATGGTAGAAGGAAGTCTTAAAGTCTTTGTTCTTTCTTATAAGTGCATAGAAGGAAACGCTGACGTATGCTGCCTTCTCTCTGTCTGCTTCGGCTACCTTAGAGGGAAGGGCCCCCTGTCCTGTGATCACATGACTTGCTTCACCTTGTCAATCACTTAGAAGATTCACCCTCCTTACGCTGCCCCCTTGTCTTGTATGCAATAAATATCAGCCCGTCCAGCTGTTCGGGGTCACTAGTGGTCTCTGCGTCTTGGTGGTAGTGGTCCCCTGGGCCCAGCTGCTTTCTCTTTATGTCTTTGTCTTGTGTCTTTATTTATTATAATCTCTCGTCTCCGCACACAGGGAGAACACCTGCTAAACCCCGTAGGGCTGGACACTACACATTAGAAAAACAGATGAGGCTGGATACGGTGGCTCATGCCTGTAATCCTAGCACTTTGGGAGGCCGAGGCGGGTGGATCACAAGGTCAAGAGATTGAGGCCATCCCGGCTAACAGAGTGAAACATGGTCTCTACTAAAAATACAAAAAATTAGCCAGGCATAGTGGCACACACCTGGAGTCACAGATACTCGGGAGACTGAGGCAGGAGAATCACTTAAACCCAGGAAGCAAAGATGTAAGCTGCACTCCAGCCTGGGCAACAGAGTAACAGAGCAACAGAGCAACCAGCACTCCAGCCTTGGCAACAGAGCAAGACTCCGTCTCAAAAAGAAAAGAAAAGAAAAGAAAAACAGATGAAACATTCATGGTTTCTACAGATACTTTCATTCCAGAGTAAACGGATACACGATTGAATTCTGTGGTTAGAAGAGAAAAGGGAGGTGTACGGGGGACTTTGGCTGCATTTGTTCTACTTCCCTTATGCTGTTGTTGTGAGTTCTGATGTCACCACCTGAAGGGCTCTTCATAGACAGAAGAATTATGGCTATTGTTGTGATTATTCCTTTTTCTTTTACCTTAGTAAAAATAAATTTTTTAGCTTCTCATATAATTTTTTAAAAAACCCTAAGAGATTTAGTCAAATTCCTTGTTATTGTATGGTATAAAAATTGACAGGGAAATGGCTAAAATATATTAAAATTACACAAACTCTAGGAGTCAAGTTTCTATTGGGCAGTATTAGGAAAGACAGAACTGGAAACACTCCACCATAATAGACATCGAAGGGGGCCAGCCCCTCCACACCTGTGGGTATTTCTCGTCAGGTGGGAGGAGAGACTGAGAAAAGAAATAAGACACTGAAACAAAGTATAGAGAAAGAACAGTGGACCCAGGGGACCGGTGCTCAGCATACAGAGGACTCGCACCAGCGCTGGCCTCTGAGTTCCCTCAGTATTTATTGATCATTATTTTTACTATGTTAGTGATGGGAGTGTAGCAGGGCAACAGGTGGGGAAAGGTCAGCAGGGAAATATGTGAGCAAAGGAATCTGTATCATGAATAAGTTCAAGGAAAGGTACTGTGCCCAGATGTGCACATAGGCTAGATTTATGTTCCTCTTTACACAAACATCTCAGTTTAGCAAAGAGTAACAGAGCAGTATTGCTGCCAGCATATCTCACCTCTAGCCACAGGGTGGTTTTCTCCTATCTCAGAATAGAATGAATAGGAATGGTCGGCTTTACACTGAGACATTCCATTCCCAGGGATGAGCAGGAGACCAAAGCATTCCTCTTATCTCAACTGCAAAGAGACCTCCCTTACCATTTACCATGCCATCTCACTGCCTTGTCTGGTGATTTTGAGAACTCCTGTGTCCAGTTCAGAAGTCAGAGACTTCTATCCCATCTCAGTGGGGGCAAACCTTGGACAACACCCAGGCTTTCTTGGGCAGAGGTCCCTGAGGCTTTCTGCAGTGCATTGTGTCCCTGGTTAATTGAGAATGGAGAATGGCGGTTTCATTTTTCTTGTATGCAGGATGATTTTTAGGATTTTTTTTCTGTTATATTTTTTGCATTCTGGTTACCTAGAAGGTAGTGATTATTACCCCAAACCAGGGCTTGATATTGTGTTAGTCCACTTTCATACTGCTATGAAGAAATACCTGAAACTGGGTAATTTATAAAGAAAAAAAGGTTTAATGGACTCACAGTTCCACATGGCTGGGGAAGCCTCACAATCATGGCAGAAGGCAAAGGAGGAGCAAAGACATGTCTTACATGGTGGCAGGCAAGAGAGAGAGCATGTGCAGGGGAGCTCCCCTTTATAAAACCATCAGATCTTGTGAGACTTATTCTGTTTCACAAGAGCAGCACAGGGAAAAACCCATCCCCATGATTCAAGTTCCTCCAACTGGGTCCCTTCCATGACATATGGGGATTATGGGAGCTACAATTCAAGATGAGATTTGGGTAGGGACATGGCCAAACCATATCATTCTTCCCCTGGCACCTCCTGAATCTCATGTTCTCACATTTCAAAATCAATCATGCCTTCCCAACAGTCCCCCAAAGTTTTAACTCATTTCAGCATTAACTGAAAAGTCCATAGTCCAAAGTCTCATCTGAGACAAGTCCCTTCCACCTATGAGCCTGTAAAACTAAGAGCAAGTTGGTCACTTCCTACATACAATGGGGGTACAGGTATTGGGTACCCCCAATGTATTTACACCTGTTCCAAATGGGAGACATTGGTCAAAACAAAGGGGCTACAGGCTCCATGCAAGTCTGAAATCCAACAGGGCAGTCATTAAACATTAAAGTTCCAAAATGATCTCCTTTGACTCCATGTCTCACATGCAGGTCACACTGACACAAATGGTGGTCTCCCATGGCCTTAGGCAGCTCTGCCTCTGTGGCTTTGTAGGGCACAGCCTCCCTCTTGGCTGCTTTCACTAGCTGGCATTTTGTATGGCTTTTCCAGGTACACAGTGTAAACTGTTGGTGGATCTACCATTCTGGGGTCTGGAGGATGGTGTAACTACCATTCTGGGGTCTGGAGGATGGTGGCCCTCTTCTCACAGCTCTTCTGGGCAGTGCCCCAGTAGGGACTCTGTATGGGGGACAGAACCCACATTTCACACCTCTACTACCCTAAAAGAAGTTGTTCATGAGCCCCTGCGCCCGCCCCTGCCCCCCGCCCTGCCAAAGCAAACTTCTGCCTGGACATGCAGGTGTTTCCATACATTCTCTGAAATGTAGGTGGAGGGTCCCAAACCTGAATTCTTGACTTCTGTGCATCTGCAGGCTCCACAGCTTGTGGAAGCTGCCAAGGCTTGCGACTTGCAACCTCCGAAGACATGGCCTGAGCTGTACCATGGTGTCTCCCACCCAAGCCATGGCTGGAGTGGCTGGAATGCAGGGCATCACGTCTCTAGGCTGCACACAGCAGGGGGACCTGGCCCTGCTCCAGGAAATGATTTTTCCATACTAGGCTTTTGAGCCTGTGGTGGAAAGAGCTGCTGTGAAGATGTGAAGGTCTTTCATGTCCTGGAGACATTTTCCCCATTGTCTTGGTGATTAACATTTGGCTCCTCGTTACTTATGCGAATTTCTGCAGGAGGCTTTAATGAAAGTCGGTTTTTCTTTTTTCTTTTCTTTTTTTTTTTTTTTTGTTGACGGAGTCTCACTCTGTTGCCCAGGCTGGAGTGCAGTGGCGCAATCTCGACTCACTGCAACTTCTGCCTCCTGGGTTCAAGCAATTCTCCTGCCTCAGCCTCTCGAGTAGCTGGGACTACAGGTGCACGTCACCACACCTGGCTAATTGTTTGCATTTTAGTAAAGATGAGGTTTCACCATGTTGCTCCAGCTGGTCTCGAACTCCTGAGCTCAGGCAATCCGCCCGCCTCAGCCTCCCAAAGTGCTAGGATTACAGGCGTGAGCCACTGCGCCCGGCCAAGGGTTTTTCTTTTCTATTGCATTATCAGGCTGCAAATTTTCCAAACTTTTATGCTCTACTTCCTCTTGAACACTTTCCCACTTAGAAATTTCTTTCACCAGATACCCTAAATCATCTCTCTCAAGTTCAAAGTTCCATAGATCTCTGGAGCAGAAGCAAAATGCCACTAGTCTTTTTTGCTAAAGCTTAACAAGAGTCACCTTTGCTCTAGTTCCCAACAAGATCCTCATCTCCATCTCCGGCCCAGATATTAGGGTTTATATCACTATCAGCATTTGGGTCAAAGCCATTCAACATGTCTAGGAAGTTCAAAAATTTCCCACATTGTCCTGTCTTCTGAGCCCTCCAAGTCTCTAGGAAGTTCCAAACTTTCCCACATTTTTCTGTCTTCTTCTGAGCCTTCCAAACTGTTCCAACCTCTGCTTGTTACCCAGCTCCAATGTCGCTTCCACATTTTTGGATATCTTAATAGCAGTACCCTACTCTGCCAGTACCAATTATTGTCTTAGTGTATTTTTATACTGCTATGAAGAAATATCCGAGACTGGGTAATTTACAAAGAAAAAGAGGTTTAATGGACGCACAGTTCCAGGTAGCTGGGGAGGTCTCACAATCACGGCCGAAGGCGAAGGAGGAGCAAAGGCATGTCTCATATGGTGGCAGGCAAGAGTGTGTTCAGGGGAACTTCCCTTTCTGCCCCGTATAAAACCATCAGATCTTGTGAAACTTACTCACTATCACAAGAACAGCACATAGAAAAACCCAGCCTGATGATTCAATTACCTCCACTTGGGCCCTCCCAGGACACATGGAGATCATGGGAACTACAATTCAAGATTAAATTTGGGTAGGGACACAGCAAAACCATATCATTAATATCTAACAGGAAATGATCATTTTTTAAATGATTCTTCTACCTTTGAGAAATTGGCTAAGGCCCTTTCTCTGATCTGCAGGGGATGCACAGCTCCTCTCAGTAGTGAGCAAGTATTTATTGGAATAGCTCAGCTAAGCTAAAGTGGAGACCTCTAGTATTTTGTTTGGCTTGTCGTACAAGACATACACAATACCTAGCATGCACGGATAATGCAGCGTGCTGGTGGTGGCAAGAATGAGTGCTACTTTATAGATTATTGATGTTACTGCTTTCTGGGTAGAGGTTCTAAAGGAAGGCTGTATTTTACTCGAAAAATAATCTTCAATGGCCAGTTGGTATGATGCAAGTTGCTTATCAGTAGTTTCCTGTTTTGCTTTATAATCCCTCTCTACTGGCTCCCCAAACTTATTAAAATCCCATTGTATGAAATAACAATGTAACATAGGGAGGGAAGGAAAGAAAAGAGGCTGAGTTCATGCTTGGAGGGAAGCAAGAAGGGAGAGAACAATGCCAGCCAGGTCATGTGGCTAAGACCTGGGCCACTGGAGTTACAAATTGCTAGACTGGCAATTCTGCTGCCTCCCCTCCCAGGGCTTTTCTTGAGTGAACTGTGTGCCCAGGCCTGACAGGCACCTGACACATGGTTGGTTGGTTGGTTGGTTTTTATTGTATCCTCTATCTTTCTAGGAGCTTAGTATGTAAGATATGTGAGAGTGGCTAGGACCTGTCCCCTCAAAAAGTAAGAATGGAGCCGTAAAGGAGTAAGTGTCCATTTTCTGGGACACTCCGAGAGTCTGACTCAGGGACAGGCTGGGAAGAGGCAACTACCGTCTTACATGAGTTTTATATTGAGGAAATTCTTCCATTTCATAAAACAAAATATGGATGGGCCAGTTTAACTTAATTGTTCTTATAGTTAGTAAAAATTCCTTCTAGATTAGTCTGCATATTGGGTGTCAGTTTTACTAATTAGTGTTGTTTTAAGTTTACATTGTTTGCTTTGTTTTACTGATTTTTTTTTCTTTCTTTTTTAATAGGAACTTAGATGGGACTCCATTACAAAGGATCATCCAGATGCTGTTTAAAATTGGGCCAATTCAGCATTAAAATGAAATTACACATTCATGGGATTTGTTACGAGAGTCGGTACTGTTTTGGAGTGATTCATATAGCATTTATAAGGACCAACTCTGAGAGAGATAAATCATTGGTATAAATTATTTTTTAAGTTACTTTAGTATCAGTCATATATTCACTCACATAACAAATATGTATTGAGCTCATCTGGTCCAAGGAATTTGCCAAGCCCTGGAACTAGGGAATGATTTAAACAGACATACTACTTGACCTCAACAAATGTACAGTCAAGAAGGAAGTTATGAGCATTAAGCAAATGATTGCACAATTAATACTTAATTACAACAATGATAAGTGCATCCTGGAAAATAAATGTTATCAATCAATAGGTGCAAGGTGTCAACCTAAATAACGAACAGAGAGAGACTCTGTAAAGAACACTGGGTTGGGGATAGGGTATTTCAGTAGGAATACATGTGCCATAGTCAACTATGTATGCATTCAGGGAGGTAAAGGAAGACAAAGGTATTTAAAGAAAAAATGTGGAGGATTACACAATTGTTTTGACATAGTTATCCTTGATTACAAGGATCAATAACAAGGGTGGTGCCAGTCCAAGGTTGGACAGGCATTTGCTGGACATATGTCCTTGCAGAAGTGTTTTTTTACAAGGTTGCAATGGCAAGATTGTGGTTTTTGCAGTCTTTCGTGATAGTTCTTGTTATCAGGCATATGTGCGTGAGAATTCTCTTTTCATGGCCTTCTCCAGCTGCATTTGGCATGCTCTTCCTCCTCCTCCTCTTCTTTCTTCCCTCCTCCTCCTCCATCAAATACTTTAAAATATACAAATTTTTATTTTGTGATTCAACAGAACATAAAATGAGATTGTTGGACAGGACTTTAAGTTGGAATAGAGACAAGATTGAAACTGTGTTATGCTCAAATTCTAATGGCTTTTTAAAACAGTAATTACTACAGAGTTATTTTCATTAAGAAAAAGTTATTTAAAAATCTTTTCAAGCTTCATATTTCTTCCACAGGCCCAGGAACACAGCTTGTTTGCTATTCAAAGTAGAAGTAAATATGGAGAGTGCTGTGTGTGTGTGTGTGTGTCTGTGTGTGTGTTTATTTTAAAAATTTATTTAGTTCTTATGTTAATATACCTTGCATTTAGGAATACTAACTAATTTGTTTGGTAAAGTCAAAAAGAAGAGCAGCCAGAGAGGTGTTCATAATGAAAGCTAGGAAAATCAGCTTTTGACTCATTTGATAGCCTCCCACCCCTGATTCAAAAATACATGGACCACATATCAAGGCCACTCAACTCATAGAGCGTTGGTGATGGGCCTGACTTAAAGTCTGAAAATTGCATATGTAAAACCATGTTCTCTATAAAAATACACACATTTGCCAAAGTCAGGAAAGGAAAAAAATTCCATTAAATCTAGGTTCAATAAGTGTATTAGAAAATATTTAATTAACTATCTCTGTTAAAACACATCTTGTGACTGCTGTTCCCTCTCTCATTGGTGTTTATTTGCTGGTAAAGTGCTCACTCATTTTTTTTTTTTTTTTTTTTCGAGACAGAGTCTCGCTCTTTCGCCCAGGCCTGAGTACAGTGCAGTGGCACTATCTCGGCTCGCTGCAAGCTCCGCCTCCCGGGTTCACGCCATTCTCCTGCGGCAGCCTCCCTCCTGCGGTAGCTGGGACTACAGGCGCCCGCCACTGCGCCTGGCTAATTTTTTGTATTTTTAACAGAGACGGGGTTTCACCATTGTTGGCCAGGATGGTCTGGATCTCCTGACCTCGTGATCCGCCCTCCTCGGCCTCCCAAAGTGCTGGGATTACAGGCGTGAGCCACCGCGCCCGGCCTGTGCTCACGCATATTTGTTTGCTGTGTGGTGCAGTGCGACCACACGGTTCTTCAGACACAACCTCTGCTTTCTCATTTACCTCAACACTTTAACCCTGAGATTCTTTTTTACTATACTTCAGTATATTTCCCAGAACATATATTGTCTATGAGGGATAAAATAAAATGTCAATTAAAAACAAAAAAATTCAGAGAAATATTAACCATTCACTCTTCTAAGTTCTCAAAGGTTACATTCTTCACCAAGTCA
Source organism: Homo sapiens (assembly GCF_000001405.40). Taxonomy (NCBI): domain Eukaryota; kingdom Metazoa; phylum Chordata; class Mammalia; order Primates; family Hominidae; genus Homo; species Homo sapiens. Next base: position 965,695 of record NT_187383.1, read on the forward strand.
TATAACCAGGTCCCAATAAAATACCATCATGGAGGCAATGTAACATCATGTAATTTAAAATACCATCATGCGGGCAGCTTTCAAAAGCATCCTGTAAGAAAAGGTCATTTGTACTTACATCTTTAAAAGTTTTGAAATTACTATTGAAGATTATTTTTATTGTATTGTCCATTGTCTGTTGCTTAAAGACTTATATATTTTGCTTAAGAGTTTAGAGTTACCAAAAAATAGCTGCTGACATATGCAGATACTATTTTATTAACTAACGACACCTATTTGAATTCTGGTTTTCCTTTTGGCCCTAAAGAACAAGAGGCTTAGGACTAAATTTTAGGCTGAAGGGTAGTGTTTCCTTCCCTAGGTTGTCCCATGTAATTGTCACCTCCTTCTCTTCATTATTCTGTCATTTTGCCCTTGTTTTATAGCGTCTGTGCCTTTCATTCTAAGCTGTCTCAGAGGCTTTTCTGGAAACACACAGTGTATAAGTACAAAATGATGAAATAAACATGCTTCTTTTTTTTTTTTTCTTTTTTTTTAAGACGGAGTCTCCCTCTGTTGCCCAGACTGGAGTGCAGTGGCAGGATCTCGGCTCACTGCAAGCTCCACCTCCCGGGTTCACTCCATTCTCCTGCCTCAGCCTCCTGAGTAGCTGGGACTACAGGCACCTGCCACCATGTCCGGCTAATTTTTTGTATTTTTAGTAGAGAGGGGGTTTCACCGTGTTATCCAGGATGGTCTCGATCTCCTGACCTTGTGATCTGCCTGCCTTGGCCTCCCAAAGTGCTGGGATTACAGGTGTGAGCCACCGCACCAGGCCAACATACTTCTTTATTTTGTTTTAAAAGATACTTGAGTGGGACTAGATGACCTCTAAGGTCCTTTCCAGCTCTAAATTTACGTTACTGTCACCAAAGACAAAAAAAAAAAATCTATTAGGTTATAGGTCTAGAGATGAGTGCCAAGTACTATATTCCTGCTCTAGGTGCATTTCTTGTTGAAGGCAGTGACCTGTTCGGCCGTTTACAGTCTTATGGTGATAAAACAAGAGAACTGATTTCTAAAAAAAAAAAAATTCAGTTGAAATACCTTTTTACTCTTAAGGATCAACAAAAATAAATAGAAACAGAAGAGTTGAATTATTTATTTTGAGCTATTTGTAATAAATTTGGACAACAAAGCTAAGCCTGAGTGTAGTTAATTTAATGAAATTAGTCATATTTGAATATCATCACAACCTTACTATCACATTAGCATTCAGTGTGATTAAAATTTATTCTTTGTTTCTTTGTGAGTCTCCACAGAATCAGCTATCAACAACTTCATAATAAACTAGCCCTTCATTGCTTTCAGGAAACTTTTAGATTCAGAGCAGGTGGTTGGACTTCTGCTTTCAAAGAGAACAAATCATTTTTTAAAGTGCCTTTCCTGTTTGTGTGTGTGAATTTAGAACACAGAAATTGTCCATTGCATTGTTTATTTTTGCTAGGAGGTAGAAGTTATCAAAAATACAGGAAATACTAGATATCACGTACTGATAATTTTCAAAGCTAATTATTTCTCTTAAGGCCAAGCTATAATTTAAGAGGTGTACTTGTGAAATATGAATATTGTTTTATAGTAATAGAATGTTTCTCACGGAAAAATAGAGTATGATTTTGTTGAAGTTCAAGGGAATATCCATTTTCATTTAGGTAGCTTCCAGATTTTTGTCTTTACATGTTCTGTGTAGTGATTTAAATACCGTACCTCCAAAATTTATGTCCACTAGTAACTTTAGAATGCGACTTTATTTGGAAGTAGGGTCTTTGCAGATATAATTAACCCAATGATTGAGATGAGGTCATCCTGGATGAAGGTGGGCCCTAAATCCAATGTAAATGTCCTTATAAGATACAAGAAAAGACACACGCAGAGAAGGTCATGTGAAGATGGAGACAGAAATTGGAGTTATGCAGTCATAAATCAAAGAAGGCCAAGGATTGCCAGGAGCCACTGGAAGCCAGGAAGAAGCGAGGGAGAATTCCTCCCTAGGGTCTTCAGAGGGAGTATGGCCCCACCAACATCTTAGTTTCAGAGGTCCAGGCTTCAGAACTATGAGAGAATATATTTCTGTCCTCTTAACCCACCAAGTGTGTGATAATTAGGTATGATGGTCCTAGGCAACTACTACACTCTAATTCAGAAGTTCTTCTGGATTTTATTATATCATGTGTTGGTAGGAAGTACCTGGGTGTTTCATTTGCATGATATGTTGGTAATCTTAGAATTATCATATCTTGCAAGTCATTTTTAAGTATGTTGTAATGTAGTCAGAAGCTTTTTAAATATGAAATTTAATTCTTGCTGGTGTCAATTACATTTAAAAAAATACAAAATAGCTATATAAGATTCTAGGATCTTTCAGAATTTTATAATGTTTATAATGGAAAGTTGGTTAAATAAAAATTGTACCCTACACAATTTTGTTGTTGGCTTAAAATAGCATTTAATTTATTAGTGCTCAGATAATAGTTATCCCCTCAATAGCATTTTTACTTTCATATGTTGATATCAAACAGTGAAGTGAGACAGCAAATCAGTACAACGTGGTGATTATCAAACATCATAAATCCATGAAGGATAGCGTTGATCTTACTGAGAAGAGTTTAATTTTAAAATGCATACCTGGAAAAGGCAAGTTAGATTAACATTTCAAACTCATATAGCATTATCTGATTGATTATAGTTATGATTGATCATTTTATGTTTGGACCATCACTTTGAATCCAATTGGGATAATTATAAATTAAGGATTTATTATTTGCTTTGAATTTTAGATTAAAAAATTTAAAACCATAAAAACAGAGCTTTGACTATAATAAAGGTATTTATCCTTTCTTGGTAAGAATTGGGGAGAGATTTAAGAAAAGGCTAAGCAATGTTCTATTTTTTTACATAGGCAAAAGTTCATTTGTGCTACTTTTTAATTAGGTAGTTTTTTTTTTTTTTTTTTAATGACAGCTTCCTAAACACTACTGATTTTACATGTGCAGTCATTAGTTTTTCATGTGGAAATATTATCTTTCAAATTCACACAGCAGCTTATTTTATGAAATGCAATGGGACTACTTACTTGCCACCTGACTAAACTGGAATGCATAGATTCATACCTCGCCAAATGAGGAGTTAGGGTGAAAAGTGATTAATATCCATTCTTTAATGAGTTTCTAAGTCTTTCTGAACATGTTTTTATTCTATTTATTGCAGTGGTATGTTAACATTTTCGTGTTGGTTGCTGTACAAAGCATGATAATACCTTTATTAAAGTAATGTTAATGACATCAAAATACTATACTTTTAGTGTGAATCTGAGCCAAATTCTGTTGTATTCCAAATAAAGTGAAATTCCTGTCAGCCAATAGGGCCTGGTATCAGTTTCAAATAAGACAAGTTGGTCAGGTCAGGAGAAATGACTTCCTCCTTCCTCCTTACGTGCCGTATATAGATTTATTAGCACTGCCTTTTAATATGTTATGTGTTCAACAGAGAGGGAACTAAGATCTTGTTAATCATCATTTGAAAACAATTTTGTGAATGGAAATGTAGCAGGGCTTTTGCCTTTTTTCCTTGTTCATGAAAAACAAGTCGCGCTTGGGGAGCAAGTATTCCCGTTCAACTGCTGTCACTCATTCTTAGCTCTGTTTAGAAGAAATAAGCACAGATGGTTGGTCTACTACTTCCCCAACGAAAAATTTGCCTGTTGGCTGGGCGCGGTGGCTCACGCCTGTAATCCCAGCACTTTGGGAGACCAAGGCAGGCGGATCACAAGGTCAGAAGATCGAGATCATCCTGGCTAACACGGTGAAACCTCGTCTCCACTAAAAATACAGAAACTTAGCTGGGCGTGGTGGCAGACGCCTGTAGTCCCAGCTATTTTGGAGGCTGAGGCAAGAGAATAGCTTGAACCCGGGAGGCGGAGCTTGCAGTGAGCCGAGATCGCGCCACTGCACTCCGGGCTGGGCGACAGAGCAAGACTCCATCTTAAAAACAAAACAAAACAAAACAAAACAAAACTGCCTATCTTTTTTATGTTTTATTCCATCCTTCTCATTGTAATGTGAACAATATTTCAAGTGAAGAAACATCTGTAGGGATCTTTGAAATGTTTTATCCATTGCTTGTGCATTAAAGAGAAAAAGAAGAAATTAATGATTTATTAAAATTTCATGAGGGGAACTCAAAAACTCTTTGTTACAAAAAAATTTAATTTAGAAACAGTGTATTTTGCATGCAAAATTAAAGTCTTCAGGGAAGTAAGTTTTTATGTCAGACTTGGATCCGAAAGTACTCATTTAATGATGACAGAACCACTTCATCCACGTCATGTTAAAAATACTGGTGTGGGTCTTTTTTATTTATACTGTGGCTTAATGAAAATTTGTCTATGGTAAATATATTAAGAAAAAGAGCATAAAGACTTTTTAACATAATTTTCTAAGGCTGAAAATATGTGCAAACAGTAAAATACCCAAATCTTAACTGTACAGCCCAATACTTTTTTTGTTTTTAAACAAACTTAGCCCTTCTGCGTATCCAGTACTCAAATCATGAAATTTTATATTATTACTTCTTCTAGACACTATTTCATAGGGTAGCTCCTATGGTAATTTGGAACATAACTGATTAGTTTTACAATTTTTAGTGGATTAGATCATAGAATATGTTCTGTATCTTGCTTCTTTCATTCAATATTTAGTTTATAAGATTTGTCAATCTTTTTGCATATAGTTGTAACTTGTTAGTTCTCATTGCTATATACTATACCATTATACAAATATAATGTTCAATTCGTGGTTATTTTGAACGGTGCTTCTCTGAGCATTCATGTATTTGTCTTTTGTAAATATTGCTGCGTATATGCTCAGGGTCATAGAATATGGTTAGATTTAGCACACATGGGAAATGGTGGTGTCCGTCAGTTTACATTTTCATCCACAATGGGAGAGAGTTCCAGTTGCTCCACATCTTTGCCAACACTTGGTATCATTTCTCTTTTTCATTTGAACTGTTCTGATGTGTATGTGTCACTATTTCAATTGTGGTTATTTTGAACATTACAAAATTGGCAAAGAATAACTGATTTTATTAAATCATATTTCATTTGAAGTAATGTGTGTCTACTTTGCAGTATTTTCCCTTATTTACATGATTCATAAGAAGAGTGATTGTGAGATAGTCAACAATATAACAGCTTGGAATGAGATTTTTGATCAGCTATAATTCTAATGTATTTTATCTAAATATTATTTTACTGTATTAGTAACTGTGATCATTAAGAACAGAAACAAAAGGTAAGCAAGTCCTTAGATTAACATGAAACAACATTCCTGCCTTTTGAAAGAAACTTTTCTGGCCTGTAAGTAAATGATGTAAATCAATTAATAGCTTAACTGAAATTAAGAGATGAGTCTCAGTTTTCATTGCCTATATTATATCTGTGTTTCTGCAGGAACAGAAAAACAGTATGACAAACCTACAGTCTGCTAGTTTCTTCTCACCCTGCCAACAACTGTTATATTACTGTTTAGCTGGTTATATGCAACCATTTGTTGAGGAGGATTGTTTTGTTTTGCTTAGTTTTACTTTTTAAGGCAGAGTCTTGCTCTGTTGCCCAGGCTTGAGGTCTATGAGTTTTATACTCATAGTCACATGGTCAATGAGATGTAATCACAGCTCACTGCAGCCTTAATCTCCTGGGCTCACATGATCCCCCTGCCTCTGCTTCCTGAGTAGCTGGGACTACAGGTGCATGCCACCAAACCCAGCTTGTTGAGGAGAGTTTTGATGAAAATCATTCATCCCTTCTTAACTACAACCAGTGAAGCCTTAGAAAATGTAATTAGAGAAAAAAATAACATTTTTGCACCAAGCTAATTGTATCTTTACCTTTTATTAGTTGGTTTCAGGATTGACACTTATTGATGGTTCTATTTTGGAGTGCGCTTTCCCTGGGTTTAACTCCTTGCAGCACACTTTATATACACTGTGTGGCCTTACTTGAGTAACTTATGTTACTTAACTTCTCCAGATCCCAGATTCTCAACCTGTAGAATGGAAGTAATTATAATACAGATATTATATGGTGGGTTAGTCCAGGTCCTCCAAGAGGTAGATGTTGAAAACGAGTTATACACAAGAGGATTTTATTAAGGGAAATCCCTGTGAGAGAAAATGGAGAGGAAGCTGAGTAAGCCTGGAAGAGCTCTCAACTATGAGGCAAGTCTGACCTAGAATGAAGGAAAGAGGAAAGGAAGGTTGAGTGGAAGCATTGGAGCGTAATGTGCAGTCTAAGGAAGGGTACGAAAAGGCTTCAGGAATCCTGAGCCAAGACTGGTCCTCAGAGAAGCCCTGTGTCTCCTAAAGAGGGATGTGCATTAGCCACCTTGTGGCCCTCAGTCATTGACTGAGGGGCAGATGCAGAAACAGATTTTAGAGTGAAGCAGCAAGTGGCCATAGGCAGTTAGGCTTCCCATACTTTGAGGTCTATGAGTTTATTTATTTATTTATTATTTATTTATTTAAATTATACTTTAAGCTCTGGGTTACATGTGCAGAACTTGCAGTTTTGTTACATAGGTATACACGTGCCATGGTGGTTTGCTGCACCCATCAACCCGACACCTACATTAGGTATTTCTCCTAATGTTATCCCTCCCCTACCCCCCACCCCCCACCCCCCACAGGCCCCAGTGTGTGATGATCCCCTCCCTGTGTCCATGTGTTCTCATTGTTCAACTCCCAATTATGAGTGAGAACATGCAGCCTTTAATTTTCTGATCTTGTGATAGTTTGCTGAAAATGATGGTTTCCAGCTTCATCCATGTCCCTGCAAAGGACATGAACTCATCCTTTTTATGGCTGCATAGTATTGCATGGTGTATATGTGCCACATTTTCTTAGTCCAGTCTATCACTGATGGGCATTTGGGTTGGTTCCAAGTCTTTGCTATTGTGAATAGTGCCACAATAAACATACGTGAGAATGTGTAGAATGATTTATAATCCTTTGGGTATATGCCCAGTAATGGGATTGCTGGGTCAAATGCTATTTCTAGTTCTAGATCCTTGAGGAATTGCCACACTGTCTTCCATACAATGGTTGAACTAATTTACACTCTCACCAGCAGTGTAAAAGCATTCCTATTTTACCACAACCTCTCCAGCATCTGTTGTTCCCTGACTTTTTAAGGATTGTCATTCTAACTGGAGTGAGATGGTATCTCATTGTGGTTTAGATTTGCATTTCTCTAATGAAGTTCTATGAGTTTCTTACTCACGGTCACTAAAAGATGTTTATTATGAATGGAAATCTCCAGATAGAGTAAAGCAATGCCTAAATCATAGTTATGCACTTATCAATTTATTTATTCATATTATTCATTATCATTATGAATATTCAACACATTAATAAAAGAGCCACATATGCAATCTACTTAATCTACTTGGGGTATTGGGAGAGTAAAGAATAACATAGCAGTGCTACAGATAATTTAAGAAATGGTTTCTCTCTCTCTCTCTCTATATATATATGTATGTATATATATATATATATATATATATATATATATATATATGAGACACAGGTATAATTATTTTCCTTCTACTATTTGTTATTGATGTATACTGCCAAATCCCTAACGGAAACTGGAATAGTTAACTCTAAGCTCCCCCCATGCCTACAAAAAGAAGTGGGTTCAAAGTCATTTTTTAAATCGAAAGATTTATTAATATTATTTTTATCATGTCCAATTGATATTATGATTATCAAAAAGTTTAATCACTTATTATTACTTGAAAGACCTAGTTAGGAAATGTTCAATCCACTTTTTTTCTTTTGAGACAGAGTCTCACTCTGTCACCCAGGCTGGAGTGCAGTGACGCGATCTCGGCTCACTGCAAGCTCCGCCTCCTGGGTTCACACCATTCTCCTGTCTCAGCCTCCCGAGTAGCTGGGACTACAGGCGCCTGCCACCACGCCCGGCTAAGTTTTTGTATTTTTAGTAGAGATGGGGTTTCACCATGTTAGCCAGGATGGTCTCGATCTCCTGACCTCGTGACCTGCCCACCTCGGCCTCCCAAAGTGCTGGGATTACGGGCGTGAGCCACGGCTGCCGGCCTGTTCCACTTCTTAAAACTGGTCACTGGAAGTACATCGTCTTGGGAAGAACTGGATATTTCTTGAAACCCCTTTCATATAGCCATATTCTCAAACATAGAACCTTCTTTTATGTTTTTCAAAGATTTTTTCCATTACTGTAGAAAATTCAGAGGGTGTTTATGGATAGTGCAGTACTCTGCTCAAATATAGGGAATGAAAGTTACATTAAAATATTTTTTTTGCTGAAAAGTATTACGATATTTAATGTAAGCAAATTACTCAGATGATAGTGTTTTGTTTTAACTTTTTAAATGTCTTATTTCAATAGCTTTTGGAACACAAGTGGTTTAGGTAACGTGGATAATTTGTATAGTGGTGAAGTCTGAGATTTTATTGCACCTGTCACCTGAGTAGTGTACATTGTACCAAACATGTAGCTTTTTTAATCCCTCACCCGCCTGCCAACTTCCCCCTTACGAATCTCCAGAGCCCATTATACCACTCAGTGGAGAGTCTTCAACATTCACGGTGGAATCTTCAGGATGTGACCCTCTATCCATTGCTTTCCACCGTTTGTACTCTCTGCTTTGTAAATAGAGGTCCGTTCTCCCTGTCTGCCTTGTTCACGTACCTTTGCCGTTTTCCTTGCTAGGATGACATCGTTTGCCCTGAAGTTCTCATTAACCATACCATAGATGTCCTCTTCTTACCTCAATACATCCAAGGCTACCTCAAGTTATAACTTCTCCTTTAGTTTTTCCCTAGTGTCTGAGTCCAAATGGACTTCTCTATATCCAGAATATCTACTACTTGTCTTATTTTTCCTCACACTTGGCACGTGCAGTTCCTTCCAGCTACTTTCATAATGTTGTATTTTAACGGTTCAGTTGTGTTTATATTTCACTATTCTGTCAGGCAAACAAGGGTATTCGCATGGCTGAAATCTATGGTATTTTTTAAGTGTAATAAAATGTAATGAATAAACATACAAATGAATGAGTTAATTAATATATTATATTCTTGGTTAAGTAATAAGCATTATGAGGACAAAAATTGAGTCTTACACCTTCTTATAATCCTAAAGACCTCGTACAGGACTTGGAATATAGCATGCACTTAAGACATCTTTGTGACTAATGAATTTAAATATTTTTATTAATTCTAAGTTGACATATGATTGTAATTTGGGGAAGGTAGTGAAATTTCAAATGGCTTTCACCACCTGTGAAATGACCCTTTTACATACCACATGATTTACCAGATCTTTGTTTAGGTGAACCTAGGTGAAAGCGGATTGTTTCCTCTACTTAGGAAATACTTTGCGTATTTTAGTTGCTTATAAATGTGATGATTTTAATTTGTACAGTTATAGTTTATGATATTGACTTGTACAGTTATATATATGTTTACATATTATATATTGCATATGGTTATACTATGTATAATTTTATTTTTCTAAAATAAAGAATATTATTACACATTAACAAAATAGATATAACTGTTTTCCTTCTACTATTTGTTATTGGTGTATACTGCCAAATCCCTGATGGATACTGAAATTCTTATCTCTAAGCCCCTCTATGCCTACAAAAAATGGGTTCAAGGTTATTTTAAAAATCAAAGAGTTTATTAATAATATTATTTTTTATCATGTCCAATTGATACTATCATTATTAAAAAGTTTAATCACTTATTTCTTGAAGGACTTAATTAGGAAATATATATAATGTGTGTGTATATATATATGGAATATATATATATACTCTATATATCCTATATATGTATTCTCTCTATGTGTATCCTATATATTCTCTATATATATTCTATATATATATATTCTCTATATATTCTATATATTTATTCTCTATATATTCTATATATATTCTCTATGTATTCTCTCTATATATTCTCTATGTATTCTCTACATATTCTCTCTATATATTCTATATATAATTCTATATATAGTCTATATATGTATTCTATATAAATACACACACACACACATATAGTAGCCTAATATTTAAAACATAAGATTGGGACTGCCTAAAATAAGCTGACCCAGACCATAGGGGTACAGACATACGTATACTTCAGCAAGAACTGGTAACAAAGTGAGATATATGTTAACTCTTTGTAGCATATTGTTAAGTAGTATTAAAAAACAAGTAATTTTTGGTTGGGTCCATTGAGAGAATAACAGTATTTTTAGAATGATCTAATGGCACGATAAACATTTTAGCATTTTACCTGGAAAAACATTATAGCTGTGCCAGTTTCTGTTCCAAGAAAAAAATACATTGGTGTATTCTCTAAAGGAGGAAATTCTGACCTCAACTATGTTCAGATAGCTGTGGCAGATAATACTCTGATCAGGTACTAAGTCATATATCTTTCACATTTCCCTTTGCTAGTTATACTCAGCGTGTGGTTGGAAATGGAATCAAAGCCCAGTCTGGAACTCCTGAAGTCAAAGTCAAAGGAACTGATCCTGTGATAAATCAGATTATTGATAAACTGAAGCATGTTATTCAGGTAAGTCCTGATCCTATATTTTTTGGTATAGCCAATAATAAATAATAAGTGGTTACTTTCTGTTATACTTGATAAATTTGTTAATCCTATCAGATAATCCTACCTAAAATATTGTAGCACATTATTTACATCAGGACTTTTGGAAAGATTTAGTTTAATGATTTTTGTATGCAGTCAATATGCAGCTGTAATTTAATGTTGGACAATCTGTATATGTGAAAAGCAAGCCTCAGCCTCGGCCTTTCAATGATGAGAATCTCAGGACATGCGTTGTCCTCAGTGAATAACTTTGAACATGGGAATCACTGTGACCATTAAAGAAAACACATATAAGGCCATGGAAGATGCCAGAGTTATCTTTCAGGTAATTCTCTGAATGTTGCTCTAAGGTTTTTGCAGCATTTCAATACAAGTTAGGTCATAGATGAAGAATATGTGTTTCTAATATTGATTTACAATATCACCTTTCGTATGTTATCTTATAATCTACCTAATGGTTGTTTATGAAATACTTCTGTCTTATCTTCAATAATATTTTTCATCAAGTGAATGTGTATTGCTGTTTTTAATACATGGCAAATGAAGCATGAACATATTTATCAAAATAATATTTCATTGAAATAGTCTATTAATTAGAACCAAACATTATGTTGCATGTTGTAAATATTATCCTCCACTCTGCGTCTATTGATGTTTGGGGAAAGGAAGGCTTTTCTTTTTAGTTAATGGTCATTTTATAAAAATTTATATTTGAATATACTTTCATTTTTCCTAAGCAAAACTTTGTATGGGTAGTTGATGCTTATTTCTAGTATCGTGGGTCAGAAACAACACCTAAATAGTACAGAGTTTTTATTGCATACAACATATTTCAGAGTCAGTGGTAGGCTTCTCATAATTGTCCTGCCAAGACGAAGCTTAAGTTTATGCAGAGCCAGTTCCTGGGTTTCCATTTTTCACAAGAGTCCCTATATCTCAAAGAGAGGATGTGTAAGAAGGACTTGGGGGTTGGTGTCGAATACCATAGACTTCTCCCTTCTGCGAGGTAACAATGCTTATTCTACCATAGATACCTATAGAGAACAGAGCTGTCACCCTTGCTGTCAAAACCAAAAATAAATTCTACTGGAAAAGTCTAAGAGAGAAGTGGTGTCATGACTACTGATGAGTCAAACCTCCCAGCCTCTGCTGAGCTGGTCCAGTTGGTACCTCATAGTATCGTCCACTGTAGTATAATATGTACAGCTAGATTATTTGAAAATTCAAGTGCATAATTGATAACAAAACCAAAAGAGCTTTAACATTAATCAGCTCCTCTCATTGAGGAGTGAGTACAATCTCACTGTGAGGACACGGTGAAATCTTAGGGGTTTCTTAAGTGGGGTAAGCATTCCACAGAGGGTGGAGGAAGAAAACCTAGAACTTAAGTATATATTTATTCCATCTCATTCTTTTATATTTCTTTGGTTGTAGTAAGGTATATAAAATATGTAATATACTAGTGCAATAGCACATACATATAATTTATAAATACATAAATATACATATTAACTGGACATCTGTTCAGGTTGTTTTTCTAAGATATATACAAGATGAAAGCAGAACAGAAACCCTGTTGTGGATAATAAGGATGGAGCTGTTCCATAAGAAGTGCAGTTAGAAGAAAACACATTCACAGAGGAACACGTAGATACCCAAGATAGAAAGGATTATAAAAACCCTTAGGAGGAGGGTTCACATATTTATTACCCATTCAGCAACTCCCCTCCCCATTTCTTGTTTTGTAGGTTTCAAAGCCTTTTCAAGGTGGCAGAGGGAAGTCATCCTGCCTTTCTTTTTTAGTTTCTGTGTGAACTTGAGTCCCATTCTTTCTTCTTTATGGAAGTGTGCAGATCTCCAATTATTCATGCTTAAGTTTCATTCTGGGGTTGCAAGAGAATATCAAATGCAACGCTGCCTTTGAGGTCTATCCTTTTAAGGTCTGCTAGAATTATATGATAGAAATTTAGATTTTTATAGAGGAGAGCAGAAAGTCCTATCTTGCACAGGTGTCACTGAAACATTCACCTTTAATGTGTAAGAGTATGCTCTTTCATAAACTGCTCTCCTGGAGATGAAGAGAAGTGTTTTACTTTGCCATTTTTTTTTTTTTTTTTGAGATGGAGTTTCGCTCTTGTTGCCCAGGCTGGAGTGCAATGGCGCGATCTCGGCTCACTGCAACCTCTGCCTCCTGGATTCAAGCGATTCTCCTGCCTCAGCCTACAGAGCAGCTGGGATTACAGGCGTGTGCCACAACGGACTGGCTAATTTTTTTTTTTTGTATTTTTAGTAGAGACGGGGTTTCTCCACATTGCTCAGGCTGGTCTCGAGCTCCCGACCTCAGGTGATCCACCTGCCTCGGCCTCCCCAAAATGCTGGGATTACAGGCGTGAGCCACCATGCCCGGCCTACTTTGCCAAACTTTTGACTACTGATAATGTACGCGTGCCCTGGCAGGGATGGCCATTGTACTGTCAGTATCAAGGAATGGGTAACAGCACCCACCACAATGTCAGCTATGAAAGGATTCAGAAAATAGCCTTCTGTAAGTCAGAATTTATTAATTTAGGAGTAGGGCCATGGAAGATGTCAACATAGGAATAGGTTTCAGATTCTAAACTGTAGATTTAGATGATCACTTCTTAGTGTTTGTATAAAATTTACTTTATTTTTTATTATAATATTAAGTTCACTGTCCACCTTTATACTATGAAAAATGCCATCTCTCTCAATAGGGACATACCTGTATTGAAGTATATGGAAGGAAATCAGCCATAAAAGCAAAAATTGCCTGCATAGACTCACCCAAAAATGCCTTTCTCGGCCTGCCATTAATATGAACCTCATTTCTACCTAGAATTGTCTGCAATTAGAGTCATTAAGGAAGTAGAAAAAGATTTTTACTTGGAAAATGGCACTTTTTAATGTTTTAATAATTAATTCATTCAAAATACTCAACAAATGTTCATTGAGTTTCTAGTACGGTCCTGGTTCTGTACTGGCACTGAGGTTAAAGTTGTGAATAAAGCAGACACAACCCTGCTCTCATGGGCTTTCCATTGTAAGAAAAAGTAAATAAACAAACAAAACCAGTATTGTAGCTGACACCTGTTATAAACAAAACCAAACAGGATGAGGTAAGGAAAGATATTTAAGAAGAATGTCCTGGCGAAGGCCACTCAGGGGGAGATGTTTGGGGTGATGCTGAATAAGGAGAAGAAAAGAGTCATGGGAAAACCTGTGAGAACTGTTTCTGGGGCAGAAGGCAAAGTAGGCGTAAAGGCCCCGTTGCAGGAATAAGTTTGTTTTACTCAGAGAACAGAAGGTCAGTCGGCTAAAACCAAGTGAGCTAAAGGGAAGAGATAAACATACATCATGTTTTGGGAAGTCCAGTAGGCTCTGGTAAAGAGTTTATATTTTCTCCTAAGTAGACTAAGAAGTCATTTAAAAACTGTAAGCAGAGCTAGCTGGGCGCAGTGGCTCATGCCTGTACTCTCTGCACTTTGGGAGGCTGAGGTGGGCAGATCACCTGAAGTCAGGGGTTTGAGACCAGCCTGGCCAACATGGTGAAACCTCGTCTCTACTAAAAATACAAAAATTAGCCGAGCTTGGTGGCACATGCCTGTAATCCCAGCTACTCGGGAGGCTGAGGAAGAAGAATCGCTTGAACCCAGGAGTCAGAGCTTGCAGTGAGCCAAGATCGTGCCACTGCACTCCAGCCTGGGTGACAGAGCAAGACTCTGTCTCAAAATAAATAAATAAATACAAATACATCACAAATTTAATAAATAAATAAAAACTGTAAGCAGAAGCTGATACAATTTAATCTATGTTTTATGAGGACTTCACTATGAAAAATGGTCCCTGCATGAAAGAATGAAAAAAGAAAGTAATACAGACAGAAGACCACATAATTGGAACTAGAATAATAAAAGTGGATAAGCTGAGAAGTGCATAGATTTAGACAAATATTGGAAGCAGGGTTATTGGGATTTGTTAATGGATTGGAAATTTGGGAGACAGAAGAAAGATGATAGCAAGGTTTGGTGGGATGATAGTGTCACTAAGTGAGAAAAGGAACTCTGAGAGAGGAGCAGGCCTGGTGGAGGGTCCCTGGGATTGATTAGAAATCAGTGGTGTTGTTAACTGTGAGATGCTTATTAGATACCCAAGAGGGATGTGCAGAACTCAGGGAGACCACACAACTGAAAGTGTATGTTTGTAAGCACTAGCATGTGGATAGTACTTAAGCTCTGAGATTGTATAAGGCTGTCACCTTTCCTTTAGAGTATAAATTCACACCAAAACTATTAGTGGAGACTATAAGACAATGGAATCATAAAAAAAAAAATTGTACTGCAAAAACCTATGAATGGATAAAACATTTTATTAATTGTATTTGGCACCTTGTATATACTTAGTTGATCTAGGACAGAGAAGATACTTAGTAACATTCATTTTTTCTTACTGTAAGAATAATGACCCAGGAGGCGGAGGCTGCAGTGAGCTGAGATCAGGCCACTGCACTCTAGCTGCAGGAGATAGAGTGAGACTCCGTCTCAAAAAATAAAAGAATAATGAATGCTCATCAGAGGGAATTGAATTTTATTATTCTAGGAAATCTGATGGAAAAAGTGAAAAATAAATATTGATACATTTATAAAACAATGAAAAGACTTATAAGAGAAGCCATCTAGGCTTTTTTTCTATACTTAATTATACATATAAATACATCAATACTTTACTTAAAAAAATAAGACCGTAGGGCACGTTTGATTTTATGATCTGAACTGCTCACCTGACCACACAAAACAAATATTTTACCATGGCATTAAATATCCTGCTATCTGGTTGTCAGTGCTGGCATATTTTTCTATCATATGGAAAGATTACAGTTTTACTTCATCCAGTCACCTAAAGTTGGATATTTAGCTTGTGACCAGATTTTCATGATAATAAAGACTAATAGGAATATCAGCAGACATAAAATGTTTTTGGCATCTTTTTTTTTCTTGTAATGCATTCTACATATTGAAACTAATAATTGTATTTTGATACATATTGCCACGTTTTTCTCAAGGAAAATTATAGATAACAGAAAGTGTCAGCTTTCTCTGTGTGTTAAGGTTGTGGGTGGAAGCTTGGCAGTGACTCTCAGACATATTGGTATGGAACACCATTGGACTCTCTAGAGATCAAGGCAGCAGTCCTGTAGAAATGTTAGCCTGAGCTGTGTGTCACCTGGGAGTACTCCAAGGATGACCAAAAGAAATATTTTAGTTAGAAGACAATTTATAAGAAAAGTTTAGAGGCTTCCTAGAGAGGTCATAGCATACACAATTTTATTTCATCCTTTAGGACAAGCCCTATATGTATGTTCTGCACACATCCCCTCCCACACCCTCCTCAAAAAAAAAAAAAGCTGAGATCTGATGTAAATAGATAACTGGATTATAGCTTGGTCCATAAGGAATATCTCAGAAACTTCAATATTCCTTCACCCCCTCTGCAAATCCTTCTGAATTGAGAATGGGAACCTTGGCAACAGAGGGGAGTCATGAACCTCCCTTTTCCATCTGTGACTCTGACATCTTCCTCTGGGTCAGCCATTGTGCAAACTCTCACTTAATTTCTGGCAGTTTCCTGCATTCCAGACCTGTTTGTGAAATAGGCAATATTTGTCCCTTTGAAAATCACCTGTGATAAATGTGGTATAGCCCATGGCCAGTGAAGATTTTCCTATGGGGAGACATATTCCTAAGTGTTAACATTAACGTTTCCAGATGTTTGAGTCAGACTCAATTGCCCTTTAATATTATAGGTTGAAAACAACATTTGGTTGATCTTAGTATATCTGATTGAGGAAATATGAGACCCTTTTTAATTTAGATTTGCTCACCTAGCAAACTTACTTTGAAATTTCTTGGTCATATTATGTTTGCTTACGGCAAAGTTATCAGCAAAAAAGTCACAGTTATGCAGCAATTTATCTTTAAACACTAAATGACATCTATCATTTTTCAAAGAAAATAATGTCAGCAGTTAAAATCCTAACTGCTTGAGCACTGTTAGTTGACAATTATATTGCCCCATTGCTTAGAAATTAATTGACCTACTTTCAATAAGAAACATAAAAAGTAATATCACAGCAATTTTCTGGATTTATTTTATTGCAAAACCAATAAATGTTACAGTGTCGTTAAAAGTAATAGATTTAAAAAACATTTTATTTTCTTAAACCTAACAATTCAAATAACATAAAGTAATATTACGTTTCTATTAAGCATTCATTTTTATAGAGACCAAAACTTCTTTACAAAATGTCTTCATGTATAATATAAATTAGATGTGAGAAAAGCAATAATCATAATCATTGCCTAAATCCACAAAATAAGTAGATATTCTATAATATGTATTTCAGTAATCACAATGTAGTGGATTCAGGCAGAGATGAGAGACACTCTGATTTTAGTAGAAAAAGACTGTGCTAAATTACCTCTTTGCCTTTTTTCACTCTGTTCCTAGGATACCAATATAATAAATAGTACCTTTAGAACTGTGATACACTGAGAAAAGTTCTAATTTAAATCTCAATAGATGATTACACAGGTAGTGTTTACACACACACACACACACACACACACACACACACACACACACAATGACAGGAGTTTTTAAAGATATTAGTATCTCGGAATTTTTGTATTCTGAAAACTGTCCAAGCTTTTATCATTAAATCACTTGTTATGAAACACACTTTAGAAACACCCTTTCCTATTTTTAATAGCCTATGATAGTCATACAGAATGAGTTAATCATAATTGATTGGTCAATTGCTAATTCCGAATTCTTTGACCATAGCACGTCAGCTGATTCTATGAACTTCTACAGACTCTTTCCCTTGGTCGGGGAATTGCCACAACACTCTGACTCCTTTCCCCACAACTCCATTACATGACATTGTCACCTCCCCAGGCTTATGATACTAATATTCCAGAGAGACGAACAGTTCTTGATTTTGAATAGAAATGCAGTACTGACCAAAACTGATTTAGTTTTGGTTCAGAAGGAAGCGCTGGATATGCCCTCAATAACTTTCCATGGTCATCTAATTCAGCAATTAGTTTGTCTGAGTAAATTCAATGGAAGGCTGCTTTCTCGAATGGGTAGTGTAATGCACTGACTTCCCTATTAGACATTTCATTTAAAAACATCAATTGTCTGCATAAAACAACCATTTCCATCAGTGTACATTCAACTGGAAAGGAAAGCTTGAGGACTTTTTTTTGAAAGTAGTGGGATTGGGGTTGGCCATTGGTAATTTCTTTTTGATTAAAGCGTATGTAATTGTTTTGTGTTGGATACAAATTTATTTATGCGGATGCCTCTGATCTTATATGTTATCATTTCCCATTAAGACCTGAGCTGTTTATCTGCTGGGTTTTCTGGTCATAAAATGTTGAAAGGACGTTAAAATGTAGAACTTTTATATTTTTTATTTAGGTGACTAGGATAAATTCTGGTGATTTATAGGCTAAAACTTAAATGTATTTCTGCTTAAAATATTTTGAAATATGGTTTATTTCACAAATGAGGTTCCAAACTATAACCAGCTCTCACTAAATTCATATTTATGTGTTTATGTATTTATTTATTTATTTATTTTTGAGACAGAATCTCGTTCTGTCGCCCAGGCTGGAGTGCAGTGGCGTGATCTCGGCTCACTGCAAGCTCCGCCTCCCGGGTTCACGCCATTCTCCTGCCGCAGCCTCCCGAGTAGCTGGGACTACGGGCGCCGGCCACCACGCCCAGCTAATGTTTTGTATTTTTAGTAGAGATGGGGTTTCGCCATGTTAACCAGGATGGTTTCGATCTCCTGACCTCGTGATCCACCCGCCTCGGCCTCCCAAAGTGCTGGGATTACAGGCTTGAGCCACGGCACCCGGCCAAAAGATCATTTTTAAATTATGCATCTGGGAATATATTATCAAACCAGGCCTGAAACTTATTAAAAAGACGGTAAAATCTAATTTAACTTCATTTAATACTCCTTTCCTCTTAGTCTTATCAAAGCAAATGAGCTTGGCTTTTAATTATGAAAATGTAATTTTAATTTATAAGACATATAACAAAGCAAGATAGCTGCTAAATTCACTTTATCCTAGTAACTTCCTATTGTATACATTCATTTTTAATGTAATAAGAAATCCTTCCAAAATTTTTAAAAGAATCACATTACCCAAGAAGAGGCTCAACATTTCTAGAAAATAAACATGTTCTTAAGACACTTAACAATTCTTGAAATGAAGACCTAACTCTTCAGGGTTTTAAAATATTTGATGTGCACTCTTTACATATATAGTTTAAATTTAATAATTACCCTTCTCAAAAAATAAGTGAAACATACCACAAACATATCAAAGCAAGTTATTCATACTTCTCATTTAAGTAACTGTATTGTCATAGCAAAATTATTTTGTATCATCAAAAAGCACAAAAGCCTTATTAGAATACTAATTTCAACATCTGTTTCACAGATTTGCTCATAATAGATGTTTTTCATGCTTCTGCACTAATTCATTGAAGGACAATGTTTTACCGATTCTTGAAAAACTATCATTATCTGCCCCACAGTGGTGGCTCATGCCTGTAATCCTAACACTTTGGGTGGCCAAGGCTGCCGTTTTGCTTGAGCGCAGGAGTTCAAGACCAGCCTGGGCAACATGGTGAAAACTCATCTCTACCAAAAAAAAAAAAAAAAAAAAGTAAAAAGTTAGCCGGGCAAGGTGGCGGGCACCTGTAGTCCTAGCAACTCAGGAGGCTGAGGTAGGAGGATCACCTGGGCCTGGGAGGTTAAGGTTGTGGTGAGCCATGATTATGCCACTGCATTCCAGTGTGGGTGACACAGTGAGACCTTGTATCAAAAATAATAATAATATAAAATAGAAAATAAAAATATCATTATCTGACATTTTAAAAAGTATATTTCCTAACCTATAAATATACTTTGTAGATTAACAAGAGAAAAATTTCAAGATATTGTAAATTTAAAACAAATCTTTATGTATAATATCATTGTAATGTCTTTGACCAGTATCAATCTATCATGTGAGATAAAAAATATTAAACATTCATTTATTGAATAAATGAATGAAAATCATAATTACCTCGATCACTATATTTAAAATTTAAATGAAGCAGGAAAGTAAATCTTCCTAATTATCATATACTTAGCTGTTTAAAATCACTCTAATGACAAGTAATATGCTTTCACTCTTGAATTATACTTTTAAAATGCCTGTATTGTTTCATTCACTCATGCTTCCATTAGTTCAGTGAACAAATATTGATTACTTACCCACTATGTGCCAGGTATTATGATAGATTCAGGGAGTACAAAAATGATTAAATGAGGGGATCAGTTGGAGTGACTGTTTTCTAGAAACAATGCCTATTTCAGTTATGAACTAGTCTGTTTTGAAGAAAATGGTGAGGGAAAGCTAAAAATAATATTTTCACTTTATTCAACAAATCTTATTGAGGTCTTATTATGAATCAGGGGCTCTCCTAGGTACGGGCATACAAAATTGATTAAGACCATGCTTGCGTGCAGAAAACAAACAGAAAAGCATCTCTATAATAAAAAGGAAAAAGAGGAATCCCCTTTGTAGGTTTCATAGTTTATACTGATATTTCTGATGTCGTCTCAGAGAATTAGTCACAATTATAGGAACTCAGAAGGCATTCCGTGGAGATGAAATAGAGACTAAACTAGCAGAGATTACTTAGTGAAATATTGTGATACCATTTATTTCAATTAGAAAATAGTTATAATTCATTTTAGAAGATATTATGGCTTACACATAGTAGATGTGATGACTGAATAACAGGATTGTTGAACGATGGCACCTTGGTAGCCATTAGCCATTGCCACCATGATTCTGCATTAAAAAATCTATGCAAAACGCCCGGGCATGGTGGCTCACGCCTGTAATCCCAGCACTTTGGGAGGCCGAGGCGGGCGGATCACGAGGTTGGGAGATTGAGACCATCCTGGCTAACACGGTGAGACCCCGTAACTACTAAAAATACAAAAAATTAGCTGGGCATGCTGGCACGCGCCTGTAGTCCCAGCTACTCGGGAGGCTGAGGCAGGAGAATCGCTTGAACCTGGCAGGCGGAGGTTGCAGTAAGCTGAGATCGCGCCACTGCACTCCGGCCTGGGAGACAGAGTGAGACTCCGTCTCAAAAAAAAAAAAAAGAAAAACTTTGGAGTATATTAATAAACATTGTGTTTTTTTTAAAAAAAATTTAAATCTTTAATTTCCGTTTTCACGATTTTTCTTCTTGCTTCCAAAAGGAAAGGAGTGCGTAGCTCTGTTGCCTTTACATCGTCCACGGCCCCTGGGTTGGGGCGGGGTCCCCCGGGCCGCCCGGGGGTCCACATGCAGTCCCTGGGGAGGCCGGCGCGGGGTGAGGTCCGGGGGCCGCCTTATTGCTGAGGTCCGGCCGGTTGGGGCCCTGGCGGCCGCTAGGCGCTCTGGCTGCGCAGCTCCTGGGAGATGAAGCGGGCAGGCGCTCCAGGTACTGGCTGTAGAGCTGGATGTCTTTGTGCCCGGCGCCCTCCACCCACAGCGGCTCCACGGCGTTGGGGCAGCGCTGGTAGAGCGCCAGCCCGTGCGAGAAGTCCATCACCTCGTCTTTCGTGTCCTGGATGATGAGCACGGGCGGCGTGATCTTGGACACCTTCTGGATTCTGCGGGAGGGGCGTGGGGCGGGTGAGACCTCGCCCGGCCCGGGCCCCGCCCCGCTCCGCCCCCGCCCCCGTCCCCGCCCCAGCCTGCTCACTTGGGGAAGGCGTCGAAGCAGTAGGTCTTGGTGTCCGGAAGGCGACGCTCAGGTCCAAGGTGAGCGGCGAGTGCAGCACCACCGTGGCGGACTCGTAGCGCGAGGCCAGGTCCACGGTGGGCACCGTGCCGATGCTCTGCCGGTACAGGATGATGCCGTCCGGGCTGATGCGGTACCTGGCGGCACCTGAGCAGGGTCAGCCTAGGCCTCCAACGCGCGCGCACCCCTCCTGCCAGCGGGCGTCCCCGGGCCCAGCTCCGGATGCGACTCTCCAGTCTCCCCGCTCAGCCAAGTCAGTTGGTCAGGCCCAGGCTCCACACCAGTCTCAAGGGCCACCCCCAAGCCCCCCAACACCGCAGCGGTGGGCGAAGCCGGCGGCCTGGTCCTGTTCCCTGCCACTATGGTTCACTGGCGTTTCCTAGCCAGGATCTGCTGGATCCTGGCTAGGGAGTCCCCCTCGGGCTAGGGTAGGGGAAGCCCTGGCACCTCTCCTCCTCTTGGTCACCCCTAGGCGCACACTGGGAACTGTGTGGCCTCCCACATCCTGAATGCTTCACGCCTTCCTGCCCAGGTTAGAAAGCTCTTCCTGGTGCACTGGCCGGGACACTCTTCCTCCCTGCAGCCCTTGCCTACCCCCTTGGCCATGAGGAATTCAGGCAGCTGTGTCCCCAGATGTCTCCACCCAATTTTGGACTCTCAGAGTCCCATGCCCAATGAGCTGCCAGCCCAACCCAGGTCAACATCGAGGGTGGTGGCTGCGGGGGCAGCATCTCCTCCCACCAGTGCCTTCCCTTGGGAGTGGACAAGTCCTCCGCCACCTCAGCACCACCAGCTCCCACCCAGGGCCACCCCCACTCCCAGGTCACTGGTGTGCGGCCCCTGGCCCAGCTGACCCAGCACCAGTCCCAAGGCCTCCTCATGCCCAGTCCCAACCACGCGGGACCCACCTGCCACCCTGTCGATGCCGAGACCCCAGAACTCTCCTCCCACAAGCTCCAGGCTCTGATGCCAGGCAGATGCCCTCCTGCGAGGCAGGAGCATGGGCAGGTGTGCGTCCCGTCTGGCTGGCATTCGGACTCCACCAGCAGGGCTGTCTCCCTCCCTGGCCTGGAATCCCAGCCTCCTGGCAGCACTCCACAGCTCACTGCTCACCCATGCCCCAAAGGATGCTGCCTGGCTTGTGCCTGTGGCTGCAGCTCTGCCTCAGCCTCCCTGGCCTGCTCCCTGGCAGCCAAGGCCAGTAGTGTGCTGAGCCAGCCCAGCCCTGTCACCTGCTCCAGGCAGGAGCCCCCAGCTGCCACCTAGATGTCACCACTCACACAATCAAACAAGACACATCCTCCATAGAGGCCCTGAGCGCTATCTGGCCTCCCCCTCACGGCTCTGGGCTGAGGATCCTGCAGGACAAAGCGACAGCAGGACAGACGGCGGAGTAGACAGAGCTCAGAGCTGGCCATGGGGTGTGTGACTCTGCCAGTGCCCCGGGCAGTAGAGACAGGAGGGGCCCAGGAAGCTGCATGAAGTGGTGCTTGGTTTCGGCGCCCCACACTGCCGGGAGGCCCCCAGAGCCAGGGTGGTGCCAGGGGACCCAGCTCCCACGCCCACAGCAGGGACTGCCTGGGATATCTCCAAGGCAACGAGGACCCCACCTCCCAGGGCCTCTGACTTCTCAGAGCTGCGCCTGGCCCCTGCAGGAGCGGGTCAGACCACTGGGCTGGGCAGGGCAGGGCCAGGACGAGACAGCCCCAGCGGGTGGCGAGCAGGAAAGGCCCCCAGAGGCCCACGCGGGTCTTCTAGTCCAGAGCAGCACTGGCCCGGGTGGTGCTCAAACACCAGTGAAGGGCCCAGGCAAGCGCAGGGCTGGGGACCTGGATGATTAGGAGGGCTGGATCTGGAATCGAAGCTGGCCGAGACCTCAGGTGTGTGCTGGGGGTCTGCACCTGACCCTGCAGGCCCTGCCCCGGGATGGCTGAGCTCCACAGCCACGGGGCCTCATGGGCCAGGCCTTGGGACCTCGATGCAGCAGCCTCGCCTCACCTGGCCCCAAGTGCGGCCTCAGCCCGTGGGCTCCCAGCCACACATGCACAGACCCCCTGACACCACCCACCCCCTCCCGCCAGGTGGTGTCCACGCCCCTGTGACAAGCTCAGCCCCTTCCTGTCCTCAGGCCAGGGGATCCCAGGGAGCCTGGCTCCACAGGCCAGGGTGTGGGGGGACCTCCTGGCCACACCTCAGCCATGTGGAGGCAGCACCCGCATGCCTGAGCTCACCTGTCCGGCTCTCTGGCAGCATGCGTCCACTGTGGCTCCTCTCCTGCAGGGCCGCCCACCTTCCTCCCAGGGAAGCCCGCCCCTCCCCCCGGCCCCTGGCCCCCGGCCTGGTCCCCTCTCGGGTGTGCCCAGGCTGAGCTGCGCCCGGGGTCGCCCTCACCTGGTGCGCAGGGCCTGCCAGGCGGCGTTGATGTCGGCGTAGAGGTTCGTCTCGGAGGGCCTGCCCGAGCTGGCACCGTAGCCAGAGTAGTGGTAGGAGAAAATGTTGCAGTGGAGGCGGGAACACAGGCCAATGTAGAAGCTGCTCATCTGGCCCAGGTCCACCGCGTTGCCTTCCTTGTTCATGCACCTCTGGTCAGACGCAGTTCAGCTGATCTAGGCTGGGCTTGGCTAGCATTGGCTTGAAGCTGCAGCTGGTGTCCAGATCTGTTCTACGTATTTGTGATTCTCCTCAGCCCTCCCGGGTACTTGAAGCATGTTATTGTTATGGCAAAAGTCAGGAGTGCAACCTGCCTGTGCAAAAACATGCCAGGCTTCTGTTGCCTGAAATCCTCTAAGATACCCCTTTGGCTTAAGCAAAATCACACAGCAAGGATCAAAGTCAAGGAGTGGGGAATTATATCTGTCCCTTAGAGATGGAGATAGGAGAGAGTGTGAACAAATGCAGGAAAATGATCTCATCTACCAGAGTGTCCTTAAATATTTTAACATAATAAATTCAGTATTGTTTTTGTTTGATTGAATGAAGCTTTGCATGGACACAGTACAGCACAAAAGTACTATTTGAACTCTTTCTCCACATTCATAAAATTGCTAGTTTCTTCTACCATGATTATATTTTTATGATCCATTTTTGTGTACAGATCTGAAAACTTTATACTAGAATTTATTAGCTGAGGAAAGGAACATCCACTGACATCATCATATACAAATATTTCTCAACATTTTAATGCTTGTGGTATTGTTAATGTTTCTGTGGAAAAAAAATCACAGAAGTGATTTCTAAGTCAGTTATTGATTTATTCTAATGAATTATAAAAATCAGACTAAATTACTAATAGAGAAATTACATTTGAAATACTAGTCTGAGCTACAGATGAGATGGATTTTTGTGCTCATCATTTGTACTCTAGCTATGTTTGTTGAGATTGGGTTATTAAAACATAATTATAACATTATCAGCAGAAAAGCCTGTTGTGCTATAATTAAATCATCTAAACAATCATTTTTGTGGTCTTAATATCCTGGATTTCTCAATTCATTGTAGTAGATAAGATTTCTCTTTAAATACTACTTACTATCAGTAGCTTGCTTTTCTGTGAATGCTAGAAAATTTAGAATTCTGCATTAACATTTAACAAAATATATGCTATCCTAATATTGATGCATTATATTTATCTATACAACATGCAACAAGAGAGAAATACTGGATGAATCAGAATATTTGCAGCCTATGGCAATTATCTGTAGCAACATTTTTTTTGTCTTCAGAAAAATATAGATGATTTTGGAAATGGATTAGTTCTAGTTTCAATCTAGGAAGAACTACTTATGGAAGTTTTGTGTACAGGATACTGATGTTTTCAAATATAATGCATTATTATTTTAGTTTAGTTTCTTTTACCACATACTTAGAAATTGTTCAAGTGAACAGGCTAT
This sequence comes from Homo sapiens, assembly GCF_000001405.40. Taxonomy (NCBI): domain Eukaryota; kingdom Metazoa; phylum Chordata; class Mammalia; order Primates; family Hominidae; genus Homo; species Homo sapiens. The sequence continues at coordinate 991,179 of NT_187383.1, forward strand.
TAAAACTAATGGTATAGATAAATGGTATAGATAGGCCTTGTAAACATCCCACTTTTCCCAAGCCATGAATTTTAACACCTGATTAAGGAGATGAAAATGGAGCCATTGGGAATGTGAATTCTTTGCTAATAATTATTTTTCTTCCTTTAAAAAGATTCTTCAAAAGGCAAGAATATGGAAGTATTTCAGGAGATACTCTTGAGGTATCTAAAATACATACTCTTCCTATCAAAATCAGTAAATAGATTGATGTAAGTAAGATAAAGTCAGGGCAACTGGTTTTGCATGTGAGTGTACACACAGACACATATCCATGTATTCTCCATCTGTTCTCAGTTACTGAATTATTAGACCCAACTGACCACTTGACTGTGTTTAACCTGATAAACAGACTCTTAACAAGAACAATATTTTAAAAACTGGATTGTTCCTCCTACTTCTCAGCATGCATCAGCCACTCTCTTTCCCCATCCTATCTCCTGCCAAATGGTCTCTAAATATCTGTTCCACTTGGAGACACTATTGGATGTTGTTGTAAATGACTTTAATGAATATTCACTCTACCTGCTTTCATATTAATTCAGTTTTCCTAGGATGGTCTCTATGGGATCAAGCAAAAGGACTTAGTGGAATATCTCTATCTGACTCCATAAAGTAAAGAATGTGGTGAGTTTAACAGAGTGCCCCTTCCTTTACTAAATGTGAATGATGTTTCAGTATAGGAGGCCAGAGTGAAAAGTCCTAACGTATGTTTGTTTGGGCAGCCAACAATTGGTCACATTGTACATTTCTTGTTACAAAGGAGCCTCATGGTAGTATAAATGAGGGTCGGGAAAAGACACTTAACTGCTCAGGGCTTTAAAATGGAGCCAGAGCAAGAATTGTAGAAGTTGACAATATCAGGAAGGAAACCTCTGTAAGCAGGCACGCAGGGGAACTCCAGAAATCTCTTCTTTGCCCCTACAACTCTGGACTTTCAGAAATACACACCCCATCCTCCTGTATTAATACAAAATTCATGTTCACAACAACATCAAAAATCAATTTTAAAATAGTAAACCTAAGGTAGACGGAAAGACATTATAGCCTCAGCATGCCTGAGATCTGAGGAGCAAATCAGAAAGATGTTGAGTGTGAAGAGAAAGGGACATCGTGATAACCAATCATTTAAAATTTTTACTCCAGAGAAATGGCAATATTTCACAGATTGTTTCTCATCACCAATCTCACAAGTATAAGTATTTTTTGAAAATTTTCCTCTCAATTTTTTTCCTTGACAGTGAAGTCCAGAATAGGTTGGTTTAGATCTTGCTCTTTTCAGCCTCAATACTCCATAATCACCTTGGCTTTTTTGATTATGACTGGATGGCATGTACTATTATTTTAATATTAAAGATTTAGTAAATAATTTTAAATGTTATCCTTAAATAACTGTGGGCTTTATTCATTTACTGTACATATTTTGAAAACATTCATAAGAACTTAAGGATTTTAATTCAAATGGTCTCTAAAGTAGAAAATGCACTCACAGATTATGCGTATGTCTTTTAAGAAACAGAAACGTGCCATTTGTTTTTAAATTGAGTAGACTTTGTATCCTTTAGAATTTGGGCAGAGTTTTCTTGCTATATTGTAGAGAACCTATCAACCATATCTTAATTTTCTTCTTCTTGAGGTTTTCAAAATTAACATTGGCATTGGTCCACTAATTCCTTGTTTTCTATTTTTGGATGAGTGTGCATAATTACCTCCATCTTAATTTTCAACATAAATGTTTAGCAGAATCTTTCATGTTTCATTGCCATGTAAGCAGATGTGGTTTTTATTCTTTTTCCTTTTCATTGAACAGTTACTTCATTTGAAATTTTTCACTTGATTTAACTTTTTTTTTTGGTGGTAGATACATCTGTTGCCACCTGTGTCTGGTTGGCATTTTAATGTGTTGCCTCGAAGCTGTAACCACAATAGTGGCACATTTTCCTGCTGTTCCTTTATTCTTTGTTTCTTGTGTATCTGTTTTCAAGAAATTGCATTGGTATACTATCATAGCTTTTTTTGTCTCTCAGATTTTCTATTGTAATTATTTATATTTATGCATTTGGAAATATTTCATGATTGTTACATAAAACAGCAGAGCTCTTTTAGAAAGTTTTCATGGTTTCCCAAATGTACAATCATATAGATTATTTAGTAGTTATTACATAATGATCTTTGGAGCAATAAATGCTGTTATATAAGAACAATTCCCAAATGTAATTTGAAAGTTATAAGCTAGGCTTTGACGGCCTAGAATTAATGTACCTTTATAATTCTAATCCGCATGCAAATTTAAGAAGACCACGGATTGAGGACTGGGTGTATAATTTTCAGGGCCCAGTAAAAAGTGAAAATGTAGAACCCTTTGATAAAAAATTACAAAGAATTTCAAGATGACCATAATAGGCCATGCACAAGGCCTTTCTAAATGGGTAGAGTGATCATGAAGCCATGGGCATTGTTTTGTTTTATTTAATCTTACTGTTTGGTTGTAAAGCAGATCTTTAAATCAAGAGAAAAAAAGAATGCCAAAGAACATCTCAATCAAAATGTTTTAAACATTATAGAAGATTAGATCCATATAAATGAAAGGGATAAAGAAAAAGCACATATCCAACCTCAAATATAAAGCATGGAATTCTTATGTGAACTCCATTATAGCACTTGATATTTCAGCTCTATTTTCATTTTTGAACAACTCTAGATATATCTATATATTTTAGTCTAAAATTTAATTTTTATAAGTTCTAAGTTCTTCCCCAAATTCTACCTTAGATAAACAATTCAGAGATACCTGTGTTTCCTATTCTATTAGGTGGAACCATATGAAATTGTCAGTATTCAGCCTTTTCTGTCCTACAAAAAAATGACAGCTTTGTGTTTCCACCTAACACATGGCAGCCCAATAAATATGTGACAGTCAGGACCATAGAGCTACCACACTAAACAATACTAAATGCATACACATACCCTTTCCAAAACCCTGGCAGGTCTTCTTTTCCCCAAAAGAATCATTCTTTGACTCTTCACCCATTATTCATGTGAGAAATTTTCCAGGCCCGTCAACATGTCAGTTGAGTGACTGTAACAATTAGATCTATCGATTCTCCTCTCACAATTTGACATTCTTTATTGAAAAGCATGATCTAAATGTTGACTAATAGTCTGCAGAGTGAAACATGTTTACTAGTTCCCATGACCTAAAACAGTGTAAAACCATGATTCAAAAATTTCTTTTCTTAAAAACTTCTAAACAATATGTCTGCCGGGATAAACTGGTGCAATTTCTATGTGGAACCTAAAGAATTTCAATGACACATTTTCATCCTTATTGCTGTTAAATAATCCCTTCAATAGTGCCCCATCTTCTGTACTCCTTCATACGATTTTCTATCTTATTATTTTCCATCATTCTTTCTGTTACAACTATAATAGTTTCTTTGGAGAAACTATAGATTTTCCCACTTCAGAGGCATTTCTGCATTGAGCTCTCATAAACCTCTCTAACATGGTGGGAAATAGACTCAATAACATTTGTGTATGAATTCAGTTGTGAATTACTTAAGGCTCATCTATAACATCAAAAAGCAACTTGATAAAAACAATTCTATTGAAGATTATATGATCTAAGTATATATAACTTTAGGATGGCTTCGACTGAGACAAAAATAGTATCGATACAGTGTGGAGCAATGAATTTCTAAAATTTTTATCTGCTTAACATTTTTCAACAGCACAATTTATACAGAAGCCCAACATGAGACATTCTTGTTCACATGGAATTTCTCTGCCCGCTTGAGCCCTGTAGAAATACCACAGTGTTGGTAAACAGCAACAGCAACAAGAAGATACTAAGCTTGAATTCTCAGTGGCTCAACCACACCAAAGTTTGTGGGTTGCTCCCATAAAGTTCAATGTCAGTCAGAATAAACTCCTCTATCATTAACCTATGACACACATTGCACGTAACCTTCAAAGTACTGGAAGTGGAAAAGGAGAGAACCTGGGAAGGAGGCAGGGGCTTTTTACTGCCTCAGCCCCAGAGTGATTCATGGCACTTCACCTCAGAGTCTCTTAGATCTTTCCACGTGATCCCAACATAACTGGATGTCTCTGAAATATCTGGGAGGGCATGAAGATTCATTACATGTCTTAGTATTCATTACATGTCTGTTTACAGACTCCATTTTGCTTTCTAAGATGCTCCCTGACTCTTCTCAGAAGCTTTACATAACATGCTATATAAAACACTGATCTAATCAAAATATCACCCTATACCCTATAAATATGTACAATGATGTGTCAATTTAAAAATTAAAGCAAAAAATCCACTGATCTAAAGGGATGATTTCCTCATGCTTCAGGTAATTCTTCATGGAATATTAGTCTCCAATACCAAACTTTTCTTAAGAATTTGGCTGCAAAGAATCCAATAATGTATTTTCAGAAAGAGATTGGAATGCCACAATCTTGTGCATCAACAAAAGAGTGTGTCCCTTTTTGACATTTGGGTCTCTGCGTGACTTCTGACAGAAAGGACAGGCTCAGAGGACACATGGGCATGTCCAAAATTTAATTTCTAAAAGGCTTCTCGATCTGCCCTAATGAAGACATGAGTCTAGAAAGTTTCTGACCTCCAGAGCACAGACAGTGCTTCTTCGGGGAAATTATAGATTTTCCCACTTCAGAGGCATTTCTGCATTGAGCTCTCATAAACCTAACATGGTGGGCAAGTTGGTATTTCAGTCCTTCACATTTAGCTCTGAGTTTAGTACTTGATGGATTTTAAATTAAGTTTCTTTGACATGAAATGAAATCTTCAGCTGCCTGTTAGTTCCAAAGCAGGCCCTCAAGCTCAACACATTAAAAAATTAGTCGTTTCCTCAGAATCTTGTTCTTCCTTCAGAGTTTCCAATTTTTGTTACAGATACCACCTGTCAGACAGTCATTTGGGCTTAACATTTTAAAGTCTGTTCTGGGTCTTCCACATTCATTATTCTCTACAGTCAATCACATTCCAAGGATTGTTGCCTCCAATGCATGCCTTTTTCTCAGTTTTATTTTCTCCCATCAGAGTCATGCACAGATTAGCTCTCAAGTGAGCTATTATAATGGCCTCCTAGCATCTAAACTCTCTTTTTCCAATTGATAGTTCTGCCAGAGTTGTCTTCTTAAAGCAGAGGTTAGACCGCATTTCTCTAAGTAAATTCCAACGACACCAAAATAGTGATTCTTAATAAGTATTACAAGTAGGGAAATACAGATGGGAGAGTTTCCTTGGTAAATAAGTTCATAAAATCTAGGTTAAACAATGTTAAATGGGGTTTGCTTTTTGCTGTTGCTTTGTTAATGTGCATTTGAAATTTCTAAAGTGGCATTACATATCCATAATTTCCCTTATCTGTTTGACAAAGGAATCTGGTTTGTTTAGAAGCATTTTTTCAGAACTTCTATAGGTCAACCTTTCAGAAATTCCTCATTATCAACAGTCAAATACAGATGTATTTTCTTTGGCTCTCGCAACAGGCTTAGAGGAATTTCTAGTCTGTTCTTGTGACGTTTCATTATATGCATCTTTTGCTCAGGCCTGTTAAACCTACTCAACGTGTGTATCTTCTACTCCATGTCTTTATTCTTACTGTTGTCTTAACATGAAATCCTTGCAACCCAATTCATAGTTTTTGTTCTTTGGAAAAATCCAGATTATGTATCATCAATACATATTTTTTCTCTATTGAGATTTTCCTGTTTTTATGTATCACAGCCAGAAGTAATCACTGCATAGAGTATTTCTGCAGAAAGATGGAAGAGTTCTATTTTAACACAATATTTACTATACACCCAGCAAAGGTCTAGGTATTTATAGATACTATTTTATATATTCATCCCATCAATGCTATGAAGAAATATTAATAAACCCATTATATATGCTAAAAGGTAGCGACACATATATGCCACATGTGCAGGTTTTCTCAGGTATTATTAGCTAGGGAAGCTGTGTTGTAACAGTCTTCAAAAACTTCCTTCTATTGTTTACATGCTATTCCACATCATTTTGTTTTCATTTCTTTTGTAGTATCTAATGTATTCTACTAAAAAAAAAGTACAGAAGTTGGAAAACTCTTGTGAAAAAACATATATTACATATATACTATTCTTCATGATGCTCAAAATTTTCATCATTATTAACATTTTGTATATATGTGTGTGTGTGTGTGTGTGTATGTATGCGTGTTAGATATATAATTTAAAAGAAAACAATAAGTTGGTGGCTTATGGCATATTGTTCCTTAAGTCCTGCATTTGAAACACACTGAGTGAATCAGCACATTTGATCATCTTTTAACTACAGTAGATGATTATACATTAAAAATGCATTAACCATCCAAATACATCTTTTTTAATTATTTATTTATTTATTTATTTTTATTTATTTTGAGACGGAGTCTTGTTCTGTTTGTTGCCCAGGCTGGAGTGCAGTGGCGTGATCTCGGCTCATTGCAAGCTCCGCCGTGACCTTGGACATATCCCTAATATTTTCAAGCCTCAGTTTCTCGTCTTTAAAATTAGAATAAAGATACCAAACTCCTGGGGTTTTGTGAGAATAAAATGAGACGATGTTTGTAAGAGACTCAGCGCAGTGTCAGTATCTACCATGTGCTATGTACTCTGCGTTTTCTTTCTTTCTTTTTTTTTTTTGAGACGAAGTCTCGCTCTGTCACCCAGGCTGGAGTGCAGTGGCGCTATCTCCGCTCACTGTAAGCTCCGCTTCCCGGGTTCAAGCCATTCTCCTGCTTCAGCCTCCCGAGTAGCTGGGACTACAGGCACCGTCCACCACGCCCGGCTAATTTTTTTTTTTTTTTTTTTTTTTTTTTTTGTATTTTTAGTAGGGACGGGGTTTCGCCGCGTTAGCCAGGATGGTCTCGATCTCCTGACCTCATGATCCGCCCGTCTCGGCCTCCCAAAGTGCTAGGATTACAGGCGTGTGCCACCGCGCCCGGCCCTGCGTTTTCTACTGTGGATGCTACTGAATGTTTTTAGTATTTGCTGTATGTCAAGAGCTCTTCTAATTAAACTCTATGCGTAATGACTCACTTAAAGGTTACTATTATTATCCCTATTGTAAGAAATGGACATTGGGGCACAAAGAGGCTTAGAAACTTGCTCAAGATCACATACCTGGCTGAGCGCGGTGGCTCACACCTGTAATCCCAGGACTTTGGGAAGCCGAGGCAGGCGGATCATGAGGTCAGGAGATCGACACCATCCTGGCTAACACGGTGAAACCCCGTCTCTGTCTGTCTGTCTTTCTCTCATCTCACTCTGTCACCCAGGCTGGAATGCAGTGGCACAATCTCAGCTCACTGTAATGTCTGCCTCCTGGGTTCAAGCGATTCTTCTGCCTCAGCCTCCGGAGTAGCCGGGAGTAGAGGCATGTGCCACCATGCCTGGCTAATTTTTGTATTTTTAGTAGAGATGGGGTTTCACCATGTTGGCCCAGCTGGTCTCAATCCCCTGACCTCTGGTGATCTGCCAGCGTTGGCCTCCCAAATTGCTAGGATTGCCGGTGTGAGCCACCACACCTGGCCTTTATTTCTTTATTTTCTATTGTTTGTTTGCAGTGATAGGATCCCCAATTCAGAAATCAAATAAAGGAAGTATGCCTCCAAGAGGTATTGGAGTAGATAAACTAGATATTACAAAGCCTACAGATTCAGTCTATTAATTTTTAAAAATAAATTATTAATTTATTTATAAACAGTGTGTGTGTGTGTGTATGTGTGTGTGTGTGTGTGTGTGTGTGATGGAGTCTCGCTCTGTCGCCCAGGCTTGAGGGCAGTGGTGCAGTGGCCCGATCTTGGTTCACTGCAACCTCCCCCTACCGGGTTCAAGTGATTCCCCTGCCTCAGCTTCCTAAGTAGCTGGGATTACAGGCACCCGCCACCAGGCCCGGTTAATTTTGTATGTTTAGTGGAGACGGTTTCACCATATTAGCCAGGATGGTCTCAATCGCCTGACCTCGTGATTCGCCCACCTCGGCCTCCCAAAGTGCTGGGATTATAGGTGTGAGCCACCGTGCCCGGCCTATTTAAACAAGTTTTTAAAATAAATTATTGTATTTTAACTTATCATATTCCTTTATTCAGGGAGATAAGTTACTGAGATAACTGGTAGTAGGCAAAGAGAAGAAACAGGGTGAAGTCAGGTTTGTTGGTGGAGGAAAAATGATACTAAAGACTGCCCAACAAATATTCAGAATCCAGAAATGTTCATATTTCTCCATGGTTCAATTTCTCATGGGTCACTTTTCATTACAAGGATTCTGGAGAGCAAATAAGACAGGATTCTCTCAGGTATCAACCCAGTCTTTTTTTTTTTTTTTTTTTTTTGAGACAGAGTCTCGCTCTGTGGCCCAGGCTGGAGTGCAGTGGCGCCATCTTGGCTTACTGCAACCTCTGCCTCCCGGGTTCAAGAGATTGTCCTGCTTCAGCCTCCCGAGTAGCTGGGATTACAGGCCCACGCCACCATGCCTGGCTAATTTTTGTATTTTTGGTAAAGACAGCGTTTCACCATATTGGTCAGGCTGGTCTCGAACTCCTGACCTCAGGTGATCCACCCGCCTCGGCCTCCCAGAGTGCTGGGATTACAGACGTGAGCTACCGTGCCCGGGCCAACCCATAGTCTTTCAGTCTTCTCTCAGCCAAGGCATCCAGTGAAAATACAATTTATTTTTCAGATTCCTCTGGAGAATTAAAAAAGTCTCTTTTGCGGCTGGACATGGTGGCTCACACCTGTAATCTCAGCACTTTGGGAGGCTGAGGTGGGCAGATCACAAGGTCAGGAGATCGAGACCATCCTGGCCATAGCCAACACGGTGAAATCCTGTCTCTACTAAAAATACAAAAATTAGCTGGGTGTGGTGGCACACACCTGTAGTCCCAGCTATGTGGGAGGCTGAGGCAGAAGAATTGCTTGAACCCAGGAGGCGGAGGTTGCAATAAGCCAAGATTGAGCCACTGCACTTGCTCTGGTGACAGAGCAAGACTCCGTCTCAAAAAAAAAAAAAAAGTCTCTTGCATCAAATTGCCATAGTCTCTGCTCTTGGTCCTCTTTTCCATGTACTCATTCTTCAAGGATTTATTTTCTCATTGCCTGATCAAGATCATTGCAATGACCAAAAAATTTTCGGATGCTGTGATTTTTGTAATATTCCTTTAAAAAGTTAATCATGATGTTGCGTTCTTCAGTGTGCAAGTGTGGAGATGTCAGGATGCCTCTTTAAGACAAGATGATGGGTCACAGCAGTGCCATACCACTCACAGCCACACCAGGAGAGCTGAAGGGGCAGTCACCAACGAAGATGCCCGACCCAGAAGTTGGCTGCCAGGGAGCCAAAAGCCAGGTCACTCCACAGGTGGCCAATGCCTGGGGGAGCCCTCCACCGCCCAAGCTTATTATTATTATTATTATTTTGAGATGGAGTCTGGCTCTGTCTCCCAGGCTGGAGTGCAGTAGCACGATCTTGGTTCACTGCAACCTCCACCTCGTGGGTTCAAGCAATTCTCCTGCCTCTGCCTCCCGAGTAGCTGGGACCACAGGCACGTGCCACCTCACCTGGCTAATTTTATTTTTTGAACAGACAGGGTATTGTTATGTTGTCCAGGCTGGTCTTGAACTCCTGGGCTCAAACGATCCTCCCGCTTCAGCCTCCCAAAGTGCTGGGACTACAGGTGTGAGCCACACCTGGCCAGGTTCTACTTTTTAATATTTAAAATATCTGAAATAGGCCGGGCACGGCGGCTCACACCTGTAATCCCAGAACTTTGGTAGGCTGAGGCGGGCGGATCACCAGAGGTCAGCAGTTTGTGATGAAACTCCGTTCCTACTGAAAATACAAAAATTAGCCGGGTGGGTGGCAGATGCCTGTAATCCCAGCTACTCGGAAAGCTGAGGCACCTAAACCCGGGAGGTGGAGGTTGCAGTGAGCTGATATCATGCCACTGCAGTCCAGCCTCCGCGACGCAATGAGACTGTCTCAAAAAAAAAAAAAAAAAAAAAAAAAGATGGTGTCAGTGATTTCTGCTACATCAGCTCTGGAGGCACTCCGTACCTGATTGCTCCACTTTTAGTGGTGCTAAATTCAAATAATTCAGCTGGTGAGAAACTGACTCCCGTGGGAGTGCGGGCGTGCGTGCGTGCCGCGGAAATCCCGCCTTCCGGCGCCGGCGGTTGGCCCTGGCTGCAGTGGGTGAGCTCCAAGTAGGAAGATAAACGGGATTGCAGGAAGCGGGAGAGTCAGGAGGAGCAGGGAAGGGCTCCTCTTCCCCATTGGCTGCGCCCGCGGAGCCGCCTTGCGATTGGCGGTAAGCGCGGGTCGGTGGAGGGGGCGGCAGTCCCGCGCGGGCACGCCCCTCGGGTAGCGAGAGGCGTCGGGATCGCGGGCGCCGGCTGAGCCAGCGGCTGCTGGGAGGCTGTGTGCGCACGCCTGCGGGGCGAGGAGGCCGGGCCCTGCGCCTCAGGTCCTGGCCTGGGGCACCGGGGCGTCCGGCGTCGGAGGCGGTGCGGGGTTGGCGGGCGGCACAAGGGGTGGGGGGGCGGGGGGGGCGTTGCTGCGCGGACCGCCCGCGGCGCAGCCCCCTGCCTCTCTCTATCTCTAAGTGGTGGTGGCTGTGGGTTTTTCTGCAGGTGAGCCTTTTGAGTAATTTGTTTCATGCAGGCGCCCTGCTGTTGGGTAAAGCGGCAGATTCACGCTGCTGTCATTTGTCGTTCAAACGATGGGCTTCCTGGCAGGGCGCGGTGGCTCAAGCCTGTAATCCCAGCACTTTGGGAGGCCGAGGCGGGCGGATCATGAAGTCAGGAGATCGAGATCATCCTGGCTAACATGGTGAAACCCCGTCTCTACTGAAAATACAAAAAAAAAAAATTAGTCGGGCTGGTGGCGGGCGCTGGTACTCCAGGCTACTCGGGAGGCTGAGGCAGGAGAATGGCATGAACCCGGGAGGCGGAGCTTGCAGTGAACTGAGATCCCGCCACTGCACTCCAGCCTGGGCGACAGAGGGAGACTCCATCTCAAACAAAACAAAACAAAAAATGATGGGCTTCCTGTCATGTGTGTGTGTACCTTTTGGATTTGAGGGCAGGGGTATGACATTGTGATTTGGCCTCCTGTGACAGTCCATTCTCAAGGTCTCGCCAGCGTGGTGCAGAAACCCGGCATACCTTGCCTATCTAGGAAGGAGGCTTTCCCTTCCCCACCTCCCTCTCCCTCCATCTCTTCCCTCTATCTCTCTTTCCTCTTCATTCCCTTCCCCGAGCTCTTCTCTCCCATCTTTCTGTTCTTTTTTTTCTGCATTAAACTTTTCGGGAGTGTCTTTGTAAAATATTAAAAAGCGTTAGGTCTTCAACATGTATGTTTACTTGCAGGCCTGAGAACTGGGAGGAAGCTGGAGAAAAGATGCCCTCTGAATATTTGTGTTTGGCTGCCCAGGCTCGCCTTGACTCCAAATGGTTGAAAACAGATATACAGGTGGGGTTTGACATGTCTCTTTCTTGGTGTATTTCTGCTTCCATGTTTAAATTTCTCGTGTAAGTCTTTTTTTTTTTAGGGTATGTAAGGGGAAGTCAGTTGTTTCTTGCTATAGTAGAGGAGCAGGTTTGTTTCCTGTAACTTAAAATGTAACAGTCTTTATGGCTGTTTTTGTAGATCGTGCACGGCTGCCTTTTAATTAGTTTCTTGCAAGTGCACGAAACTTGAGATCTATGAATAGGCAAAATTTTTTTCCTATTTTTTTATTACTGGTTAAGAAATCTGCCACACTCCTAACCATATGATGGTGACTGTTATTTGTTACTGATAGTTTTTGAGCTGTTTAGTTAACTGTGCAGGGGAAAGTTGGAGAAGTAAGTTGCAGTAATTATGGCCAATAGAAACGCACTCATTTTATGAGGTCTTGTGTTTGTGTTTTTGGAGAGACAAGAGTTAGTTCAGTCGAGGTGTTTGTTTTGTATTTGTATGCAATACAAGGTCTAAGGACAATTGTGTTGAAACTGAGGTCATGATGTTGGAATCTTAAGGGCTGAAGGTTCCAAATAAATGGTATATATAGAATTCTCTCTGACTCGAAATTGTCCCTTTCTGGACCTCCGGATGCTGAGGCTAAGAATGTCCATATGATAGGGCCTTCCATGACAGGAGTCAGCAATCTTTTTTTTTTTTTTTTTCTTTCACGTATCTGTAATTCATTCTGTATATTTTAAAAAGTTTTAAGCTCTCTTCCTAGCCCTAGTATTTGTTAATAAATTAAAACATTTCCCAAAGTGTTTTTTTGTGAAACAATAATTCTAAAAGATGCTCTAAGAAAAGCTAAGCACATGGAAAAATCCAAAGTATATGTTTTATTTATTACATTTGATGAATTTGTTGTTTGCTTCTTTTTCCTCTCAAGAGGGAGCCTTGCTGTGTTGCTCAGGCTGGAGTGCAGTGGCATGATCTTGGCTCACTGCAACCTCCGCCTCCCGGGTTCAAGCAGTTCTCTGCCTTAGCCTCCTGAGTAGCTAGGATTACATGCACCCTCCACCACGCCCAGCTAATTTTTGTATTTTTAGTAGAGACGGAGTTTCGCCATATTGGCCAGGCTGGTCTTGAACTCCTGACCTCATGATCCACCTGCCACGGCCTCCCAAAGTGTTAGGATTATAGGCGTGAGCCTCCGCACCCGGCCCACGTTTGATGGATATTTTTGTCCTTTGTTCTTTTAAAAATTGTGGTTAGAAAGCAGAGCATAATTGTTCTTTATGTAGATCCCAACTGATTGGGGTTTTTAGGGAGATTTTTTGGCATTCAGTAAATGTTTTTATTTTCCATTATTAAGACTATGAATATTTTATTTTATTTTCTGAGACAGGGTCTTGCTCTGTTGCCCAGGCTGGAGTACTGTGGCATTATCTTGGCTCACTGCAACCTTTGCCTCCTGGGTTCAAGCAATTCTCCTGCCTCAGCCTCTCAAGCTGCTGGGATTACAGGTGGCTGCCACCATGCTGGGCCAATTTTTGTATTTTTAGTAGAGTTGGAGTTTCACCATGTTGGCCAAGCTTGTCTGAAACTCCTGACCTCAAGTGATCCGCCCGCCTCAGCCTCCCAGCGTGCTGGGATTGTAGGTGTGAGCCACTGCCCTGGCCCATTTTCACTTTTCATTAGCTGCTATTTTCCCCCATTTATTTCCTACCTTTCTGTGTATGATTTCTGAATGAAATGTATTTCATGTCTTAACCTTCTGAATTGTTTGTTCTCTCATTTTCCATGTTGTTAAGGAAAATAAGAGGCTAAGTGAGATGTATTAAATTTGCATATAGTTTCTCAGATCAGGATAAAGGCTCATCTGTTGCAGAACGGGACTCTGCTCTTGCTTCATCCAGGATGCGTTTCCTAGTTCCTTCCTAGAGTGGGGCCACGCCCTGCTCCAGCCTTCCAGACCCAGCTCCCTGCTCTGACATGATTCCACTGGACTGTATTCCAACTGTCCTACCTGGACCTAGATATTTTCTTTGTTTTTTTGTTTGTTTGTTTGTTTTTTGTTTTTGAGATGACGTTTTACTTGGCGGTCCAGGCTGGAGTGCAGTGGCGATCTTGGCTCACTGCAACCTCCGCCTTCCAGGTTTAAGCAATTCTCCTGCCTCAGGCTCCCAAGTAGCTGGGATTACAGGTGCATGCCACCACACCTGGCTAATTTTTGCATTTTTAGTAGAGACGGTGTTTCACCATGTTGGCCAGGCTGGTCTCGAAATCCTGACCTTGTGATCTGCTCGCCTCGGCCTCCCAAAATGCTGGGATTATAGGTGTGAGCCACCGCACCCAGCCAACTTTTTTTTTATTAAAAAACTTACATGAAATTTATTTTATTGTGGTATCTAGTTCAGTAAATTTTGACCCTATAGATTCATTTAACCCCCGCCATCATCAGGATGGAGAAGTTTCATCACCCCAAAAGCTCCCTTAAGGTGCTGCTTTTTATCACATATCCCCTGGCCTCATACCCTGGCAACCACTGATCTGTTCTCCATCAGTATAGGGTATTCTTTTTGAGAATGTCATGTGAGTGGAACCATATTTTAAGTAACGTTTTGAAACCATCTTCATTTACTCCTAGTTATATGTTTGAGATTTATTGTTGTTCTGTGTATTAATAGTTCTTTTTATTGATGAATGGTGTTTCATCATTTGGATGTACCACATTGTGTTTATCCATTCTGCTATTGTAGGACCTTGTGGTTGTTTCCGTTTTTCTTTCACAATTGTAATCCTGCTGTGAGCATTTCTGTACAGATTTTGTGTGAATATAGTTTCCATTTCCCTAGGATAAAGACCTAGTAGTGTGAAAATTGGGTCATGTGCTGAACTGTTTTCCGAAGTGGCTGTTTTAGTTTGCATTCCTGCTGGTAATCTGTCACGTTTCTGTTGCTCTGTGTCTTTGTTAGCACTTGGTGTTATCAGTGTTTTTTAGTTGAGCCATTCTAACACGTCTAGTGGGATCTCATTGTGGTTTAAATTTGCATTTCCATAATGGCTAACAATGCTGAATATCATGTTCTTCTTTGCCACTCTTGTATCCTTTGTGAAGTTTCTGTTCAGATCTTTTGCACAGAAAAAGCTGTATCATGGAACCAGTAAAATAACCAAGGAGAGGTTGATTAAAGTTCTGTTTATAATCCTAGAAGATTCCTGCCTTAGGGATATGGGATGGCTGAACATAAGACACCAACACTGGACAGATGAAATAGCAGTTTATTAGTCACGCATGCTCACAGCCCTGGGGGTGGGGGACACCGCATGTCACACGGGGGCTGCACTTGGGAACAGAGTGAACCACGAGGGGCTGTGGGAGGCACATTTTGTAGTAAGAAGAGGGTGAAATGACCTTGCTTCCGTGGGAAGATGTGATTGGCTTGTTGGAATAACTCTGGACCGGCAGGGATGAGCAGGCTGGGGTCGGGTCTCCGCGATAAGGAGGGTTGTTTGGCTCTGGGATCTTATCCGTGGGAGCAGAGCTTGGAGGAGACCTTGTGGTTAGGCTATTTGAGGCCTTCTTGATTTTACTGACGTCAAGGCAGCACATAATATTTAGTCTTAATTTCAGGCCACACAAGACATTCCTCTGTATCTACTTTCTGTGGCACTTTTCAAAAGGTTTTGTCCTTAGTGTTTAGCAGTTGATTATGATGTGCCTCATCATGGCTTCCTTTGGATTTATCTTGTTTGGGCTTTGCACAGATTCTTCAATCTGCCTAGGTTTCTGTCATTTGCTGAACCTAGGAAGTTTTCAGCTATTAGTTCTTTAGATTTTTTTTCCAGCATTGTACCTTTTCTCTCCTGTTATTAACCTGTGGGGTCTGTGCTAATTCTAGGTAGTTAGTTTCAGAATTGAATTGCATTGTGGGACACATAGCTGGGTGTCGCAAAGAACTGGAGAATTGCTTGGTGCAAAAGTCCATACATTTGGCGTCAGAAGTGTTGTAAACAGAGGAACTGTTTCCTTAGGGATTTTTAGATACTCATTATTTATAATCTGGATGGGATATCATGTCTTTCACCGATTGAGGTACATTTTTCTAATTATGTTGTTTAGACGTTTAGTCACAGCCTTCTGTGATGGACCGTGTTTACACTTCAAGGTTAAGGTTAGTTCTCTCTTCTCTTCGCTTACTATGTCAGGAGTTTTATGACAGTTGTTTTTGACTGAAACGTTACATTGTCAGTGGCCTAAAGTCATTTTTCCCAGCTTTTCCTTTGTGTCCCAGTGCTCTTGAATTATGCTATCAGTGACAGCGCCCCTGCATAGCAGTGCTTGCCAGTTGGCAGTGGAGTAGGGCCTTGGAAAGGGTTAAAAGATTTTTGAATCATACTCCTTTTCTACACCCTCCCTTTTCCCATGGGTACGCAAGCATTGGGACTCAATGGATGGAAGCAATTCGTGTGAAATTGAAGTAGGTAAATATCAAATACTAAGTTTCTCAGTTGTGAAATCTACTAGGAAGTTAATGAAATATCATTTTGGAAGACATGCTTTAAATAATTTGATATATTGGTTTCTTTTCTTTTCTTTTCTTTTCTTTTTTTTTTTCAGATGGAGTCTTGCTCTGTTGCCCAGGCTAGAGTGCAGTGGTGCCATCTCGGCTTACCGCAAGCTCCGCCTCCCGGGTTCACGCCATTGTCCTGCCTCAGCGTCCCGAGTACCTGGAACTATAGGTGTCCACCATCATACCTGGCCAATTTTTTGTATTTTCAGTAGAGACGGGGTTTCACTGTGTCAGCCAAGATGGTCTCCATCTTCTGACCTCGTGATCCACCGGCCTTGGCCTCTTAGAGTGCTGGGATTACAGGCATAAGCCACCACTCCCGGCCGATATATTGGTTTGTTTATGAAAATTATACTGGATCTGTTACAGGTATGATTGATATATTTTATTTTTGAGTTGTCAAACATTCAGTTAATGATGTGTGTTGTAACTTTTCAGGGAGGGACATTTGCAGAGACTGACTAATGGTATGGCATTCTGAAAAGCGGTTACAGATTAAAAAAATTTTAATTCTGCAGATGATAGTGTCAAACCAAGTGGAACAAAGAAAGAAGATCTGGATGACAAAGAGAAAAAAGATGAAACTCCTGCACCTGTATATAGGGCCAAGTCAATTCTGGAGAGCTGGGTATGGGAGTAAGCAACCAGGTAATCTTTGATCAGAGATAGAAATTAGTATAGACATTTTGCCTCCAGATCCTCAGGTGGTTTTAGAAATTGGTTCTCTAATTCTGTAGGAGAAGGTTGATACTGGTATAGGCTTACACGTCATTGAAACTGGAAAAGGTAGCTAGATATTCTTCTACTCATGTTTTGGATAATGAGATATTTTATGCTTCACACACTTGGAGTATGTCATCTACTGTAATACGGTATCTGAATGAATACTTTAAATAAAATACATTTCTGTAAGTTAATTGTATACTTTAAAAATCTCTGAAAAATTTGAGTAGCAAGTCTCAGAAACTTGGTTCTAAATATTAAGAATATATCCTTCCTTGGGAGGGAGCATGTAGTAAACATGTTAGTGTGATTGTAAGCATACTGTCTTTCTGGAGGTCGCTGTGTTCCTGCATCCACTGTTTTCATTTCAGGGATGTTCACGGAACGCCAGACACCAAAAGGCCAGAAGCATGCCCCTGCAGGACCAGCACTTGGCTCTGGCCATCCTGCTGGAGCTGGCTGTGCAGAGAGGCACGCTGAGGTGAGGGCTTGTGCAGAATGGGAACGCTTTGGGGAAACGCCTCTGTATCCAAATACCTGTTGCATTGTGTGCATTTCACTGAATCGTGTTTGACTGCAGCAGAGAGCACCATGTCCCAGAGCTCGCTCTCTCTTTACCTTTTCTTCACTTCCTTTTTTATGCTCAGTTTTCTAGCCTGGGAACTGTTCTTTTTTTTTTTTTTTCTTTCAGTTTTCCTCATTTAATTATTTTTATTCCATGAATTTAAGATCCTAGAACTTCCATGTGAATGTGCTCTTTGAGCTTCTTAACTGGTCTTTCCTATCAGCAGAAGGCGATGACTTGTGCTAAAATCTTAGTGTCAATTCAGTGATTTAATTACCATGGCTTTACTTTCATTTCCTTTCATATCCCAAGTATTGCTTCACTTCTATCTAGCTGTTTGCTTTTATTTTTGATCAACCATGAAAAAAAAAGTTAATCTGTTTTTACTAGGAATAAATGTGTTTTCTCCTTTAGCCAAATGTTGTCTGCCATCCTGTTGTTGCTTCAGCTGTGGGACAGCAGGGCACAGGAAACTGACAATGAGCGTTCTGCCCAGGGCACCAGCACCTTGCTTTTGTCCTTGCTGCAAACGTTCCAGAGCATCATTTGCAGTAAGGATACGCCCCCCTCCGAGGGCAACATGCACGTGAGTGTCATGATGGAACGTTGTGTTTAGGTGGTACTCAAGTCTAGTTATTTTTTACGCAAGACCAGTGTGTGTGTCCACGGCAGTGTTTTTCTCTGGCGTGTGTGTATTTGGTGGTAACAGCAGCGAGTCAGATGAGACAGGTGTGGGAGGCCACTTGTTTGTGGAGAAGACTTGGATCAGTGAGCACCGACTTCCTTGTCAGCACAGAACCAAGCTTGAAACACGCACTTTTAAATCAATACTAGAAAAGAACAACGAAAATAGTGGCTTTCTTTGTTGGCCGTTCCTATGTACTGGGCTCTGTGCAGGGCATGTCATCTGAGCTGTCACTCTGTTTAGTACCAGCTCCCCCCTTAACAGGTGTGGACGCCGAGCTGGGGGAGGAGCAGGCATGTGGGGCCCTGGGCGTAAATCTCCAGGAGTGCTGGTCTTTACAGGTCAAGTACAAGTTGAATTTTGCATCTTTTTGGGAAAGTCTTAGGCATTTCAATATCATGCTTTGGTTTAATTTTTCTATTATTTGTTAGTCTTTAAACTAATGATAATAGGGCTCTTCTGCCTTTAGAAGAATTAGAACTATGATTTAATTTGCAAATGAAAGTAGGTGTTCTCCAGAGTGGGCAATGTTTAGATTAAAATAAAGGTTTTGGTTTTAGATTTCAAGGCCAGCTTGAGATGCTGTTCTGGGTTCCCACAGAGGTGGTTCTGCCTTTCTCCAGGGGTCCTAGGCCTGTAGGGTGGTTTGGTCATGTTAGTAATCTGTGTGGATTCAACTTACCTGTGGTGTCATAAATGTATACATGCACAGTCAATGTTGTGTACATGTGTACAGCACATTTAGACATTTATACAGTCAGTTTGTATGCTACATAAATATATAGATGTATAGTATAACTGTATCATCGACATTGTCATTTGATGGGTCAAATGAGTCAATACCAAAATATAAAGAGTGGGTAAAGGCTAACTGTATTACTTTAATTTTTCCCACCATTTCTGAATGTTTGTTTACCTTTCCTTTCTAGCTTTTGTCTGGCCCTCTGAGCCCCAGTGAGAGTTTCCTGAGGTACCTCACCCTCCACAAGACAACGAGCTTGCCATTGATCTGCAACAAACGGCGGTTGTTGTCATGGCCCATTTAGAAGATCTGGCTACACCCTGTAGATGCCTCTGCCGTGTAGCTGTCCGACGTCTCATAAGGTGTGTGTGCAAGAACCGTGTTCTCCATGGGTTTTGTAGCTAGTACCACTTGTAGGTTCTCATCCTGGGCCCGTGTGGAGACTTGCTTTTTCTGGTATTGGTAGGGGGAGCTGGCCTGTGGTTTTTAAACGTGTTTGCAGTTGAAGGTGTTATCCGTGTTGAGAGTGAATGATGAGCAAGCTGAGGCGCACAGGCCTGGGGACCCAACCTGGGGGCCCAGGTTCCAGGTTCAGGTGGCACAGCCCCAGAGAGCTCCCCTTTAGCCACAGCCCCAGGCCCTCCCACCTTCTACAGAGGGTTCCACAGCCTTCTTTATACTCTGAACGTGGGCTGTCTTAGTATGTAATGCTGGTTATAGTAGTGACAGTATAATTATATATTATATCTGTTATGTAATAGTAATGGTAATAGTAGTGATTTGCATGTGTGGAGCACCTGTAGGGTGCAGGCCCACTGAGGACCTCATGCACGCTGTTGTATCTCATTATGTCAATGAGAAAACTGCCTTTGGGAATGTTAGTGAACTTTGCCAGTGTATAACAGTAATCCTAGTTTTGAATCCAGATTTTTCTAACATTTTATTTCTAGTATGAAGAGTGTTTATTTTGTTTTACAGTCATTAAAAAAAAAAAGAGGAATACAGTCACATGGTTCAAAAATCAAACCTAGGCAGAGACACACTGTCACTTCCCCTGCCCACCCCTTCCACCCATTTTCCTACCTGCTCTCTCTGGCTTTTCAGTCTCCTCTGTAACCTCCTTGTTCTCTGGAATGAGTATGCTAGTGGTAGCATGTTGCATTACTTGTGTTGCTTGTTTTTTTTTTACTAACCATATATACTGGAGTACTTTATCAGAGTGTCGCTCTTTGTTTTTATAAAGCAGCTTAGTCTTCAGTGTGTAGATATGTCTTTTATGTATCATTCTTCAGTGAGTCTCTTATTGGTGGACACTTGGGCTTATTGCCACAGTGTTGCTACACAAATAGTGCTGAGGGTCGGTTGTGGTGGCTCATGCCTGTAATCCCAGCACTTTGGGAGGCCAGGGTAGGTGGATCACCTGAGGTTTGGAGTTTGAGATGATCAGCCTGGCCAACTTGGAGAAACCCCGTCTCTACTAAAAAATACAAAAGTTAGTGGGGCATGGTGGCACATGCCTGTAATCCCAGCTACTCGGGAGGCTGAGGCAGGAGAATCGCTTGAACCTGGGAGGCAGAGGTTGCAGTGAGCCGAGATTGCGCCACTGCACCTTAGCCTGGGCAACAAGAGTGAAACTGTCTCAAAAAACAACAACAACAATAACAAAAAACACAAATAGTGCTGCAAGGCCTGACCTGGAACATGTGTCCTCCATGTGTGCACGCGTGTGTGCCTGTGCACATGCACAGGTGGGGATGCACCTAGTGTGGGCTGGTTGTCACCAGATCGCTCCTGTACATCTTGATTTCTCTCACCACCAATAGGGATGCTGGTCTCCCAGCCTTGTGTGTGGGCTTTTGGGATTTTGCCTGCTAAAGCACAAAATGGTGACCCTGATATAGTTTGAGCATTTTAAAATATATTAGTATTTAAGGGCCATTTATACTACTTTTTAATGGGTTCTGTTGAAATGCAATGGAAATGGAAAAATAGCCTGTTCAGTTGCTTCATCATACCTGTTAAATGCGGTAATACGGCGTGGTAGGAGATGGGGTTTCACCATGTTAGCCAGGATGGTCTCGATCTCCTGACTTCGTGATCTGCCTGCCTCAGCCTCCGAAAGTGCTGGGATTACAGGCATGAGCCACTGTGCCCGGCCAATTGGATTATTTTAAAGCATAACTCTGTCTTTAAAACATTTTAAGGCATTTTACCTCTTAATGATAAGGATTTAAGAAAAACCCTACAATATCATTATCCTGTCTATAAGATTAACAGTGATTCCTTAATCTAACATGTAGTCCATGTTACATTTTCCTGGACTATCTCAAAAATGCCTTTTTTAGGTGGTAATTTTGAATTAGGACCTGAATATGTTCTGTGTATTGGCATTGGTTGACATATGCTTCTAGTCTCTTTCCCCAAACAACATGGCTCCAGGCCCTCCTCTCCCTGTCTCTGATCATACCATTTTCTTTTTCAAAGAAGCAAGTTGGTTATTTTGGAGAACTTCACATTTTCTGAACTTGGTTGATTGCATTCTCTTATTCTAGACCAACATATTCTTCTGTTAGTTACATTAATCTGCTGGTTAGATCTAGAGGTTTGGTTGGATTTGAATTCAGTCTCGTTGGGGTGGTGTTATGTCTGGAGTCATGCTGCATGCTTTCTGTTGGCTCAGGAGGCCTGTAATGCTCAGTGGCTCCCCGCTTTAGTTCTGTGAAGCTAGACCAGGGAATTCATGTGTTGCGTGTCCTCTATAAAATCCCCTACCAACCTTGCCCTCTGCTGTCTGGTTAGCAGGAGGTACAATTTGTACAGGAAGGACATAATCTAAGCTTGACTTCTTGAACTGCCACCTCCCTTTAACTATTTTTCATAATATTGAGTTGGTATCCTAGCACTTGCATAGGTGACCACCACTCAGGTTTTCTTTTTTTTTGAGTATTTTTATGAACTAATAGACTTCTATTGATTTGGTGTTTCTTTTCTTTTTTAGCTTTTTCCCCCTAATATACACATTTAAAGGCGTAAATGCCCTCAAGCATGCATTTAGTTGTATGTCACCAATTTTGATCTGCAATATTTTGATTATTAATTGAACTCATTTTCTAATTTTCATAGTCATTTTTTCTTAGAATTTTGGGTTACTTATAAGTGTATTTTGTAATTTTCAAATATGTGGATGAATATTTTCATTTTCTGTATATACAGAGTCATTTTTATTTTATTTTGAATGAACTTTTGAAAACCTATTTCTAATTTAACTGCATTGTAGTCAGCACACATGCTGTGTAACTTTATTTCTTTGAAATCTGTTGAGATTTGCTCTATGGCCTGGCATGGCCTGATTTGATATTCATGCTGCCTAGATTTTTTTTAAAGCATTCTATATTTAATAGAATTTGTATGTGTGGTATTAGTTTCAGAGCTAGGTATGTATTTCTCCCATTGTGATTGTGGATTTGTTTATTTCTGCTTGTAGTTCTTTCACACAGTTTGTTCTTTTCATTTTACCTGTTGATTGATCAATGGACTGATTCTGGTTTCTGTATACAGAGAGTCATTTTTTACAGTTCAGAACTGTAGAAATAATGAGGAAGTGACACTTATATGCAAAGCTGATTTGGAGAACCATAATAAAGATGGAGGCTTCTGGATTGTGATTGATGAGAAAGTGTATGATATAAAGGACTTCCAGACACAGTCGTTAACAGGAAATAGTATTCTTGGTAAGATTACCCTTCTTATTTCCTGGTTAAAAGTTACAGCCTGTATCATTTTAAGCAGAGTATTTGGCTTATAAATGATTTCTTTAGTTTTGCGCCAGCCCCCGCATATTTTAATGTATCTGTGGCTTTGGTGTCTGTCTTATCAACAAATTCAGCACATTTGAAGAATTTCCTTTCATTATGCATTTTTTGTTTTAATACTTGGAACTCATTTCAAGTTCTGAGTTGGCCCAGGCAACCCTGGGAGACAGTGGGAGGTCATTATACTCTGGTAACCCTCACTTTTGAGTTAAGCGCCTAACTTATTTCCTACTCACTGTTTCTCCTATAGCTCTTCAGGCAAGCTGAATTGAACTCCTGTTGCTTTTTCCCTTTTTCTTTCAGCTCAGTTTGCAGGGGAAAACCCAGTGGTAGCTTTGGAAGCTGCTTTCGAGTTTGAAGTCACCCGGGAATCCATGCACGCATTTTGTGTTGGCCAATATTTGGAGGTGAGGCTGTATGCCTTGAGTGATGCAGAGGATGGCAGGGGACACCCTCTGTGTGTTTGTGATAGGAATATTTGGATCTAGAAGTACTGATATCTGGGTCTTTTGGGGGGCATTAGGGATAATATAAAGATCCTTTAGAAGTTTTGTCATAAATGAATTTACATTTATTCGTGTTAGGATCTGTGATGTACTGGTCTTGAAAGATTGTTTTTTAAATGATCAATTTGTGAGAAATATAGACAGTGTTCCACAAGAAAAGAGGTTAAACTTTGGTCTTATGTAGAAATTTGGAATGGCTTATTATCTTGAGGTATGTATTTTTTGGGAAGAACTATGTAGAAGTGTAATTCTTTACAATAGAAATATGTCCTTCCTATGTATTCACGAACACATAGAATTTATATACTGGGATTAGCTTTCCAGCTATCCACAAGTAATAAAATGTATTAAATGCCATTAGGGCAGGGCTTAAAGCATTTTATGAAGGGGAGAATTAACTTTGCTGTAAATATCTTCTGTGACTGGAAAAGTTGAACTCTTGCTTTTTTCAGAGTTTGATTTTTGTTAGAATAAATTTCATTTCCTCTACCTGTGTGGTCACAGTCCACTAATACTTGTCATCGAATACTTGTCATAGTTTTGTTGCCCAGTGGGTTCTTTATGCATGTAACAATTCATTATACTTTCTGAAGCATGGTGTACAGTCACTTTGGAAACTGATTCCTAAGGAATATTCTAGCCAAATCATGTATCTGTGCTTTAGTTTTTCTGCGTGTACGGTTGCTGCCAGCTTTATAGGGCATGTGGGTTTATGTGGTATCTGCTGTTACTTGGGCACAGCAGCATCAACTCATTACAGGATGGAGGGGCAGAACACCCAGGGCACCCCTGGGCTCACATGGCGGTACAGCTGCAGGACAGAGCTGTCCTTTTGGTTTTATGTTTTTAATTAATTCTGTTTCCTCAGATTGATGATGAAGTTTATTTTTCCAGCCTGACCAAGAAGTTGTCACCATACCAGATCCGGGAAGTCTCTCTTCACCTCTGATAGACACAGAGAGGAATCTGGGCCTGCTTCTCGGATTACACACTTCCTATTTAGCAATGAGCACACCGCTGTCTCCTGTCGAGATTGAATGTGCCAGTAAGAAAATCTTTGCTTTTTGCTGATTAGCAGATTATTTTTTTTGAACTGTAAGTGCCATTAAGAGTGGGAGAGGGCCAGGCACAGTGGTTCATGCCTGTAATCCCAGCACTTTGGGAGGTTGAGGCATGTGGATTGCTTGAGGTCAAGAGTTTGAGACCAGCCTGGGCAACACGGCAAAACCCCATCTCTACAAAAAACACAAAAATTAGCCAGGCATGGTGGCATGTACTTGTAGTCCCAGATACTCAGGAGCCTGAGGTAGGAGGATCGCTTAAGCCTGGGAGGTTGAGGTTGCAGTGAGTCATGATCATACCACGGCACTCCAGCCTGGGTGACAGAGCAAGACTCTCTCTTTAAAAAAGTAGGAGATGGCCAGGCGGTGGCTCATGCCTGTAATCCCAGCACTTTGGGAGGCTGAGGCGGGTGGATCACCTGAGGTCAGGAGTTCGAGACCAGCCTGGCCAATGTGGTGAAACCCCATGTCTACTAAAAATGCAAAAATTAGCTGGGCGTGGTGACGGGTGCTTGTAATCCCGGTTACTCGGGAGGCTGAGGTAGGAGAATTGCTTGTACCCAGGAGACAGAGGTTGCAGTGAGCCAAGATCGCACCACTGCGCTCCAGTCTGGGTGACAAGAGCGAGACTCCGTCTCAAAAAAAAAGAGGAGGATTCAACACAGTTGATGATGCTACAAAAAATAATAATAAGGATAGTGAGACTCAATCAGGTAGAAACAGCTGTGAGTGGCTGTCATTTGCCCTCATGGTCTGTTGCTGCAGAGGAAGCTAAAAAGTGTGCAGGAGTGTCTACCCGTCTACCCTGTGGTGGTCTCACGTATTGCAGCCTCTGCCTGATGGGCCCAGCATGGCTTTTGTCTCCCTGCATGCCCAGAAATTGCACAGAATGTGGATCAGCTGTTCTCTCAGGGAACAGCGTTCTATTTGAGGACTGCGTTTTTACCAGACCAGGCTCAAGTCAGTTATATTTCAGGATGGCAGCCTTTGTAACCACCTAAAATAATAAGCTTTTTCCTGTCTCCTAAGATGGGTTTACATTTTCCTTCATGTAGTCGTGCATTTCCCATCTGTCTATCTGTCCGTCCGTGTGAGCAGCTTCTGTTGAGCAGTTGCCTGGTGCCGTTACCATGCGAGGTGTTCAGGATGCAGTGATGGATAGGACACGCCTCTGCTTTCAGTTGCTGCTTGTTGATGAGCCAGCATTCTAAGCAGGTCACGTTACAAGGTGGTGAATGGTGAAATGGAGACGTTCATACGTGGTTCTGGGAGAAGAAAGGCTTCACACCGGCAGCAGTCCTGAAATTGCATGAGGGAGCATTCTGGGCAGAAAACACAGGAGTGTCAAGGGCAATGCTGAGAGGAGCAGGGCTTTCCTGCTGCTTGCGAGAGTGGGTGTGGGAGAGGCTTGCGGGAAAGGAGGATCTTGGTGTCCACACAGCCCCCCGTTGGGTGGACCTTTGTGCAGTGCTGGGTGCTGGACTGCCTGTGGTGCCCTCTGAGGTGTCTGCTTCCCTCCCTCCTCCTCAAGGCTCATTGCTTGCCAGAAGATGGGCTTTGTTTAAATTGACAAGGAGGGCAGGGCTGGCGAGCTCCAGAGCAGAGGGTGCCATGAGCCCTGGCAGGTGGGTCCGAGCCACAGGAGGATCAGAGGCTTATCTTGGAGCAGTAAGGAGGGGCTGTCCTGTGCTTAAAGAAAGGGGGCCAGAGAGAGTTGGCATTGGATTAGTGTTTCAGAAGAATGAATGTGGTGGGTTGGGGAATGCTCCTGAGTGCTCTAAAAATCTAAATGTCCAGTAAAAGAACAGTAAGTGCATCCCCGCTTTGATTGCTTGGATTTGGAGCAGTATTTGATAACACAGATCGTTAATAGAGATCTGTAGTGGTGCACATCCTAATTTTGTGTGTATGTGCCGCTCCCTCAAGTGACCATAAGCAGTTGTAATTAACATTTGCACTGGCTGATCCCATGCCTTGCACCATGCACAGGTCTCCTTTCCAGTCCATCGGCCCTCCCGTCTCCAAGGATCTATCCTTCATTAAAGATTGTGTGTTTGTTAAATATTTTCTCCTTTTCATTCCTTTATAAGTGCTCTAGGAATACATAGCCTACCCTGAGGATGTAATTCTTTGTAGAAACCCTTCAGATATGCTGTTCCCTGCCTGGATACTCAGCGTCTGGGTCTTATTCCTCATCTTAGCTCAGTTGTTGCTTCCACAAGTCCCTTACTGACCCTCAGAATAGCGGTGGTCTGTCCTCCAGTCTCCCTGGTACTCCCATAGTCATCCGTTGCACAGTTTTGGACTTGAAATCCTGTGATTAGTTGTGTCAGCGGTGCCCTTTGCTGCCTTCCTTGTTAGAGTGTGCAACTCAGTCTTCACACGGTATCTGTGGAACCAGGCAGCTGCAGGCAGAGCACAGGTATCCAGAGAATTTTGGACTGGAACTACAATCCTGAGTTCTGATGCCATGCCTGAGGTGTGTGGAATCACCAGAAAGTGTATTCACGTAGATAGAGGAATTACAAGTCAACCTGTGTAAACATGTTAGGTGGAGCTCTTTCATATGAATGATGCTGTATTTTACCTTCTAAATTGAGTGTTCAGTTGAGCATCTTTTTTTTTTTTTTAGTATTTATTTTGAGTTGTGCACTTGAGTTTCTCTTTCATGTTTGCGTGTGCATTTTCTAGAATGGCTTCAGTCATCCATCTTCTCTGGAGGCTGCAGACCAGCCAGATCCACTACAGCTACAACGAGGAGAAAGATGAGGACCACTGCAGCTCCCAGTGGGCACACCTGCCAGCAAATCGCGACTGCTCCCACAGATGGGCCCTGGGGGACCATTCTCAGGCATTTCTGCAAGCCATTGCAGACAATAACATTCAGGATCACAACGTGAAGGTGAGCTAGGCCTGTCCCCACTGCCACCTCAGTGCTCTGTTTATCTGAGGACTTTGACATAGGAATACTTATGTGCTCTTTGGTTAACATAGCACAGACTTTGTTTCATGTATTATTTGGAGGGTTTTGAGGTGAGAACCTGATTGTGTTAACATGCTAGCAAGGCTTCGGAAGCATTACTGATTGCAAGTGCATCAGAAGCTGTGGCATGTTTAAGATTTGTGAAGACTCACTGGCCGGCCCTGAAGTTACCTCCAGCTGTTTCTGTTGCAGGGCTTTTTGTGTCAAATAGAAAGGTACTGTAGGCAGTGCCATTTGACCACACCGATCATGTTTCCCCCCGAGCACCCCGTGGAAGAGGTCGGTCGCTTGCTGTTATGTTGCTTCTTAAAACATGAAGATTTAGGTAAGGAGCTCAATATCTGTGTACTTCAGCTAGACTGCAGATTCCTCGACTAACCTGTGGTACATATTCATTCCTTCCCTGTCCTTCTTTTAAATGTCTTTTTGCAGGTCATGTGGCATTATCTTTAGTTCATGCAGGTGCACTTGATATTGAGCAAATAAAGCACAGAACGTTGCCTAAGTCAGTGGTGGATGTTTGTAGAGTTGTCTACCAAGCAAAATGTTCGCTCATTAAGGTGATATATTTTAATTCTTTTTATTCTGTGCTTTGCAGACAGTTGCAGAAATATTTGTTGTTAAAGTTGTCTTTTCCTGGTTAACTTTGCAGACTCATCAAGAACAGGGCCGTTCTTACAAGGAGGTCTGCACTCCTGTCATCGAACGTTTGAGATTCCTCTCTAATGAATTGAGACCTGCTGTTGGTAATGACCTCTCTATAATCTCTGAGTTTAAATTGTTAAGTTCTTTGCCCCGTTGGAGGAGGATAGCTCAGAAGATAATTCGGGAACGGAGGAAAAAGAGAAGTAAGAATGTAAAAGGACAGAAGATACTATTAAAGCATGTGCTTCACCCTGCCTCGCTGGACCTGTGATTTCAGAGTGAAGTTTCTCTACTGTTGATTCCATGTGACATTTCTACCTGCTGCCATCATTTTTATGTATAGTTATGATTAAATACGGAAATCTCTCCTATTTTTTCAACCGATCAGACAATGAGGCAGTTTAGGAATTGAGTGTGGTATGATTTGATTACTAGTAAATTGATGTTGAAAACGTAAATAATCTTTGCTAAATTGATGGGAACAAGGACGTATTTTTATTTTATTAGTTATCCTGGTAATGAGATATAATGGGAACATTTAAACTTATTGCCATTCTTCTAAAGAAATGTTTTTTGTTTGGAAATATTGAGTATTCTGATACATGGAGAATTATAAAGGGAAGCTGAAAGAGTTACTGACATTTTCCTGGAAGTAGCTGTGTAAGAGTACAGAAAAGTCTTTTTGCATTAAATCCAAATTTGAATAAAAATGCTTAGAAATTATAAAATAGTTTAGAATTCAGTCACTTGTGATTATAAATAAACTACAGAAGTTTCTGATTATATCCTTTTTTGTTTTCTTTGAGACGGGGTCTTGCTCTGTCGCCAGGCTGGAGTGCAGTGGTACAATCTCAGCTCACTGCAACCTCCGCCTCCCAGGTTCAAACGATTCCCCTGCCTCAGCCTTCCAAGTAGCTGGGATTACAGGCATGCGCCACCACGCCTGACTAATTTTTGTATTTTAGTAGAGACGGAGTTTCACCATGTTGGCCAGGATGATCTCGATCTCCTGACCTTGTTATCTGCCTGCCTCGGCCTCCCAAAGTGCTGGGATTACAGGCATGAGCCACCCCACCTGGCCTCTGATCATGTTCTTATGACTTATACTGATTTACTCACAAACCTGCTTATTGAACAGTATTAATTACTCAGTTTCTGATGGGCATTTTGAACAATAAGCTTATGAAAGACTAGAGCGTTTTAGAAGCCATCCTAATTTGATTGTTCCTGAACAAACCCTACACCATAACAGCCTGTCGGAATCCGATGGGTGCTCTGGATCAGGAAGTCACAGCAGTCACACTGCTGCAATTCCTTTAACCCAGGCATGCAGGAACTCAGCCCGGGCCCAGGAGACAGGCCTGCCTCAGCATGAGGGAGAGAGACTCCACCATTTGCCATTTCATATCCGTGGGTTCTGAGCCCACACTGTCACTTTTAGAGTTTCTTGTGGGTTTATAGATTTATTGTGTGTTGTTTCAAGCTGGTTTTCTTTTTTTTTTTTTGGAAATTAAGTAACTTAAGAAGATTAAGTGATTAATATTCCTGTTGCTGTGTCAGGGATCGCCAAGCCTTCTCTCAGGCTTGATGATTCACCAAAAGGACTCAGAAGAGCTGTTATACTCACAGCTGTGTGTTTTTTTTTTTTTTAACCGCAAAAAGGATACAGATTAAAATTAGCAAAGGGAAGGGTGCATGGAGGGAAGTCCAGAGGAAACTAGGCACAAGCTTTGGTGTCTCTCCCTAGTGGCGTCACGTGGATGTGCTTAGCTCTCCCAGCAACAGTGGGTCACATCATGTGTGCAGAATTGTTAACCAGGCCAGCGCACCTGAACCTAGAGTCTAGAGATTTTGTTGGGGGCCAGTCACATACGCAGGCAGTGCCCATGTGACTGACCTCAACTACTTACACTCCAGTGCCCCAGTGCAAAAACAAGTGGTCCCTCGCAAGTCACATCATTAGCATAAATTGCCTGGCCAGACCACTGCCACAAGGTCCTGGGTGTCAGGTATACCAAAAAACTTATCAGGCAGGATGTTCCAAGGCCTCAGAGCTCAGCTCCTAGAAGAAGAAGGACCAATCCTGAAGGGACAGACCTTCCTTGGGAATTTGCAGTGTTTGAGCAACCCCGGCCTGCTATGTTAGCTCTTTACTGCCCAGGTGTATTGTCATGTTGCTTATTTTTTATATTATATGCTGAGGAGATTTAGACCAAAAATTTTAAAAGAGATAAAATATAGGGAGGAAATTCCACATATCACAATGAATTCAATTAATTCAGTTACACACTAACAGAACCACTGAACTGGACCATGGTGGACAAGCCAGGAACTGTGGGCCAAATTCCACCTCTTGCTTGCTTTGTGTTGCCCGTGGACTAAGACCTTTTTTTTTTTTTTTTTTTGCAGTTTGAAATTGTTTTTTAAAAATTAAAAGAAGTATATTATTTTTGACACATGAAAATTACATGAAGCTAAAATTGTAGCACCATAAAGTTTTACGGGAGCACAGCCACACCTGTTGCTTTATCTGTGGTTACTTTTTGTGCTACAGCAGCAGAGTTGAGTATTTCCAACAGACTGCGTGGCCTGAAAGACTCAAATGTTCACTCTCTGGCACTTGAGGAAGAGCTTGCTGGCTGCTGGGCTTCCCCTGCTTCGGGGCTTCTCCCCTTGTCACACTCTCACTTTGTCATTTTGTTCTGCCATGGTGATCATTTCACTCTTGTTGTTTGAGCCTTGCAATTTATAATGTTGTTCAGATGTTTATTTGAATGAAATATTTGTCTTTCATGTAAGTCTAAGTATTTCCTAATTTAAAATTAATGTTTAAGTGTATGATTTTTTATAGTGAATGATGTTTTAAAACACAGTTCCTAAGAAGCCAGAATCTACGGCTGATGAAGAAAAAATTGGAAACGAAGAGAGTGATTTAGAAGAAGCCTGCATTTTGCCTCATAGTCCAATAAATGTGGACAAGAGACCCATTGCAATTAAATCACCCAAGGTGCAGTGTTTTCTGTGATTCTGAGGTTAGCTGAATAGAATCATAGCATGTAGCAAAGGAATCCACAGTCTTGTACCTCCGTACCTGAGCATCCGGAGGGAGGGACGGGCGGTTGTTAGAAATACGGCCCCAGTGATGGTTCATGAACTTGACTTATGATGTCCTGGTCAGAGCTGTAGCTGGAGAAGGGTTTCCTTTTATTTTTGGTACTAGATTGTATCATTAATTATTCACCATTCATTCCTTAAATATATTCTTTGTTCCAGAAACAGTGCTGGGCCCTGTGGCTATTAATATGAACCACAACTTAACTTCGTATGCCAAGCTAGCCTGTTCCAACATATATTAGTATAGAGATAAGTTCACTTATATTTATAGCATAGTTTTAAAACCATGTATTAATTACTAAATTTAACATATTTTAACCAATTTAAACCTATGAGCATTATTTATATTTTACTTGAATAACTTTTAGAGCACAGTTTAATATTAAATAGGGTAGACTAATGATGAAAATTGTTTTCCTTTGTTAGGACAAATGGCAGCCACTGTTGAGTACTGTTACAGGGGTTCACAGATACAAGTGGTTGAAGCAGAATGTTCAGGATCTTTATCCGCAGTCTCCACTCCTCAGTACAATTGCTGAATTTGCCCTTAAGGAAGAGCCAGTGGATGTGGAAAAAATGAGATAGTGCCTACTAAAACAGATAACATTTGATGAGAAATGCTTCTCTGCAGTGGGTAATATACATAACACTTAACTGTATATGCATTGATATTTTGCAGTTGGAGAGAGCAGAGGTTCGCCTGGAAGGGATAGATACAATTTTGAAATTGTATCTGGTGAGCAAGAATTTCTTACTTCCATCTGTGCAGTAAGCGATGTTTTGTGGATGGCAAAGACTTATTCCTGAAGGAATCGATATAGGGTAAAACGTTAGCATATTTTTTTCCTAACTAAGGAAGCTGTGGCAACAGAATGTTGTTCTGTAACAGTTAGAAGTCTGGCAGTGTCCCGAGTCAAATTCTTTATCTTTATTTGAAAGGGAACCTCTTACTGATTGTTTAAAGGATGTTGATTTGATCCCACCTTTTAATCGGATGCTGCTGGAAGTCACCTTTGGCAAGCTGTATGCTTGGACTGTTCAGAACATTCTAAATGTTCTGATGGATGCCAGTGCCAAATTTAAAGAGCTTGGTGACCAATTGCATCAATGTTATTTTATAGTTTGCCTTTAATTATGTGTTGTGGAAACTTGCAAATGCCAATTTTTGCTTTTGAGAAGACTGTAATAAGTTTGTACTTTGTACTTGTATAATCTATGCTGCTGTCAGCTTTCTCAGATTTTAAACAAAACTTTAAAATTTAGCAGGAGATACAATGTTGAAGTACTCTAGTATAACATTTTTACATTTTGACATTTATATGTGTATCACCACATATCCTAAGTGTCTGTGTCCTATATTAATATTTATTTCCTGGATAGTCTGAGCATCTACAGAGAGTTGATTGGATTGGTTTTGTGGAGGAAAAGTGAGACATAACTTTTATATTTGAAATGGAAGGAATGGAATAGGGCACCAGTGTATTCAGAGAGCAACATGCTAAGTCCTGTAGACAGATGGAACGACCTGTGCATAGAATACAGGGGTTAGGCCCATCGTGCAGCATGACAGAGCTGCCCACTCTGTGGAAACCACTGAAAAATAGTCAGATGTTTAGAGTAATTGCCCGTGCTTTCTGTGTTACTTTTATTCTTGTATCCACGCACAAGAAATGTCAGTGGGTGTCAATGCTTATTAGTCAGATGTTTAAAGTAATAGCCCGTGCTTTCTGCGTTATGTTTATTCTTGTATCCATCACAAGAAACGTAAGTGGGTGTCAATGCTTATTAGGTATCCAGCCGGTTCCCCTGCAGACCATCACCAGTGAGAACCCATTGGGACCGAGCCTGGGGAGCATCCCGCAAGCCCGCTTCCTCCTGATGATGCTCAGCATGCTCACCCTGCAGCACAGCGCAAACAACCTCGACCTCCTGCTCAATTCCGGCACGCTGGCCCTCACTCAGACGGCACTGCGCCTGATTGGTAGGTCTGCACTGGCTTGAGAGCCTTTGGGAAAACGTCAAGATTTTGCTTTGATTTCTTTTTTTTTTTTTAAGCTTTTTGTAAATTATGGTAAGACACAAATAGCAGAAAGTGTAGCATTTTAACGTCGCAATTCAGCAGTATTAAATACATTCACAATTTTCTAGAGTCATCACCACTGTCTGGTTGTAGAACTTTTTCATCACTATAAATGCACCCCATTTAGCCATCAGTCCTGACTCACCTGCTCTCCAGCCCCTGGTAGTCACAAATCTGCTTTCTCTGTCTATGGATTTGCATATCCTGGATATTTCATATAAATGGAATCATACCATTTGTGGCCTTTGTGTCTGGGTTATTTCATTTGGTATATATCAGTACTTTATTTTTATGGCTGAAAAAGATTTCCATTGTATGAATATATAACATTTTGTTTATTCATTTATCTGTTGATGGACATTTGGGTTGGTTTTGCCTTTTGACTTTTGTGAATAGTGTTGCTAGCAACATTTATATACAAATACTTGTTTGAACACTTGTTTCTAGTTCTTTTGATTATACACCTAGGACTGGAATTACAGGGTCATATGGTACAACTATGTGTAACTTACTAAGAGACTACCAAACTTTTCCACAGTGCCATATCATTTTTACATTCCCACCACCAGGGGGCAGGATTCCAGGGTCCCAGTTTCTCTACTTCCCTGCCAACACTATTTTTTGTGGTTTTCTTTTTTTTTTTTGGATTAAGGCCATCCTAGTGGGTGTGAAGTGCTATCTCATTGTGATTTTGATTTGCATTTCACTAATGATGAATGACATTGAGCTTCTTTACATGTTTGTGCTTGTTGGCCATTTGTATATCTTCTTCGGAGAAGTGTCTATTCAAGTCCCTTTCTCTTTATTTTTTATTTTATTTTTTTGAGACGGAATCTCACTCTGTCACTCAGGCTGGAGCGCAGTGGCACAATCTCGGCTCACTGCAACCTCCACCTCCCGGGTTCAAGCGCTTCTCGTGCCTCAGCCTCCCGAGTAGCTGGGATTACAGTCACACACCACCACACCTGGCTAATTTTTGTATTTTTAGTAGAGATGGGGCTTCGCCATGTTGGCCAGGCTGGTCTGGAACTCGTGACCTCAGGTGATCTGCCTGCCTTGGCCTCCCAAAGTGCTGGGATAACAGGCATGAGCCACTGCGCCCAGCCCCTTTCTCCTTTTTAAATAGGGTTATTTGTCGTCATCTTGTTGTTGTACCGGTAAATGCACTATGTAAGTGTACCAAACATTTAAAGAAGAATTAACACCAGTCCTCAGACTCTTTAAAAATTTCATGTATACTAGACCTTCACAGATCTGTAGACCTTTATCAGATATATCATTTGTGGGTATTTTCTCCTGTTCTCTGGATTGTATTTCCTTTCATAGAGAAGTTTTTTATTTTGATGAAGTTTAGTTTATCTGTTTCTCTTTTGTCGTCTATGCTTTTGATATCATACCCAAAAAGCCATTTCCAAATACAAGACTGATGAAGATTATCCTCATCTCATGTTTTCTTCCGTAAGTTTTATAGTTTTAGCTCTTATAGTTAGATCTTTGGTCCATTTTTAGGTAATTTCTTTTACACAGTGTATGGTAAGAGTCCAGCCTTTTCCTTTTGATTATCTGATTGTTTCAATACCACTTGTTGAGGACTATTCTTTCCCTGAAGTTCTCGGTACCCTTGGCAAAGATCAGTTGGCTGTAGATATTTAGGTTTATTTCTGGACTCTCAATTACATTATTACATTCTATATGTTGATAATTATGCAGGTACCACACTGTTTTGAACATTGTAGTTTTGTACTGTTTTAAAATTGAGAAGTGTGTCTTCTTTCTCAAGATTATTTTGGCTGCTTTGGTTCCGTTGAATTTTCATATGAACTTCAAGGCTGGCTTTTCCATATCTGCAAAAAAGACCATTGGGATTTTTGCTAGGGATTGAATCTGTAGATTGTTCTGGGGAATAGTGCCATCTTAACAATGTTAACATCCATTCTCTGAATGTGGAATGTCTTTCCATTTATTTCCGTCCTCTTTAATTTCTTTCAGCAATATTTTATTGTTTTACAGTTATCAGGGTAATAATGGCCTCATAGAATGAACTAGGTAGTGTTCCCATATATTCTATTTTTAGAAGAGTTTGAGGATTGGTGTCAATTCTGCTTTAAATGTTTGGTAGAGTTAACCAGCTAAGCTTTTCTTTGTTGAAAGATTTTTTTTTTTTTTTTTGAGGCGGAGTATCACTCTGTTGCCCAGGCTGGACTGCAGTGGCACGATCTCGGCTCACTACAAGCTCCGCCTCGTAGGTTCACGCCATTCTCCTGCCTCAGCCTCCCGAGTAGCTGGGACTACAGGCGCCTGCCACCACGCCTGGCTAATTTTTTGTATTTTTAGTAGAGACAGGGTTTCACCATGTTGGCCAGGATGGTCTCGATCTCCTGACCTCGTGATCCACCCGCCTTGGCCTCCCAAAGTGCTGGGATTACAGGCGTGAGCCACCGCGCCCGGCCTGAAAGATTTTTAATTACCGATTCAATCTCTTTACTTGTTATGGGTCTATTCAGATTTTCTATTTCTTCTTGAGTCAGGTTGGGTAATTTATGTTTCTAGGAATGTGTCCATTTTATCTAGGCTATTTTATTTGTTGGCATACAGTTGTTCACAGTGTTCTTTTATAATCTTTTTTATTTTTATGTTGCTAGTACTGTCTCCACTTACATTTCTGATGTTAGTTATTTGCATCTTTTCTCTTTTTTTCTTTTTTTTTTTTTTTGAGACGGAGTCTCACTCTGTTGCCAGGCCGGAGTGCAGTGGCACAGTCTCGGCTTACTGCAACCTCCGCCTCGCAGGTTCAAGTGATTCTCCTGCCTCAGCCTCCCAAGTAGCTGGAACTACAGGCTCCCGCCACCATGCCCGGCTAATTTTTTTGTATTTTTAGTGGAGATAGGGTTTCACCATGTTGACCAGGATGGTCTCGATCTCTTGACCTCGTGATCCGCCCACCTCAGCTTCCCAAAGTGCTGGGATTGCAGGCGTGAGCCACCTTGCCTGGCCTCTTTTTTTCTTAATTTGCGGAAAGTTTATCAGATTTTTTGTTCTTGCCAGAAACCGAACTTTTGGTTTTGTAGATTATTTTTCCATTCCCTATTTAATTTATGGCTGCTCTAATCTCTGTCGTTTCCTTCCTTCTGCTTTGTATTTTTTTGTTTTTGTTTTTTTTTTTTTGTCTTTGTTTTGAGACAGGGTCTTACTTTGTCCCTCAGGCCGAAGTACAGTGGCGCAGTCATGGCTCACTGCAGCCTCAACCTCCTTGGCTCAAGTTATCCACCTGCCTCAACCTCCCAAAGTGCTGGGATTACAGGTGTGAGGCACCACACCTGGCCTAACTTTGGTTTTTATTGTGTTCTTATTTTTTTAGTTCTTCCAGATGTAGAGTTATTGATTTGAGATCATCTTCTGTGAATGCAGACTTCTATAGTATAATTGCCCGTCTTAGCCCTGCTTTTGGCGCAGCACAGAAGTTTTGGTATGTTGTGTTTTCATTCATCTCATAGTATTTTCTAATCTCCCTTGTGATTTCTTCTTTGACCCACTGATTGTTTACCGTGTGTTGTTTAATTTTCATATACTTGTGAATTTTCCACTTTTCCTTTTGTTATTAATTTCTCATCATTTCATTTTGGTTGGAGAAGGTAATTTGTATGATTTTAGTCTGTTTAAATTTGAGACTTTGTGGCCTAACATATGGTCTGGTCAGTCTAAG
Organism: Homo sapiens; assembly: GCF_000001405.40. Classification (NCBI taxonomy): domain Eukaryota; kingdom Metazoa; phylum Chordata; class Mammalia; order Primates; family Hominidae; genus Homo; species Homo sapiens. The sequence continues at coordinate 1,027,908 of NT_187383.1, forward strand.
AGAGTGTTCTGTGGTATACTTGAGAATAATGTTTATTCTGCTCTTTTTGGTGAAATGTTCTGTATATGTCTATTAGATCTGATTGGTTTATGGTGGTGTTCTTTGGCTAAAACTGAGATGCTGCAGGGCCCGTTGTCAAAGTCACAGTGAAAAAGCAAGGTTTTCCCAAGCTCTTTTAATCACATCAGTCTTAGAGTTCACATTAATCCATTCAAAAATACGTATCAGGCCAGGCTGTAATCCTAGCACTTTGGGAGGCTGAGGCGGGTGGATTGCTTGAGCTCAGGAGTTTGAGACCAACTTGGGCAACATAGCGAAACCCTGTCTCTATAAAAAATATGAAAATTAGCTTGGCATAGTGGTGTGTGCCTGTGGTCCCAGCTACCTGGGAGGCTGAGGTGGGAGGATTGCTTGAGCCAGGGAGGCAGAGGTTGCAGTGAGCGGAGATCAAGCCACTGCACTCCAGCCTGGGCGACAGAGTGAAATCCTGTCTTGGGGGTGGGGGGAATCTTTCTGTCTGTCTGTCTGTCAGTTTGTCTCTCTCTCTCTCTCTCTCTATATATATATGTATATAATTATTTTTTAATTTATATATTATATTTATATGTTGTATTATGTTAAATATATATTTTAATATGTGTATTACAGCTGAAAAGAATCATCTAGTAAGAGTTATATCTGATTTCTTGAGGCCTCATTAGCAACCAAAAGTTACATTTAAAAATTACAGAAGCATATCTCCATCGAGAAATGGCCTTTTTATGTTGTCTGCTTTTTCCCCAGAGGTTCCAATAAGTAAAAATCACAGCACAAATCATTAAGTATGGGGACTTGTTCTGTTGATAGTATTCATGTGTTTAAATTTCATCTGGCCCACTGGCTGCAAAAAGCAAGGAAGTTGTGTCTCATGAATATCCGTCTATATTTGCAGCTTGCCCTGATCAGGGTATCCTTCTTATCATTTAAGAAATTATAAGCATATAATATTTTATACCAGCTTAATGTGTACATCCACATGTAACAGCCACAAAACATAAAGCTATGTAAAATAAAAAATTTCCCCCAGTTTTGGTTGCAAATTTATTCAAGCCCTTAGCAATAAATTCAGTCTTTACAGAGTTAACAGTATAGCTGCCCAGGGGATCCTGGGAGATCCACCTGGAATGCAACTCCTGTCCCTTCCTTGGGGCCCCTTCCTGGGAGCCCTAAAGTAGCGGCTAGGCTAAAGGAAAGGCTGTTTCCCCCGCTAGTTTATCTAAAGTTTTGCTCCAGCCCTGGGAATTGAATATCCTTTTTTGCTCTCTTGGAAGAGAGAGAAACACAAACTTTTTACATTTTTTGGCTCACCCAAGCCCACCTTTGGGACCGTTTGGATCTTTTTCCCTCCCACCTGGAGGAGAAAACTAAAATCAAGGGAGTTACCAGAACCGCACTCCTACCCGCTCTCAGTTTAGCAAGTGAGAAAAGGGGGGTTAAAAATCTAGCCTACTCTCCTAGGGTTAGCTCTCCTATTTTCAAATCCATTGGTAAGTTTTACTTCTCTCAGGTGACAGCAGCTCAGCTTCTGTTTCATGCTATGGATGACTCTGTAGCCACCCAGGGCACCAATTGTCAGGGGTCTCCAGGTTTGATGGTTGGCCAGGAGGACTCACAAGACTCAGCATGTAGTTGTACTCAGGGCTATAGTTTATTACAGTGAAGGGACACAGAGCAAAATCATGAAAAAGGACGTGTGTAAAGTCCAGAGGAAAGCAGGTACAAGCTTCCACAGGATCCACACAGGACGAGCATAACTGCCCCGGCACCGAGCCATGTCAAGTGCTGTCTGCCGGGAAGCTGGGTAGAGACTCCAGGCCCAGGGTTTCCATCAGGGCTGACCACATGGGCACCCCGTGCCTGGTGCATACCAAGTTCCAGAACAAGGAAAGCAGGTTTCAGCACAGACCATGTTGTTTGTACAGTCAATTCAGGCACAGCGAACCACAACTATCACCTAGGGAATTGGGGAGCCCTCCTGAAATCCAGACTCCAGCCGAGGGCTAGCCTGCAGCAATCCTGTCTGAGGTTGTATCTCGGGCCAGCTGTTAGCTGTCTTCTGCACAGAACCATGATTAAAGTTTGTCAGTTTCCCACTGTTAGATATTTAGGTAGTTATCTTTGTTTTTCTATTAATAAAAAATGTGATGAGTATCTTTCTAACTCAGTTATTTTGCTTTTTACGGGGGAGTAATTCCTAGAAGTAGAGAAAGTAGCTTTACTGAGCATTTTAATATCTTTTATATCTTCCTAGGATATTTATGTATTTTGTCCTTCCGTTTACCTTCTTTTTATCGTATATCAGTAAAATATTCATAGTATTATATTGATAAACATATAGTATGGATTCTTCAAAACATTATGATCTTCATTAGTATTTTTTAAATGTTTTGTGTGTATTAAAGGGACATTGTAGCTACTTGTTGGCTCAGCTATTGTTTTTGATGCTCTGTCAGGCCCCAGTTGTGACAATGTTGAGGAAGATATGAATGCTTCTGCTCAAGGTGTTTCTGCCACAGTTTTGGAAGCAACAAGGAAGGAAACGGCTCCTGTGCATCTCCCTGTTTCAGGGCCAGAACTGGCTGCCACGATGAAGATTGGAACGAGGGTCATGAGAGGTGTGGACTGGAAATGGGGCGATCAGGTACTCAGAGATTTGATGTGAACACATTAGCCACACATTAGTTATCTTCTGCACAGGTCTGTACGATACTGGTGGGTGGAAATTGGAATAATCCAGGATGTGTCGGTTGATAGATGACACAGGTGTTGGTTCCCGAGCTGCTGAAGGGAGTGAACACAAATAGGGAATCATAAGTAGGGCATCTGAGCAGAATCAAGTCTGGAAAGAGAGGCAGCTCTTTTCAGGAAACTCACTGGCATGAGGCTCAGTTTGATGGGTCACTGGAACAAGAGTGAGAGTGAGCAAGAGAGTAAATCTCATTCTGAAAGTTGGTGTAGTGAAGGCTCTGAGGCAGGAAGCCCAGATTCTGCCCCTGTGAGCTGATGGCCACGTGCTGCGAAGTGCCCTGAACCCAGTAGTTAGGGATATACTTCATGGGCCTGTGGCCATGTCTCCATTTTCCCTCATCGCAGGTGTCTTCTAAATCGCTGCCAGGTGCCCCCAGGTGGAAGTCACTTACCACAGCCCTAGCTAAGTTAGGGCAGTGTTCACCTTCCCATGGTCTGTCTAGCTTTTCTCAGCCACGCTAGTAAGCCCCGGCTTTGTCACAGTCATCTTAGAAATAGCAGTGTCTGGAGACAGCAGCATCCATCCTAGAAACAGCTTTCTCCTACAGAAGTGAGAGACAGAGCTTCCCCCTGGGGCCCGGAGGAAACTGAAGAAAAGGGAATGTGCAGGTGCTGGTACTTGTTTCAGGTTTCTGCTCTTGCAAGGCCGGTGAGGGATTGAGGGGTCAGGACTTGCTGCAAAGCCCTGTCTGTGCATTAACTCAGAGGATCCTCATTGAGATGAGATTTCCCCTACTTCCTTGGTAAAGCAGCATGAGCACGTTATTTTATGCCATTTAATTTAAAATGATGCAAGCACACATTTTGTAGGAGAGGTGAAATCTGTGTCTGGGGACAGCCCCTGACAGACAGGGTGGCATATGGCGACATCTGTGTGGCAGGTCTGGTGTGAGCCATGGAAGGACCAGGACAGAGCACGCACCCTTCTAACTGAGGTCTGGTGGGAGCCATGGAAGGACCAGGGCAGGGCACGCACCCTCCTAACTGAGGTCTGGTGGGAGCCATGGAAGGACCAGGGCAGGGCACGCACCCTCCCAACTGAGGTCTGGTGGGAGCCATGGAAGGACCAGGGCAGGGCACGCACCCTCCCAACTGAGGTCTGCTGGGAGCCATGGAAGGACCAGGGCAGGGCACGCACCCGCCTAACTGAGGTCTGCTGGGAGCCATGGAAGGACCAGGGCAAGGCACGCACCCTCCTAACTGATCTCTACTTGGGCTTTGTCAGGATGGGCCTCCTCCAGGCCTAGGCCGAGTGATTGGTGAGCTGGGAGAGGACGGGTGGATAAGAGTCCAGTGGGGCACGGGCAGCACCAACTCCTACAGGATGGGGAAAGAAGGAAAATACGACCTCAAGCTGGCAGAGCTGCCGGCCGCTGCACAGCCCTCAGCAGAGGATTCGGACACAGAGGACGACTCTGGTGGGTGACTCAGGAAGGCCTTTAGTCCAAGGCAGCCCACAAACTGTCCAGGTGCTGGCTGCCACCACTGCCATCTGGGCCTTAGAATGGGATGTCAGGACGCACCTGCAGCTGGCACTCTGTCCTCGGAACCTGCCATTTAAATAAGCTCCCAGGCACCTCCGATGCAGGTGCATGGAGTGGCTGTGGGATCCGGCGATCTGTCTGGAACTGACTTTCTGCATTTTCCTCTCACGTGTGCACCTGCCCCTCTTTGAGAATGTGGTGGCCAGGTCGGGGCAGCTGCACCACCAGTGAGTCTCATGTGGTTGGTGCTGAGCCTGCATCTGAGCGAGTGAGCCGAGGCCTGGTGGAATTGCCCTGCGGTCTCGGTCCATTGCCTCCTCCTCCAGTGAGAGCCCCCGCCTGAGCACACCCAACCTGCCACCTGTCTTTACCTTTCCTCTGCGGTCCCTGACTCTGAACTCTTCAAGTAATGTGGAGTTAGTCAGCACTTTATTGCTTCTAGGGAAGCAGAGGTGAGAATTTAGGGGTGGACCAAGAAAGCTAGATCCTATCTGTGGAGATCCAGGTTGTGGGAGGAGGTTTCATGACATTTCTTAGCTGTTCCTAAAAGACATGCGAAGCTTCACATGGCTGGGCTTGGTAAGACCATCCAAGAGGCTGGGGCTGCCAATATAATTTGTTATTTTGATTATTTTTTTTAGAAGCTGAACAAACTGAAAGGAACATTCACCCCACTACAATGATGTTTACCAGCACTATTAACTTACTGCAGACTCTTTGTCTGCCTGCCAGAGTTCATGCTGAGATCATGCAGAGCGAAGCCACCAAGACTTTATGCGGACTGCTGCAAATATTAGTGGAAAGCGGAACGACGGACAAGACACGCATGGAATGAGAGATTGAAGGCCCAGGGAGTCAGCGCTGGGGGCCGCACGCTTGTCGTGTCCGGGTGTGCATGTGGGTGGGTGTGGATGTGTGTGGATTCATTTCCTGTGGCTGCTGTAACAAAGTACTACAAACTTGGGGGCTTACGCAGTAGAAATTCTCATGATTCTGGTGGTTGGAAGACTGAGATCAAGGGTGGTTCCTTCTGGGGCTGTGAGGGAGAAGCTGCTTCAGGGCTCTGCCCCAGCTTCTGGAGTTTGCTGGCCTCTTTAGCGTTCCTCGGCTTGTAGAGGGGTCACCCTGATCTCTGCCATCATCTTCACATGGCATTCTCCCTGTGTGTGAGTCACCTCCAAATCTCCCCTTTTCATAAGGACATCATTCAACCTCATCAAACTGATTACATCTGCAGCGGCCCTATTTCCAAACAAGGTCACCTGCCGAGGTATGGTAGGGGTTAGGGCTTCAACATACGAATTTTGCAATTCTGAATTCAACCCATAACACTGGCTTCAAACAACAAATTTGTTCTCTCAGAGTTCTGGAGACCAGAAGTCCCAAATCCAGGTGCGGGCAGGGCCATGCTCCCTCCACAGGCTCTAGGGGAAGGTCCTTCCTTACCTTATCCAGCTTCTGGGAGCTCCAGGCTTCCCTGGTGTGGGGACGCATTGTGCCAGTCTCAGAGGCCTGCGTCTTCACATGGCCCCTGCCCCTGTGTTCTGCATGTCTTTTTCTGTCTCTGAAAGGACTCTTTCATTGAGCTTCTTTGACTCTAATCCAACATGATGTCACCTAAATTCTTACCTTAAGGACGTCTACAGAGACCTCATTAAATAAGATCATATTCTGAGTTCCGAATGTATGTGAAGTTGGGGGACAGGCACAGTTTAATCCATAAAGTGTTTGTGTGTGTGGAGAGTAAGTATGAGAAATGTGAGCTGAGGGAGTGGGGTGAGTGTGCATGCGACTGAGAGTGAGCACATGTGAGGGTGGGTATGTGGGTGTGCTCCAGTGTGTGTGAGAACATGCATGTATTAGTGGTGTGCTGGAGCATCTGCACATATTGGTGAGAGTGTGTTAGCGGTTGATGGGCAAGTGGCTGAGCGTTTGTGTTGCAAGTGTGACAGTGTGTTTGTAGCATGTGGTTGTGTGGGTGTATGTATGCATGCATTTATGTGAGTGGTGTGTATGTCCGTGACAGCATGTGAGTGGGCAGGTGACTACAGTCAGGTGAAGTGGGAGTGAAAGCGTCAGTGCATTGAGCCAGTGTGTGTGTGAGGGTGAGCACGAGGGAGGCATGAGTGTGAGTGTGAGGGGATTACTGGGTGTGCCAATGAGATGAAGTGTAAGTCAGTGAGGCTTGATGAGTGTGAGGAAGTATGGGTGGCAGCACAAGTGTAAGTGTGCGATTGTGAGCATTTGTGTAAATGTGTATGAGTGCCTTGAATCAGTGTGAGCACGAGTGACGTTATTGTGAAGGCGTGTGAGCGAATGTGAGCATTTTGCTTGTGTCAGTGGGAGGTAACAGTGTAGGTGTGAGTAAAGTGAGGAAGTGGGTGTAGGTGTGAGTGTAAAGTGAGAAAGTGGGTAAAGGTGTGAGTGGGTGAGGAATCGGTTGTGACTAGTGTTGAGTGTGAGTGCATATGTGAGTTTTTGTATGCAGTGGGAGGGGTAAGTGTATGTGAGAGTGCATAGGAGTGTGTGTCAGATTGCATCTTAGGTTGTGTGTGCATACGTGTGACTGGGATTGTGTGTGTTAGTGATTGCGACAGTGGTGTGAGTGCACCTGTGTGAGGGTGGGTGTGTGAGTGCCCATGAGTGTGTCTGAATAACTTGGTGTGGGTGTGAGGATGCATGTGAGGGTGTGAGAGTGTGTGTGTGTGAGCGCATGTGAGTATGCTGAAGGAAGGCAGGTGTCCTCAAAAGCTTGGATAGCTGAGGGCGGGGGAGGTGGGCGGGTGGGAGGTGGGAGGCGAGAGCAGGTCCTGTGGGGCTGTGGGCGGGGTCCCTTAGGGGGGCCCAGCCTCCAAGCCTCAGCCTCCATTCAGGGAGTAATGGAGTCCTGGAGCCAGGCGGAGCAGAGGTGGGCCCACTGGTGCCAGAATCCAGTGGTGTAAACCTAGTGAAAAACTCATTTTGTTAATGCAGATGTATTAAACTTGGATTGGAAACTGTCTCTACTAAAAATGCAAAAAAAGTATTTAAGTGGTGCAGATTAAATATAAGCAAGATTGTGGAGATATTTAAAACACAAAATTAAAAATACAGTAGATACACTGTTGCAAATTACTGCTATTTGAATTATAGATCATTTTCTTATTGCCTAGAAACAATACATAGCTAAAATTCCCTAACTACTTTTACTACACATACTTAGAAGGTTTTAAAAATACCTGTAGTCTCAGCTATTCAGCAGGGCAAGGCAGGAGAATCACTTGAAGGAGTTTTAGACCAGCCTGGGCAACGTAGTGAGGGCAGGGCCCATCTCTTAAAAAAAAAAAAAAAAAAAAAAAAAAAAAAACAAAAATGCGGAAATGTTTCTTGAACTACCTTAAAAGCCTTCTTGCACTTCTCACTTTGAATTAGTTTGAATTAATTTACAAACTGCAATATATTTTAAAGGAGCTTATTGTAGAAAATAAAATAAGTTGATAAAAAAATAAGGATTTATCTTTAGGGATTTGTCTTTAGGGACTTGTTACCAAGCATGTCTATTTTCCCTCCCGCAGCTTCTCCAAACAGGCTGGTGTACAGGGAGCAACACCGGAGCTGGTGCATGCTGGGGTTTGTGCGGAGCATCGCTCTCACGCCGCAGGTGTGCGGCGCCCTCAGCTCCCCGCAGTGGATCACGCTGCTCATGAAGGTCATGAAAGGGCACGCACCCTTCCCTGCCGCCTCGCTGCAGAGGCAGGTAACGTGCTGCCAGGCAAAACCAGTTCCCTGAGAGAGGCATCCATGTACTGAAGTTCCCTGCCCTTAGAGTCGGGCCTTTATTCAGTAAGGAGTGCAGAAAGGGTCTAGAAGTAACAGGGTAGATTTTCTGGAGGCAAGGGGCAGTGGTCCTTGATAATTGGTAAGTTACTAACCTTTAGTTTACCTGCTTTTAAGTGGTAAATCCTGCAACTACTTGCTCATCTGCTTCACAGAATTTGTAGCATAATTGTCTTAAGAATTAAACTAAAAATAATTCTTTTTTAATTAAACACATGCATCTGTAATGTTGCTTTTTTCTAAAGTCCCTGACAATCCTAATCACTAATCAACTTGAGTGTAATTACCTGGCTGTAAAATAACGAATCTCAAAATTTTCACATGATTATTTGCATTATGAGAACAGAAAATAAAGAGAGGCTGGGCGCAGTGGCTCATGCCTGTAATCCCAGCACTTTGGGAGGCCGAGGCAGGTGGATCATGAGGTCAGGAGTTTGAGACCAGCCTGGCCAACATAGTGAAATCCTGTCTCTACTAAAAATCCAAGAAAAATGAGCCGGGCTTGGTGGTGGGTGCCTGTAATCCCAGCTACTCAGGAAGCTAAGGCAAGGAGAATCGCTTGAACCTGGGAAGTGGAGGTTGTAGTGAGCCGAGACCGTGCCACTGCACTCCAGCCCGGGTGACAGTGCGAGACTCTGTCTCAAAAAAAAAAAAAAAAAAAAAAAGAAAGAAAAGAGAAAGTAACAGTCTGTAGTTTCTTAATCAGATTTTTAATGCTTGTTATTTTAAGTTTTCTTTTATCAGATCTTAGCTGTGCATTTGTTGCAAGCAGTCCTTCGGTCATGGGACAAGACCAAAAGGGCGAGGGACATGAAATGCCTGGTGGAGAAGCTGTTTGACTTCTTGGGGAGCTTGCTCACTACCTGCTCCTCTGACGTGCCATTACTCAGAGGTGGGTGGCCGTCTCCCTTCCCCATGCCCTGGTGAAGAGCGGCACAGTGCCATCACTCAGAGGTGGGTGGCTGTCTCCCTTCCCTGTGCCCTGGTGAATTGCGGCACAGTGCCATCACTCAGAGGTCGGTGGCCGTCTCCCTTCCCTGTGTCCTGGTGAAGAGCAGTGCAGCAGCTTCTCCCCTTGTTTCCTCCTCAGAGTCCATGCCGAGGTGGCGCAGGGTGCGCCCGCAGGCCTTGCTGACTGCCACCCATAGCAGCACACTGGTGGAGGTGGTGGTGGCACTGCTGTGCACGCTGCACTCCCTGACTCAGTGGAATGGGCTCATCAACAAGTACATCAACTCCCAGCTCCGCTCCATCACCCACAGCTTTGCGGGAAGGCCTTCTGAAGGGGTGAGTTTGTGTTCTCAGAATTAATTTAGTTGAACAGTAAACTTGTAGGGATTGGGCAGCTCCGTGAGTGTCCCTGGTCGAGCTCACTGTTTGGTCTGCACTAGGCCCAGTTAGAGGACTACTTCCCCGACTCCGAGAACCCTGAAGTGGGGGGCCTCATGGCGGTCCTGGCTGTGATTGGAGGCATCGATGGTCGCCTGTGCCTGGGCGGCCAAATTGTGCACGATGAGTTTGGAGAAGGCACTGTGACTGGCATCACCCCGAAGGGCAAAATCACCGTGCAGTTCTCTGACATGCGGACGTGTCACATTTGCCCATTGAATCAGCTGAAACCAGTAGGTGAACTTGTGCTCAGTTACTGTATGATAAGGGAAATTGGCTTTACACTAGGACCCAGCACCAACATTAGCACTTGAAAGAACTTGATTCTGGTACTTCAAGTTTGCCTTCTAGGAAGCTGTGTGAGCTTGCGCTTCTGTGGTGAGCAGGGCCTGTCTCACAGGGCACCTAAAGCAGTGGTTCCTGTGTTTTTCAGCCTCAGAGACATGAAGAGGGCTTTAGCAACCTAGAAGGTACCGTGCGTCTATGAGGTAGTTCTAATTATTTTAAAATGTGAATTTATGAAGTTTACTTTTTATTGAACAACTCAAGTTTTAAAAAAACTTTTTTTTAAAGTTTTTTTTTTTCTTTTATTATTATACTTTAAGTTTTAGGGTAAATGTGCACATTGTGCAGGTTAGTTACATATGTATACATGTGCCATGCTGGTGCGCTGCACCCACTAACTTGTCATCTAGCATTAGGTATATCTCCCAGTGCTATCCCTCCCCACTCCCCCCACCCCACAACAGTCCCCAGAGTGTGATGTACCCCTTCCTGTGTCCATGTGATCTCATTGTTCAATTCCCACCTATGAGTGAGAATATGCGGCGTTTGGTTTTTTGTTCTTGCGATAGTTTACTGAGAATGATGATTTCCAATTTCATCCATGTCCCTACAAAGGACATGAACTCATCGTTTTTTATGGCTGCATAGTATTCCATGGTGTATATGTGCCACATTTTCTTAATCCAGTCTATCATTGTTGGACATTTGGGTTGGTTCAAAGTCTTTGCTATTGTGAATAATGCCGCAATAAACATACGTGTGCATGTGTCTTTATAGCAGCATGATTTATAGTCCTTTGGGTATATACCCAGTAATGGGATGGCTGGGTCAAATGGTATTTCTAGTTCTAGATCCCTGAGGAATCGCCACACTGACTTCCACAATGGTTGAACTAGTTTACAGTCCCACCAACAGTGTAAAAGTGTTGCTATTTCTCCACATCCTCTCCAGCACCTGTTGTTTCCTGACTTTTTAATGATTGCCATTCTAACTGGTGTGAGATGATATCTCATTGTGGTTTTGATTTGCATTTCTGTGATGGCCAGTGATGGTGAGCATTTTTTCATGTGTGTTTTGGCTGCATAAATGTCTTCTTTTGAGAAGTGTCTGTTCATGTCCTTCGCCCACTTTTTGATGGGGTTGTTTGTTTTTTTCTTGTACATTTGTTTGAGTTCATTGTAGATTCTGGATATTAGCCCTTTGTCAGATGAGTAGGTTGTGAAAATTTTCTCCCATTTTGTAGGTTGCCTGTTCACTCTGATGGTAGTTTCTTTTGCTGTGCAGAAGCTCTTTAGTTTAATTAGATCCCATTTGTCAATTTTGTCTTTTGTTGCCATTGCTTTTGGTGTTTTAGACATGAAGTCCTTGCCCATGCCTATGTCCTGAATGGTAATGCCTAGGTTTTCTTCTAGGGTTTTTATGGTTTTAGGTCTAACATTTAAGTCTTTAATCCATCTTGAATTGATTTCTGTATAAGGTGTAAGGAAGGGATCCAGTTTCAGCTTTCTACATATGGCTAGCCAATTTTCCCACCACCATCTATTAAATAGGGAATCCTTTCCCCATTGCTTGTTTTTCTCAGGTTTGTCAAAGATCAGATAGTTGTAGATATGCAGCGTTATTTCTGAGGGCTCTGTTCTGTTCCATTGATCTATATCTCTGTTTTGGTACCAGTGCCATGCTGTTTTGGTTACTGTAGCCTTGTAGTATAGTTTGAAGTCAGGTAGTGTGATGCCTCCAGCTTTGTTCTTTTGGCTTAGGATTGACTTGGTGATGCGGGCTCTTTTTTTGGTTCCATATGAACTTTAAAGTAGTTTTTTCCAATTCTGTGAAGAAAGGCATTGGTAGCTTGATGGGGATGGCATTGAATCTGTAAATTACCTTGGGCAGTATGGCCATTTTCACGATACTGATTCTTCCTACCTATGAGCAGGGAATGTTCTTCCATTTGTTTGTATCCTCTTTTATTTCCTTGAGCAGTGGTTTGTAGTTCTCCTTGAAGAGGTCCTTCACATCCCTTGTAAGTTGGATTCCTAGGTATTTTATTCTCTTAGAAGCGATTGTGAGTGGGAGTTCACTCATGATTTGGCTCTCTGTTTGTCTGTTGTTGGTGTATAAGAATGCTTGTGATTTTTGTACATTGATTTTGTATCCTGAGACTTTGCTGAAGTTGCTTACCAGCTTAAGGAGATTTTGGGCTGATACAATGGGGTTTTCTAGATATACAATCATGTCATCTGCAAACAGGGACAATTTGACTTCCTCTTTTCCTAATTGAATACCCTTTATTTCCTTCTCCTGCCTAATTGCCCTGGCCAGAACTTCCAACACTTTGTTGAATAGGAGTGGTGAGAGAGGGCATCCCTGTCTTGTGCCAGTTTTCAAAGGGAATGCTTCCAGTTTTTGCCCATTCAGTGTGATATTGGCTGTGGGCTTGTCATAGATAGCTCTTATTATTTTGAAATACCTCCCATCAATACCTAATTTATTGAGAGTTTTTAGCATGAAGGGTTGTTGAATTTTGTCAAAGGCCTTTTCTGCATCTATTGAGATAATCATGTGGTTTTTGTCTTTGGCTCTGTTTATATGCTGGATTACATTTATTGATTTGTGTAGCGATTGCACCACTGCACTCCAGCCTAGGCAACAAAGGAAGACCCCATCTCAAAAAATATATATAATAATAAAAATCAACTCTCATTGATTTCTATGTAAATATGCACAGGTGATGTCCATATAGACATAAAAAATAATATTTCTGACAGTGGGTCCATATGATCTTCAAAATGTAAAATGCCTGTCTGTGTAATTGACTGGTTAGACTCATTAATGAATATAGATTCAATTCTACTTTCTTGTTGTAGATAAATTATATAATCTAGCTTTTCATTTCACTTTTTTACTGATAACAACAGGAAGAATGACAAGATATGTATTTTGGAAAATTACTCTGGTAGGAGTAAAGATGAAACAATGATAGAATTGCACGGACAACTAGAAAAAAGTATGGTCTTCTGATATTCTATCACATCACATACTAAAGGCCTCATAAAACTCAGATATTTTATCTAAAAATGTTATTTTCATCATAGGAATGATCAAAGCATGAGAGTACAGTTGTATTAAAATGTGCTTGTATCACAAGCACAGGTGCTAAAAAGGAGGGGAAAACATCCTTACTGATATTTTCAATGTATGTTTTACTTTTCATCAACATGAACCTCAACTTGATATGATGCAGATTGAAGGAAATCACCCATAATTCCATATGAAGAAGGCCTGTGATATTTTATGGGAAAATAAATAGAGAAAATGCTAACGGAAACTCTGTTAAGCATGAAGCTTTATGGAGCAAACACAAATCCAGTGGTGAAAGATACACACTCGAGTTCTGTTTGTTGTCTTGGAACAATACGGTTTAGAGGTGACTGGCGGGTGAGGAGAACATATGCGAGTTCACCAAAGAGAAAAGCTGAATGAGGCAATGCCTCTTCCTGACCATATCTCTTACTCAGATAACTATAGAATTTATTTTCCAGTAAAGGGTATATTAAAAAATCATATTAAAAGTCATGCAGTGAAGTTGTCCAGGGAAATCAAGACTTAACAGTCTCACTCTGACAATAATGAACAGGGGGATTCCCTCAAGATAGACTAGGACATGACCCCACACTGGCAGGTAGTAGTACGAGAAAAGAACGCATGGAAAATCTTTACCTTATGCTTGAGGTAGGGACCAGGCTAAAGTGAAAGCCAGACCTAAAATTCTATCTAAAATAAATCCACAATTGAAGAAAATATGTGGTGTACAGGCATAGAATGTCTTTACTGGATCATTAAAATAGTAAGATAAATTGAACTTTTTACATTGTTTTCTTTTCCTCCAGTTAGGGCTTGAGGTTTGTCTCTGGAGAGTGACTGTCAATTGGAGCCCTGCCTTTCTGGGGTTCTGGTCAGGGGGTTGTGGATGCTTAACATGTGCCTTTCACAGGACACTTCCTTACCCCAGCAGTGGCCAGGTGTGCATCCCACGGCCAGGCCTCCCTCTCACAGAACATCTGTTGAGACTAGGAGATGCCTAGTGACTGTTGCCTGACTTGTGTCCTGTGTATTTCTGACAAGAGCCACTCTCAGAGACCCTGGCCAGGAAGAGAGTTAGGTTCCAGTGTAGGTCAGCTCAGACACATGGAGGCCACAGAACCAAACATGGGAAATCACAGAAGTAGGTTTATTACTCACAGATCCAGAGAGAAGAGGGTAGCTGAGAAGAGGGTTTAGCTGTGTCCCCAGCCAAATCTCATCTTGATTTCCCACATGTTGTGGGAGGGAACAGGTGGGAGGTAATTGAATCACGGGGGCAGGTCTTTCCCATGCTGTTCTTCTGATAGTGAATAAGTCTCACAAGATCTGATGGTTTTATAAAGGGGAGTTTCCCTGCACAATCTCTCTTGTCTTGTCTGCTGCCATGTGAGATGTGCCTTTCAGCTTGCGGCATGATTGTGAGGCCTACCCAGCCATGTGGAATCGTGCGTCTATTAAACCTCTTTCTTCTGGAAATTACCCAGTCTTGGGCATGTCTTTACCGGCAGTGTGAAAATGGACTGATACAGTAGCACACCTCATAGGGCTGAACAAAATGGGGAAGATGAGTGGGGAGCAGGAGACAGAAAAGGGGTCTGTGGGACTCCAGCCATTATTTGGCCCAGAACATTACCCAAATAAGTTTTCCACGGGGTACTAGTCAGTAGGGTGAGTGCCAGCAGGCACATTTCTTGACTCCCGCTGCAACCGAGCTGGTTACTGTGGCATGTGGGTGCTGTCCATGTGTGCTGTGAAGTCTGTGGGGTGAGTCAGGTAGGTTGTATCCAACGATTCCATAGCTGGTAGTCACCACGAGGAGACAACTGTGTAGGGTCAATATCTGGGCCAACCACACTGAGGAACTGTGAAGGTTAGAACTGGAAATTGTCAAGAGAATCCGAACCCAGCTACCATATGAGAGAGTTCAACTTATGTTCAATGTGAATGCCATGGCAATATTAAAAGGTAAGAATTCGATCCATATGTGCTTGAGGTAAAGAGGAGAAACCTAGAATTTACGTAAACAGTGAGAAGATTGGATGCGTTTTCCGTCTCATATTTTAATACTAGCAGCTTATTATATATGTCAATCCATCAGGCATTCAGAAATACATGCTTATGAAAATTTTTTGCACCATCAGACAAAAGACAAGTGTAGAAGACATTTGTAACCCTATAAACACTAGTAAATTAAAAACAGAAGGACCTTTATGTCCTAACATATCTGTGTTGTGAAAGGCTGCCCTGTGAAATACGGGATTTCTTAAACATATTTTAAAAATCATAGGTGTCAATATTTTTTAGAAATCCATTTAAATTTTCTCTTGTTATTTTACAATGCCTATTTATTTATATAGTGGCTCTGCTGATTTTGATGTATATCCTAAAGTTTATATTTTCTTTAAAGGATGTTTTATACAACTTTATGTAAAATGTTTCAGTATCTTCACATTCTCTCCCTGTCCTTTTGTTTTGCTCTTATATGGTGGTCTTGAGTCTTTTCTCTGGCTTTTCAAACCTAGTAAGACTAAGACACTAAAGTAACTTTGCCCGAGGTTTGGTAATGCCTTCTAAAGCACATCCTAAGCTCTCGTGCATACAGGGGCCTCCTTTGAGCTCTGTGCTTTTGAGATCCCATACACCTAAATTCCAGTACTCCAAATCAGTACTGCTCAGTTTTAGTGACTAAGTTTAAAAATGTATTTTAATAGCAAGTTAGTTTAGTGCCCTCTTGCTTCTTTCTCGACTGCTTGTATACATGTATATTCCTTTAAATGAATCTTGGAATTTATTTAGAAATATTAAATTATACTAATGAAACTGTATATTGTTGTGAATTCATAAGTGAATTTGGAAAGAATTTGTCTTTATGATACTAAATCCTTTTTATTCAAGAATCATATGTGTCTTTATATTTATTCCAGTCTACATTTATATCACTGAGTAAATATATAGAAATGTGGATACATACAGCTGTAGTTACAGATACAAATATAGATATAACCTGTTAAATCTATATCTATCCCATATAACATATATACATGTAATATGTGTGTGTTTATATATATATGTTTATGTCATTAAAGAGCTCCCTTAATATTTTTCTTTTATTTCCCTTATAATTTGAGGTTGAGCTTGAATTTTCCTTGTATAAACAAGCAAATATTTATACTAGTTTTAATACTGATGTTTAGACATTGTATCTTATTTTAGCGCTGAATATTTTCACAATTATTATAAATATTATCTAATACTAATAATGTACCTGTTAAAAATATTTAAAATTTTACCTTTGAATTATTTTATTGTTGAATTAAAATTCCTTTAATATGATAGTAAATTCTATTTTATGCTTTCTCTATGCATATGCAAATTAATCTATCCACTTCTCTATCTCTATGTAGTAACATATGAAAATCAGGCCTCTCTTCTTCTAATGGACATACACGTTTGCATATAGAATATCAGACTCTTTGTAGCATTTAAAATCTTTAAAGACATGAATATTGCCTTTTAACAAATATATTTTACCATGTACTGAGAATCGCCTATTTATTTTTAGTTTGGGCTAATCAATATGATTATTAATATTACTGGATTACCAAATTTGGAAACACACTTTCATCCCAAATGTGGATATTTGTTTTTTTTTTTTTTTTGCCAATTTCTTGTCTTACTGTTTCAAATATTGTTGGATATTATTTGTATTTTATTTGGCATTTTAGTATCAACATTTGTAATTGAGGTACTCTACATATTTTTTCATCAATATCTGGTGGGTTTCATAGTTACTGCTATATTGGATTTGTAGTAGACATTGACAAAAATTATTCCTGTATGTTTTACAGCTGTATGAAGGAAACTAATATATTTTACCCCTAAATATATTTCCTTGATATATTTCAAAATGGCTATTGAGAAGGGCTGCAAATGCAATGTTAGCTGCAAAGCTGTCTTGGGGAGATTTGCATCGGTAGAGAATCTGCCATGATGCAGCCAGGTTTTCTCTGAGGTCTGCCCCCTTGTCTGGATCTAGGAAAGGTTAACTGAGAGGCTGAGGTCTCTAAAGGTCTGAAAGAAACATTTTCTGTCTATTCTCTCTGAGGACTACTCCCAGTGAGGTTCCACCAATGTAATAAGTCCACTGTTGCTAGCCAGGGTCGTTTTCTCACATAACCTTTTTCTTTCTTTTCCCTGTGATCCAAGACCCCATTTTTCTGTAAACTTCATGTGGTAGATAAGCTTCTGCTCGCATCGTGTGACTGGGTCTTCGTTCTAAGGGTTCCAGTGTACACACATTGCAGAAACCTGTATGCCTTTTCTACTATTTATCTGCCTCCTATTAGTGATTTTCAGGGAAACTTCAGAAGGCAAAAGCGACATTCTCTTTAGCCCATTCTCAGACAAATTCCCCCAACATTTAACTGATTCCTAATAGCTTAAAATCACATTGAAAAAATCCATGTATTTATATCCTTTTCTTCCCTCAATGATTTCTGGTCAGCTTGGGTTTTGTTTTTCATTCCATTTACCTCATCCTCGAAAAGATGTATCTTACGTCTATTTATTCTCATTTATGGACATTGAGAAAAGAAAATAACTTTCATGTGAGAAATGCAAGTCCTTTTATATAATCAGGCCCAGAGAGTTATTCAAATGAGACAGCAGTTCTGTCCTGCTCCTCTTTGAGCTGTGTGTTCATCTAGGCTGCTTGCTGTTGCCACAGTAGCTATAAATTAACCAATAACGCCACACCAGACACTATAATCCACACCCCAAAATAGTGTAACAGTGTATAGCCAGTCACTAATAAATGTTATTTCCATAAGCCAATGAGAATTTGTGACAAACCTCTTTGCATCATCCCACTTCTGGACCCTTTTTTGCCTTTAAGAAACTGCTTGTTGCAAAGCTCCAAAGGGAGTTCATATCCAAGGATACTTGGGTCTGTTTCTTCCAGGCAGCTGTCCTCATTGTGGCTCAAGTAAACTCTTTGAATTATGTTTTGTGCTTCAGCCCCTTCCACTTAGATTAACAACATGGATTTGTGTCACCATGTACAGCAATTAAAATGTTTACACTTTTCCCCTCGAGGGCACTGATGTGTTTTCCTGAGCACTTGGAATAGCTACGTAGTGTTTCCTGTCTAGATTATGGTTTCTCAATCTTGGTGCTACTTACCTTTAGGACCAGAGGATTCTTTGTTGTGGGAGGCTGCCCTAGCAATGTTAGGTGTTTCGTTTGACCTCTAAATTTCACACCTCCACCAGTCTTGACATCCCCACAATAACCCTAGACATTGACAAATGTCTCCTGGGGAAAACTCTCTACCAGTTGACAGGCAAAGTTCTGGAAATATTGGAATTGTCAATTGAGATTTTATGTTATCCAAAACAAATATTTTTCTTTGTTTTTAAACATCTACTTCCATCTACTTATCTACTTATTTTTACTTTTATTTGTAACTTAATTCCATCAAGGAGAGAGAGTGCATTTTCTGTTATTCTAAATTTTTGAAGAATGTATTGATTTTTTATGACCTGATATATGGATGATATGTAGATATTACATGTTTGTATTATCAAATTTCAGGGTGATAATAAAATAAATACTTATAATATTTATATTGTCACTGTATATTAGTTATTTTCTTTCTTCACTACAGGAGTTTTTCAACCTATAGGCTATTTTTCAATTCTAGGTTATCCAGTAGATTTTGAAATGTTATGATTAAATATCTACTTCTCAAGCATTCATCTTTGCAAATGAAACAATCCCAAGCTCTTATAATGCACATCCTATAAAGGGCAGATTAGTCAATATATGGTTCAGAAATAATTATGTAATATTTATAAGAAAATTAAAAATTTAGATCTTTAACTCAGATAACAATAATCCAAATTAAAATGTGATTTCATTACGTAATTTAAAATGACACCAGAATACTAGTAAAAATTATATTAAAAAGTTTATGTAATCTTTTTTAGCTGTAGGACTTTATTAGCATAAATTCAAATACAGGAACCAAAGTAGGATTGAGACCTGTAGTCAAAGGTTAAAATGTACACATTATAGGGGCATGATTAAACTAATTTAAAGCATAATAACATGGAGAAATGTTGCAAAACATACATTTTACTGAATTAATTGTTAGTATCTAATCATTTTGTGAGAACCAAATTAAAAAGTAGCTACACATGCACACACCCACACAGAAGTGCAATATTGTCAAATAAACGATGTTCAGCTACACTAGAAATCACAACTGTGTTTTCTCCACAGAAAAGATTAAAAATCGCAATAATTTTTATTGTACATATGGAGGTAAAGATACTCAAAATATTACCCTAAAATACATTATTTTTTTGAGACGGAGTTTTGTTTTTATTGCCCAGGCTAGAGTGCAATGGCACAATCTTGGCTCACTGCAACCTCAGCCTCCCAGGGTCAAGTAATTCTCCTAGCTCAGCCTCCCAAGTAGCTGAGATTACAGGCATGCACCACCACACTCGGCTAATTTTTTGTATTTAGTAGAGACGGGGTTTCACCATGTAGGTCAGGCTGGTCTCCAACTCCTGACTTCTGGCGATCTACCCACTTCAGCCTCCCAAAGTGCTGGGATTACAGGCGTGCGCCTGGCCAGCTTTTTGACATATTTCAAGATGGCTACTTGGAAGACTGGAGATAGCTTCTTCTACAAGAATAGCTGAAAAGCTGTGTTTGTTGGGGAGATTTGCATTTGTAGAGAAAATCTGCATTGATATATACAGGCTTTCCCTGAGATACTCCCTTGTCTGGGTTTTGGAATGATTAACTGAGCCTGGCACGTTTACATTTCTAAAAACCATTTCCTATCTATACTTCCCAAGAGGAGGGCTGCTCCCTGTGAGGTTTCATCCATGTAACAAGACCACCTCTGCTGCCAGGCTCCTCTTTCTTCCTTGTCGTCACCTGTCTTCCGCAAAGCCTGATTTACCAACCTACAGCTCTGTGTTTTCTGTAACCTCAAGACAGCATAGGCGTGTTGACTACCTTGCCTTTCCTGGAGTTTTTATATAAAGAGTATATATTTGTATATCTCTTTATAATATACAAATATTTGTATAGATATATTTATATATATTATGTAAACTCCAAGTGCATACTTGTGCACATATCTGTAAACCTTTTTTTCCTGTTAATTTGTACATTATCAGTTTATTTTATAGACTCCAATAATTAAAGCTTCAAGGGAAGAATTTAAACTTTCCTATAGAGGAAAGACAAATATATAGGTGACAAATAATATTTAGAGTGTAAGACGCTTTTTAAAGGTATATTTGCAATTTGTGTCACAACATTTAAATATACATTTGTTATTTTAACTATAAAATTTCAAATAATTTAAGCCAAATACATAGTATATGCAGAAAATTTAGCAATATATCTATGTAGCACCTTACTGTGCATTACTGTAACCAGCCGTCTAATATAAAGAATTAATTAAGGTAGCAGCTACTTTTCAAATAGCGCATTTTTTTCACAGACCTATTAAATAAGACAAATAACATTTAAACTTTATTTTTAAATTTGCAGGATAGCAGTTTTCAGCAGATGGTTTCTTTTAGCAAATTCCATCTTCACATTGTGCTATGCTTTTATGAGTTCCAGCTGTTAACGGATCATATTTTACTGCTGAAACTATCATGTGTGATATAATTGCTCATTATGTGCCTTAAAACACAAGCAATATAATTATTTTCAACTTGGAGCAAATTAAAATCTTATCAGCAATTTAAAATCTCTAGAGTCGTCTTCTTCTGGTTAATTATTTTAAACTTGTATTTTTCTCTTTATGTTTTTAGTGAGTTCTCTTATCAAGGAGAAGAACTCAAGGTGATTATTCTTTTTTTCTCTTCCATGCACCTCACAGGTGTGTTAATAATTTCGTTTCTCAGAAAATGTTCTTTCATATCTATCTTACATGATGAGAGACCTTTTAACATCTTCCATTCGGATGTGATACCAGTAATGGAAAATATTCCAGCTTCATGAATATGGTGATACAAATAGTTATCCGTCTAACCTCTTTCAGTGCCAAATGTTTACTATACTCAGTGAGTTACTCAGTTGACTGGTAATTTCTTCTGAAATCACTAATGAGAGGATCAGAAGTCTGGCTGTTGTCTGTACCTCATATGACTCCCAGTGCAGACAATTGTTTCTATGGAGCACAGACAGTTGAAAGGATTGACTTCCTG